>NC_000004.12:47789803-48099227 GCF_000001405.40 Homo sapiens
AGGTCAGGAAATAGAGACCGTCCTGGCTAACACAGTGAAACCCCGTCTCTACTAAAAATACAAAAAAAATTAGCCGGGTGTGGTGGCGGGCGCCTGTAGTCCCAGCTACTCGGGAGGCTGAGGCAGGAGAATGGCATGAACCCGGGAGGTGGAGGTTGCAGTGAGCTGAGATCGCGCCACTGCACTCCAGCCTGGGAGACAGAGCGAGACTCCGTCTCAAAAAAATAATAATAATACTGCTAAGAGATATTAGCCCAAAGTAGAGTATTTATTCTTCTAATACTGCCTCATTCTTTTCTACATTTCTATGTTTATTGTGCTATGGTTAAAAGTACAGGTTTAAATCCCATCTCTACCACTTGCCCTGAAACTTTGGACAAAGTCTTAACTGCCATAAAGGAAGGAAAAATAAAATACCTCTTCATGGGGCTGGCTGTGGTGAGACAGCCAAGTAAAAATGGCTCCCCGGCAGAACCCCCGACTGGCCTGCGCACTGGGAGGAGCGTGCACTGGGGTGGAGCCTCAGGAGGTTCACACCGTTTGCAGAGGTGAGGAGCCTGGCCTCTCCTGTTCCGGGGTGGTATTTGGGACTCAACTTGTGAGGCAGGAAACTGGCTAGCAGGACTGTCATTTTGCTGAGAGTCCCTGTTTCCCTTTTTTTTCCCCTTTTAGCCCGATAAATTCCAGTTTTCTCACCGTTCAAAGTGTCTGTGAGCCTAATCTTTCATGGCTGTGTAACAAGAGCCCAGCTTTTAGGTGAACTAAGGAGAAAGTCCTACAACATTGGGATCAAATCAGTCAATACCTATATAAACACTTCGAATGGCTTTTGGCACTAAGTTCTCCGTAACTGTTAGTCATTACTACACATTGATGGTAATGACAATAAAATTGTCTTCTTTAGGACTGCTAAGGTACTTTTAGATAAATATCAATTTCATTTTACTATAAGTGGATCCCAGTGTCACAAAATGGCTAACTTTCAGAAGTGAATCACTTAACCCACATTTGGAGTGAGAAAACTATGGCTTTTTCGTGCTAAATTATTAATAGAAAGTCACATTGTATTAAGATAGTCTGGCTCAAAAGTGTTTCAGCTCTATAGCCAAAAAAAATGTAATGATATTTAAGAAATAGTATATAATTCTAATAATAATAATAGTCAAACTTTACTGATTCCTTGTAATGAAGAGATTGGGCACTGTGGTAGACAGAATAATGCTCCCCCAGAGATGCCACATCCCAATTCCTAGAACCTGTGAATATTCTGCTTTACATACTTTACGTGGTAAAAGGGATGTTGCAGATGTGATTGAAGTAAAAATTTTGAGATGAAGAGACTATCCTGGATTATTCAGGTGAGCCCAATGTAATCACAAGGGTCTTTATAAGCAGAAGAGGGAGATAAGAGAGTATGTGTCAGGGTCATGAACTGTGAGAAAAACTCAATGGACCATTGCTTGTTTTGAAGATGGAAAGAGCCACAAGCCAAGGAATGCAGGAAGCCCTAGAAGCTAGAAAAAGCAAGAGAATAGATTGTCCCATAGAGTCTGCAGAAGGAACACCTAAATTTTGCCCAGTGAGACCTATTTTGAACTTCTTAACTCTAAGATAATAAATTTGTACTATCTTTTTAAGCTACCAAGTTTGTGGTAATTTGTTACAGGAGCAATAAAAAATTAATACAAGCACCTTGCTAAGTTCCCTCACTATAGGCATCAACTGAGTTAACCTTCCAATAATCCTATAAAACAGATAATATAATTAATCGTTTGACAGAGTTTTAGAGAGATGGAAACTGAAGTTTATGAGAGTGAATTAGCTTGCTCAAGATTTGAGTTGGGACATGGCAAATAGACATATACATATACACACACTTTTCATTCTGGACAAAACATACAGGTTTTAAAAGTCAACCATTATGTGCTTGCAGAATTTATCTTCCTATAATGTGATTTTAAAATTAATTTCTTAGCTTTGTATCTTTAGCCATGTGAAACACATTTACTTTGCATTTTCTATGTGCCAAGAACTTCATACTTACTCTGCTGAGAACACAATATTTAGTAAGAGGTCCTTACTATCAAGATGTTTATAGATTAGTTGAGGGAGACGGGCAGGCAATCTAAAAAATATTAATATAAACTATGGTACAAGTGCTTTGAGAATGATATGCCTAGGACAATCTGGTAGCAAAAAGTAGAGAGATAGTCCTCATTCCATTTGAAAAAGTCAGGAAAGCCTGTTTAGAGACGAGTATCCTAAATGTGAATCTTAAAAGATGATTAGGGATTTTCTAGGTTTAAGCAAAGTATTTGTGGGGAGGAGAGTGGCGTGGCAAGAGGAAGTGAAACATTTTCTAGATAAAGCCAAGGGAAAAACATATGAAAAGGCCCAGCAGCAAGTAATTTAAAAACATGGCTAGTACACAGGAGCCTGGTAAGAGAAAAGACTGAAAAGGGAAGAGACACCAGACAGGATAGGTCTTGTACAAGGCTTGGAATTTACCTTGTGATAGAAAATTTTAGAAAGGTCTTAAATAGGGTGAAACATATTAGAATGATCACTTTGGCAGCAGGGTGACGTTTAAAAGTTTAGAGGGTAGTTAGAAGGCTATTGTAATACTCCAAGTGAGAAAAGAGTAAGGCCTTAGCCAACGCAAAAACCCTATGGACAAAGGGAACATTAGGAGAAAGCTCCAAAGATGCAAAATCATATGAACATGAGAGAAAGGTCCCTTCGAGGTCTCTGGTTTGAATAATGTAGTAAACAAACATATCCCCAACTGAATTGGTGTCATATCGTTAGTGTTGTTCATCAAATATTTCCAGTTCTCTCTCCTTCTACTGGGGCATAAGCTGAGCATTGCATTCTCTGGCCTCTTGAGTGAGGCCTTGCTTCAAGTTCAAGGCTATAAGCAAAACTAAAAAGTGTTGCTTCTAGGCAGAAGCATTTAATTGCTGATGTAAGAGCCTTCAGAGCTCTGACACAATCATCACAAAGGCTCAAGATGGTGGCTAGTTCATCAATTTGGACCCTGAAGGACCTCGATGAGCACAGGCCCCCTGCCATCTTGCAAAGGACATGTAGTATTGTAATAAATTAACTATTGTTGTTTGTAAATCACCAGTATTGGGGGATTTGCTGTTGTTACATGACAGAGTCTAGCCAATCTTGACTAAAACAATAGATAACAGAGAATGAAAAATAGATTTGTAGAAGCCTGTTGTTGTTGTTGTTGTTGTTGTTACACTTTATTGAATATAAAGGGCCTGTGAAACATTCAGGGGGGAAAAAGCCCAAATCTGAAGCAATCTGATGATTTCCTCCAGATGCCTCACCAGACTCCCCCACAATGCTGTCCCTCCTTTGTGTTCCCAGAGCACGCACTGGTTATATTGTAGCACATATGCACTCAAGTGGAACTGTCTGTCCCATGCATCTATACATCAATCCCCGAGCAGAACACCTAGCACCAGTGTAGGGCTCCATAAATATTCGTTGAACGTATGAATGATGAATGGACTAATGGAAATGGCTGATATTGCCAAGAGGGGTATCAGTGTAAAGTGAGAAGACAGCTGAGGACAGACAGCTCTTTTTAATGCCATTTAATGGACAGTTAAAGAAAGGTTAGCTTAAGGAAAATGAGAAACAGCAGGCAGAGATACTGAAGGATAATCAGAGGTGACAATATGAAGGCATAGTTGAAGAGCATAATGAGATGAAAGTAGTACTCAACACTGAGGAAGATCATATGCGCATAGCACATCTGGGGAGAAGAAAGCATTGCTGGCACCAACTAACAATGAACATTCTTACCATGAATTGATGTACACAGACACAGAGAGAAACATAGGTTCTTCATTTCAAAGTCTCGTTCAAATACACATTGGTTTCCAATGCAGCACATTGGATAAAAAGACACTGGTGGGCTTGCTAAGTACAGATATAGGAGTATGAAAAGAAGTGAAAGAGATGATCAGAAGGGGACTGATAGAGGTATAGGAATCATCTGGGGTGGTTCTTGTTAGAATTCAAATTCAGCAGGTTTGGAGTGGGGACTGAGATTCTGGATTCTGCATTTTACACAAACTTCCAAGTGATGCTGATGCTGCTCGTCCATGGGCCACACTTGAGAACAAGGCTTTAGACTACCATTTCAAAAAGCTTTAGACATAACATATAACCTCGGGCCTCAGTAGTTAAAGAAAAAAAATTGTCATGCTTGAGAATCCTCCGCTGGTGAATCTGCAACAGAAAGCCAGATTTATTCAAAGAATTTGAAGTCTTAAGTAATGTGGAGTCAGGTCATGAAAGATCATAGAGAATCTTAAATTTTGGGTGTGAAGAAACAAGAATTTGGGAGGTTTTCTATTTTTAAGTGATACTAAGAATACATTATAAGTTAGGAAGTTAAGATTCTTTTAACTCCAAATTCTTGTAAAAGCCACAAACTGCTGAGAAATTTGCTAAGAGAAAACTGTATTTAAATTCAATGATCTCCAGTTCATCTAGCATTTTTGAGGAGAAAGGTCATTTCTGAAGAGAAATATTTTTATCGAATTCAAGAAAAATGAATGGTTTATTAAACTTTCTATAGTCTACATACCACTATAATTTTTCTTTTTTCCTCATTTACTCAAAAAATTAAGAAGCCACACATACATTTTCCATCATATTAAGAAAACTAGAAATGTAATTTTAAGCTAGTTTTCATAAGCTTATGGCTAAAATAAATTTGTTTTAGATATATATGGATGAGTGAATAAGCAGATGAATATTTAAAACCAAGTCTTCGACAGGCTGAGAAAGAAAAAGTCAGGAGAATTCTAATGAGAATTTTTGGAACATAACTTGGGTGAATAAATTGAGATGAAGAATAGTTTGAAAAAACTAATTCAGACCATACCCCATACATTTATAGGACTCCCTGCCACATACTCAGCTGTAACCCTTTCTCCATACAGCTGCCAATGACACCTTTTAAAGCTGAAACGCTTTCTCCATACAGCTGCCAATGACACCTTTTAAAAGTCCCAACCAAGATAATCATTTCCAAGACCTTGAAAGAGCTTTTTTTTCCGATGTTTTCTTCTAGGAGTTTTATGGTTTCCAGTTTTATGTTTTAGTCTTTAATCCATTTTGACTTGATTTTGGTATGATGGTATAAGATAAGGGTCCCATTTCATCCTTTTGGATGTGGATATGCAATTTTCCTAACACCATTTGTCAAAGAGAGTATTCTTTCCCCCTCGTGTACTCTTCACACCTTTGTTGAAGATCCAATGACCATATACATGTGGATTTATTTCTGGGCTCTATATTCTGTTCCATTGGTCTATATGTCTGTTTCTATTCTAGTGCTATACTGCTTTGATTGCTGTAGCCTCATAATATAGTTTGAAATCAGCACATTTGATGCCTCTATCTTTGTCGTTTCTGCTCAAAATCGCTTTGGGTATTTGGGATCTTTTGTGGCTCCAAATGAATTTTAGGATTGTTTTATCTGAAAAATGCCACTGGGATTTAGCTAGGGACTGCATTGAATCTATAGATCACTCTGGGTAGTATGGACATTTTAACAATATTAATTCCTCCAGTCAATGAATATTAAATGTCTTTTCATTTATTTGTGTCTGATTTAATTTCTTTTATCAGCATTTTATAGTTTTCAGTGTAAAAATATTTCCCTTCCTTAGTTATGTTTATTCCCAAGTACTTATTCTTGTTAATCCTATTAACAAGGATTTCTTAGACATGACATAAAAAGCACTGGCAACAAAGAAAAAAAAAAGACCAGCAGTGTTACATCAAACTGAAAACTTTGCACAGCAAAACAATCAACAGAGGTTGAGTGGACCTAAAAAATGAGAGAAATTATTTGTAAACCACATATTTGATCAAGAGTTAATATTCAAAATATGTAAAAATAAGAAACTCACAAATCAATAGCAAAAAAAAAGGTAACCTGATTTTTTTAACAGGCAACGGATCTGAATAGACATTTCTCCAAAGAAGACACATACGCAGAGCCAGTAGCCAGTAAGTATATGAGATGGTGCTCAAATCACTAGTCATTAGCGAAATGCAAATCAAAATGATAAAGAGATGTCACATCATGGTTGTTATGATGGCTATTACCAAAAACAAAAGATAACAGATGTTGGTGATAATGTGAAGAAATTGAAACCCTTGTACACTGTTAGTAGGAATGTAAATTGATGCAGCCACTATGGAAAACAGAATGGAAGGTCCTTCAAAAAAATTAAAAATAGAACTATCGCATGATCCAGCAATCCCACTTCTGGGTATACATCCAAAAAATTGAAATCAGGATCTCCTATCTGCACTCCCATGTTCCGTGCAGCATTATTCACAATAGCCAAGACATGGAAGCAGCCTAAATGTCCACTGATAGATGAATAAATTTTAAAAATGTGGCATACACACAATGGTATATCATTTGGCCTTAAAAAAGAAGAAAATCTTATCACTTGTGGCAACATGGATGAACCTGGGGGCCATTATGCTAAGGACAAATACTACATGATCACACTCATATGAGAAATCTAAAATAGATTCATAGAAGCAGAAAGCAGAATGGCGATTGCCAGAGGGGAAGAGGAAATAAGGCGATATCCAAGGGTATAAAGTTTCAGTAATATAAGATAAATAAGTTCTAGAGATGACTATACAACATAGTGACTATGGTTAATACTTCTTTGGGTACTTAAACATTTGTTAAAAGGGCAGATCTTATGCAAAATGTTCTTATCATGGAAAAAAATAATAAAGATGTGAGGAAACTTTTGGAGGTGATGGATATGTTTATTGCAGAAATTGTGGTGATGATTTCACAGGTATATACTTGTTTCCAAACTCATCAAGTTGTGATACATTAAATATGTGCAGCTTTTTGTATGCCAATCATACCTCATTAAAAGGGCTTAATGAATGAATAAATAAACAAATAAATAAATAAATGCTACAACCAGACCCTGTCACTCTCTTATATCAACATCCTTATTGTGGATTTCATGTTTAAAGTACTACTTACTCCCTAGGGAATCTTCCCTCATCTCAGCCCAGTTTCTGTCCCTGTCGTAAGTTCTCTTAGCACCTTGTCTCTTCCCACATAGCAGTAAACTCTGTTGTAATTACTTAATGAAGTGATCATTTGTTTCATGCCTTCTTCCCTCACTGTGGAGTCCCTGAGGGTAGGCTTTATTCACTGCTGTCCCCAATACCTATAGCACACTGTGTTGCATATAACAGACACTCAATACATATTTGTTAAAGGGGTGAATAGTATTACATTATAGCTAATTTTGTTTCTTTTAAATGTTTCTCAACATATCAAAATAATTTTACTTTAAATGTTGCATGATGATGTATATTTATAATATATAATATAATATATAATTATAATACATAATATTGTGAATTTATAATATAGTAAATAATTATATATGTATATGTAAAATTTGAGGAAGGTATCAGTTCAATCTCAAAGTACTCTATGGCATAAAGTGACACTTGTTGTCACATGAAGGCAGCACAAACCATTGCAGGTTTAGTTCTTATAAGAAAGAAATTAGTCTCTGAAAGTAAATCTCAGGCCTAAGAATAAAAGGCCTGTCAAACTTGCCATCACGTTACAAATCCAACTGTTGGTCAACTTTATTTCTTCCTAGCTACTTTTAGGCAATTCAAATATCTTGCAGCAACAGCCTGATTCTAGGGCTATGGGGTTATGGATCATGGGGTTACTATGACAACAGGTCATAGCACAAAGGTTTTAATTCTTATGGACAGAGTTAATGTGAGACAAAATGCATGTTTAGTTAATTGTTACTTGGGTATAATATGACTATTTATTAAAATAATTATCTGATGATAATTATTCATAATCAAATAAAACAAATTCTTTACTACTATAATGAACTTATCACTTATAAAAACACTTTCACAAACATTTCATTTGACTTCCATAACAATTCTGTGATACAAAAAAGAATTATCTCATGTAGAAAATAAAGCATCTTACCTAAACTCCCATGTCTAGTAAATGGAAGAGTAAAACCCTAAAGCCAGACTTTCTAGTGCCAAGTTGCATGCTCTTTCTTCTTTGTCATATGGACCATCAGTATCAGACTATAACTAATGAAATAAAAATCTACATATAATTTAACTTTCTTATTTTTCAATTTCTCTTTGAAGAACCTGAGTCCTTGTTTTAGAGTCCAAATCTTTGGAACCATATGGACAACTCAGACTATCTGCCGAGTTGAGAAATACAAAACTAAACAACCTTTGTAGCTCTAGCTTCAGTTTAGTGGTTGGGTTGAAAAACAATTTACTACTGCTTTCTTCTATAGCCTGCTGCTAATACAATTATTTGACAACCCACCTCTCGTATCTTCAGAAATCGTTTTACCATCTTGACTTTTTGCATGAGGGAAACCACAACAGACAAAATTAGAGACACGTAGTACATCTGTGTTTGTTAGCATAAGGCTTTTATCTTTTCTAATCAATAATCTTCTCATTATTATCTCCTTGGCTTTTGAAGCTAGAGCTCCTGTTATTTATACACCACTGATATCTCAGCATCCCTTAGCAACCCTAATGTACACAGAAATAACTACAAAACTTTGTATGAGCACAAAGTTATAAACTCAAACCAAACAGAGCATTTTTTAAAGTAAGCAATTTAATGAGGTTTTTAAAACAAAGATATAAAATGCTTGTATTGCTCATTACAACAACAAACATCTCAGTTACAAAATAAGGAATATTTATTTGGACAGATATTACTTCAATATGGCTATATTAAATCATCTGGTACAGAATTTATTAAAAGAATGTTTTTAATTTTTTTCTCTTTTTTATAAATTTCAACTTTTATTTTGGATTCAGGTACATGTGCAAGTTGTAACATGTGTATATTATGTGATGCTGAGGATTGGGATACAAATGATCCCATCACCCAAGTAATGAGCATAGTAGCCAACAGTTTTTCAACCCTTGCCCTCCTCCATAGTCCCCAGTTGTCTATTGTTCCCATCTTTATGACCATGAGACTCTAGTAGTAGACTCTAGTAGTCCCCAGTGTCTATTGTTCCCATCTTTATGACCATGAGCACTCAATGTTTAGCTCCTTCTTATAAGTGAGAACATGTGGTATTTGGTTCTCTGTTCCTGTGATAATTTGCTTAAGCTAATGGCCTCCCGCTACATCCATTTTGCTGCAAAGGACATGATTTCATTCTTTTTTATGGCTGCATAGTATCCCATGGGGTGTGTGTGTGTGTGTGTGTGTGTGTGTGTGTGTGTGTGTATGTCTCCCATGTTTTCTTTATCCAATCTACCACTGATGGACACCTAGGCTGAATCCGTGTCTTTGTTATTGTGAATAGTGCTGCCATGAATATATGAGTGTGTGTGTCTTTTTGGTGGAATGATTTATTTTCTTTTGGCTATATCCCCAGTGATGAGACTGCTGGGTCAAATGGTAGTTCCATTTGAAGTTCTTTGAGAAATCTCAAAAGTTTTTTCCACAGTGACTGAAGTAATTTACATTTCCACCAACAGCATACCTTTTCTCAACAGCATCTGTTGTTTTTTGACTTTTTCGTAATAGCCATTCTGATTGGTGTGAGATGGTATCTCACTGTGGTTTTGATTTGTATCTCTCTGATGATTAGTGATGTTGAGCATTTTTTCATATGTTTGTTGGACACTTGTATGTTTATTTTGAGAAGCATCTGTTCATGTATTTTGCCCACTTTATAATGAGGTTATTTGTTTTCTGCATCTTGAATTGTTAAAAGAATGATTTTGAAGATGCGTGGGAAAACCCCCACTTCCTAAAGTTTGCCTACATATAAACAAAATAGCATATAGGAGCAGTTACATAAGTGACACAAAATTCCACTCTTGGTATATACCCAAGAGAAGTGAAAATGTATGTCCCCACAAAAACATACACACAAATATTCATAACAGGATTATAGATAATAGCCAAAAGGTGGAAATAACCCAAATGTCTATCAATTGACAAATGGATAAACTATGGTATATCCATACAATGAAATATTGTTCAGCCATTAAAAGGAATGAAGTATTAATATGTGCTACAATGTGAGTAAACCTTAAAAACATATGCTAAGGGAAAGAAGCCAGTCACAAAATACCACATATGGTCATACAGAATGTCTAGAATAGGTACATCTACAGTGAAAGAAAATAGATTAGTGGCTGCTTGGGGCTAGGGGTGAGGAGATGGGGAGAGATTGCGTGGTAGCTAAAGGGTACAGAGTTTTGTTTTGAGATGACAAAAATGTCCTAAAACAGACTGCAGTGATGGTTACATTATCTATGAATATACTAAAAACTACTGAATTGTAGACTTTAAATGGTTGGATTGAATGGTATATTATATTAATAAGAATAAATTATTAATTAACTAATAATTAATTAATTAAATTAATAAGAATAACCCACTTAAAGCAAAGCATTCCTCCTTTGCCCTCTCCTCAGAGGCCTCTAAGCACAGACGTACTTAAATGTACTTACATTTTATATTAGCATTAGACCCTGAGAATGAAAGGAAGTGTTCCTCAAAGCATGTGAGCCAATGAACATAGTCTCATGACAGACTTTTTAAAATGACAGTGGTATAGCTGAGGAAGCTCCTACCAGACAGATCTGTCCAGGGATAATAACTATAAACTCTGGACAAAACACAAAAAGACAACTACTGAAGGGCGCTGGAGAGGGAGGAGAAGCAGGCCAGGTCTGGAAGGGTGTTGACTCTTAAGAAGAGAGTGGCAGAGACGAGTTTCAGGACGGTTTACTGTCTTAGCCTGAGAGCAGGCCACAGTTGACACCACAGAGCAAGAAGCGACTAAATCTCCCACAGAAAACCCTCAGTCTTCCTGGGCTGGGGCACTCGTTCTGTCTTCCTCTTACTTGGTCACCCTCTGACCTCTGGCATCTGTGAAAGCCAGCATTTCTGGGTTCCTTTCCTTCTCTGACTATTCTTCCTGTATCTCTTTTTCCCTCCTGTTTGTCTTCCCCTTAAACACTAGCATCCTCCAGAGCATTGCCCTCAGCTTCTGCTTAATGCATTTTCTCTTCAGAGTTCATCGACTCCTGCTGCTTCAACTGCCACTGAGACTGCCGCATGCATGGCAGACCTCCCTTCTCAACCTCCCTCCTGGATCCCCTAGCTTCAGTCCTATGCCAATGACTTGGAAGTTAAATTTTAAAGTCAGTGCTGCTCTGTCACAGAAGCCAAACATCATATTTGGTCACAATTTCTCTTGAAACTCCTTAGGAAAGCAACATGTTGGATTTCTCATTTTTCTCCATTTCTTGACCTGCTTTCACTGTTGAATTCAACTATGATTCCATTGTATTTGGTTGTCCCATAAGTATCTCTAATACACAAATCAACCTTCCAATCTTTATTTCATCTGCCTGTATCAGACTCCTGCACCTTTACTTCCTATGTTAACAGGTAGTATCAAAACTAACCTGGTTAGATACAGGAGGCAGAGCAAGAGGCCTGATAGAAGTCTATAGCATTGGTCCCCCACCCCAAAGGAACAGCAAATTTTAACAATTAACTACACACAAAAGGCACTAATACAAGAATCAAAAATCAGGTGAGCAATCACAATACCTGGTTTTAACTTCATATCACTGAAGAAGACAGTAAAGAGGGCAAGAAAGATAGTCTTGAATGCTGACACCATCCTCTCCCATCCCCCAGCAGTAGCCATGCAGCTTGGAGAATGTGGGCACTTGGGAGAGGGAGAGTGCAGCAATTATGAGGCTTTGCATTGAGCTCAGTGCTGCCCTGTCACAGCAGAAAGCAGAGGGAACATTTGGACAGGCCCAGGCCAAAGGGTAATTGCCCATCCCAGTGGTGAGAGCTTGAGTTCCAGCGAGCCTCACCACTGCAGGCTGGAATGCTCTGGGACTTTAAATGAACTTGAGGGACAGCCTAGGCCACAAGGACTGCAATTCCTAGGCAAGCCCTAGTGCTGAGCTGGGTTCAGAGCCGGTGGACTGGGAGACACATGACCTACTGAGACACAAGCTAGGTGGCTAAGGGAGTGCTTGTGCCACCTCTCCTTCATCCTCCAGCAGTGGGTGTGTGGCATGGAGAAATCGGTGTGCTTGGTAAAGGGAGAGCACAGCAACTGGGGGACTTTACATTGAACTCAGTGCTGATCTGTCACAGCAGAGACCTGGCAGGAGTCAGCACTTGCTGACCAAAGAGCCCCATGGCCCTGAATACCCAACAGCAATACCCAGAGCCTTGGGCTCTGAGATGTGCTGGCTTCAGATGTGACCTCGCACATTCCTAGCTGTGGTGGCTATGGTGAAAGACTCTTTCTATTAAAAGCAGGGGAAAAAAGTAAAGGGGACTCTCTCTGGCACCTGAGGTGACTGCTTGGCCTCGGTGGGGTAGGGCACCAACCAGGCTCTTAGGGTCCCTGAGTCTAGGCCTAGGCTCTTGGTTAGCATTTCTGGACCTGCCCTGGGCCAGAGAGGAGTCCACTGTCCTGAAGAGTGAGTCCCAGGCCTGGAAGCATGCATCATTAACCAACTGAAGGGCCTTTGGGCTCTAAGTGAACATCAGTGGTGGCCTGGCAAAAGCCCCCATGGGTTGGTGGTTGTGGTGGCCACAGGGAGAGACTCCTTGGCCAATGGAAATGGGAGGGAAGAGTGGGAAGGACTTTGTCTTGTGGTTCGAGTACCAGCTTAGCTGCAGTAGAATAGAACACCAGCTAAAGTTCTAAGGTTTTTTACTTCAATCCGTGGCTCCAAGACAGCATCTCTGGACCCACCTGAGGCCTGGGGGAGCTCACTGCCCTGAAGAGAGGGACACAAACCTGGCTGGCTTTGCCACCTGCTGATTGTAGACTCTAAAGCTTTGAGTGAACTTAGGTGGTAGCCAAGTAGTGGTTATAGCAGGCCTTGGGTAAGACTCAGTGTTGTGCTGGCTTCAAGTCTCAACTAGCACAGTCCCAGTGGTAGTGGCCATGGGGATGTTGTGTTCCTGCCCCAGTTCCAGAAGGCTCAGCACAGGGAGAGAGAGAGACTCTGTTTGTTTGGGAGAAAGTAAGGAAAAAGAACGAGAGTCTCGGCCTGGCAATTCAGAGAATTCTTCCAGACTTTAACCAGGACCACCAAGGCAGTACCTTTCTCTAGAAGTCTTCAAGAATTGCAGCATTATAGGGTCGCAGGCCCAAGTCCCTTAGAAGACCTGAAACACCTTCCCAAGAAAAATGGACACAAATGGGCCCAGACTTTAAATTAATGTAACTGAAGTAGTGAAAGATCTTTATAATGAAAACTAAAAACTGATGAAAAAAACTGAAGAGGACACCAAAAAATGGCAAGATATTTGATGTTCATGGATTGGAAGAATCAATATTGTTAACATTTCCATAGTACTCAAAGCAATCTGCAGATTCCATGCAATCCCTATCCAAATACCAAAGACATTCTTCATAGAAATAGAAAAAACAATTCTAAAATTTATATGGAACCACAAAAGACCCAGTATAGCCCAAGCTATCCTATGCAAAAAGAATGAAACTGGAAGAATCACATTACCTGACTTCAAATAATACTACAGAGCTATAGTAAACAAAACAGCATGATACTGGCATACAAACAGACACACAGACTGATGGAACAGAATAGAGAACCCAGAAACAAATTCACACACCTACATAGACCTCATTTTCAATAAAGATGCCAAGAACATACATTGCGGAAAGAACAGTCTCTTCAATAAATTGTGCTTAAAAAACTGGATATCCACATGCAGAAGAATAAAACTAGACTGCTATCTCTCGCTATATTCAAAAATCAAATCAAAATGGATTAAAGACTTAAATATAAGACTTCAAACTATGAAAATGCTAAAAGAAAACATTGGGGAAACTTTAGGACATTGGTCTGAGCAAAAATTTCTTGAGTCATACCACACAAGCACAGGCAACCAAAGCAAAAATGAACAGCTGGGATCCCATCAAGTTACAAAGCTCCTGCACAGCAAAGGAAACAGTCAACAAAGTGAAGAGACAACCCACAGAATGAGAGAAAATATTTTCAAACTACCCATCTGACAAGAGATTCATAATCAGAATTTATAAGGAGCTCAAACAACTTTCTTTTAAAAAATCGAATAATCCCACTTAAAAATGGGCAAAAGATTTGAATAGACATTTTTCAAAATAAGGCATACAAATGGCAAATAAGCATATGAAAAGGGGCTCAACATCACTGACCATCAGAGAAATGCAAATCAAAACTACAATGAGATATTACCTCACCCCAGCTAAAATGGTTTATATCCAAAAGACAGGCAATAACAAATGCTGGTAAGGATATGGAGAAAAGGGAAGCATTGTACACTGTTGATGGGAATGTAAATTAGTACAACCACTATAAAGAACAGTTTGGACATTCCTCAAAAAAACTAAAATTGAGCTATCATATAATCCAGCAATCCCACTGCTGGGTATATGCCCAAAAGAAAGGAAATCTGTACATCAAATAGATATCTGCATTTCCATGTTTGTTGCAGCACTGATCACACTCGTCAATATTTGGAAGCAACCTAAATGTCCATCAACAGATGATTGGATAAAGAAAATATGGTGCATATATACAATGGAGTACTATGCAGCCATAAAAAGGATTAGATACTGTCATTTTGCAACAAAATGAATGGAACTGGAGGTTATTATGTTAAATGAAATAAGTCAGACATAGAAAGACAAACTTCACATGTTCTCACTTATTTTAGGGGCTAAAAATCAAAACAATTGAACTCATGGAGACAGAGAATAGATGGATGGTTATCAGAGGCTGAGGCTGGGAAGGATGGTGGGGGGTGGGGAGGGGGGGGGTTGTTAATGGGTACAAAAATTATGTATAGTTAGAAAGAATGAATAAGATATTATTTGATTGCACAACAGGATGACTATAGTAAATAGAAGTTTAATTGTACATTTAAAAATAATAGAGTATAATTGGATTATAAAAATATAAGATTTTTGGGAGGCCGAGACGGGTGGATCACGCGGTCAGGAGATCGAGACCATCCTGACTAACACAGTGAAACCCTGTTTCTACTAAAAATACAAAAGAATAGCCGGGCGTGGTGGCGGGCGCCTGTAGTCCCAGCTACTTGGTAGGCTGAGGCAGGAGAATGGCGTGAACCCAGGAGGCAGAGCTTGCAGTGAGCCGAGATCGCGCCACTGCACTCCAGCCTGGGCAACACAGCGAGACTCCATCTCAAAAAAAAAAAAAAATAATAATAATAATAATAATAATAGAGTATAATTGGATTATAAAAAAAATAGAGTATAATTGGATTATTGTGACAAAGTATAAATGCTTGAGGGGATGGAAAGCCCATTTTTCATGATGTGGTTATTGCTTATTACATGCCTGTAGGAAAGTATGTAACATACCTCATAAATATATACACCCACTATGTACCCACAAACATTTTTTTTAAAAAACCTGGTTACCCAAGCCAGAAATCCAGGAGTCAGCCTTGACTCCTCTCTCCCTCACACCAAAATCCAATCAGTCTTGATTTCTGTTGATTTTAATGCATCCAATGCCTTATTTCAAACACTCATCACCTTTTACTTAGACCAGAGTCAGAGCCCCGAACTGGTCTCCCTCTGCCTTCATTTCTTTCTGCCTCCAGTACTCTGTAGTGTATCCAGTTCTACCGCCTTTTGCAAATGTAAAATAATCAGAGTTCTCCTTTCTTGGAAAGATCCTCCAGTGGTAATCCACCACCCATAGCAGTGTTTTGTAATCATTTTTATAGCAGATCAATGTTATTTTCAAATAAATATCATAAAAAGCCTAATATCTATTAATAGATATGAGCTGAATTTTATTGTGGTTAACTTACTTTATAAGATCTAAGTGTGTAACTTCTATAAACCAGTAAGAAAATAATAGGGAGGTTTGGCAAAACTTAAAAATTCAAAATCATTGGCAATGCAATTAGATCAGCATCGTCTTGATATTTATTTCTCTGTTTTATTTGATTGCACATATTTTTTGAAATCCTGATTCATATCATTAGGTAGCCACCAGTGATAATAGTTTATTGCTTTTTCCAAAAAGTTCACTTTTCAAACTTTAAGTATCATTCACTTAGAAAAAGATAGCAAGATGCAACTAATGAGCTAACTAATGAGTTAACCTGTCAGCACATATTACTTGGTTTCTGGTTTTTACTTGGTTAAAAATGTGGTATGTAATATTTAGTTTGAGTGTGTTTTTAAGATTTTTTTTTTTAATGAAAGTCAAAGCAAACATTTGTGCAATCCTTAAGTCTCCTCCTTAGAACCTTGTTACCATGGAATAGAGTTTGAAAACCAGTGATCTAAAAGCTAAAGCCCAAATTCCTTAGTATTTAGTATGAAAATGTAAGATGCTGTTTAATTTGGACTTTATTGATCTAGCTGCATTTCCCACCACTGCCAAATTTTCACCCAGTTTTCTAAATCTATGTTCATCTTTCAAGGGGTTATAGTTTTGCAGTAGTTATTTTCTCTGCCAAATGTGACTCCTGAACTACTGTCTTCTAACCTAAATTTCTATTAACTTAATTCCGAAGTTAACACATTAACTCTCCATGATGCTTTCTTTGAATGTGCCCATGGGACCTTGTCTATACACTTCTATCTTAAACACGTGTTGCCTTGTGTGATAATCATCACTTCCTCTCAACTGTGAGCTCCTAAGAAAGGACTAATTTAACCATCCTGGAGTTCTCAGGAACTTTCAAAATGCCTGCAACCTAGTAATCATTCCTTAAATGTTTTAAATTCATAAACTCATTCATTAATATTAATAATAATAACCAGTAGAGTGGTTACAGTAGCTGAAACTGCAGATTTGCATAACGTCATCAAAAGATAATCCTCTCATTGACTGACACTTTGGGTTAAATAAGTACTAAGTAGAAATCACTCTTCTAGATCATGCTAATTTTCACTTTAACTTCATTTTTATTTAATAATGGCCTCACCCACCAACATAGGAAAGCAGGATCACCAGCAAGAGAACGAGAGCACAGATACATGGAATCAGGACCAGCAATAGGAACCGGAGGAGGTTAGCAGTCGCCAGCTTCTGAGAGCAGCCATTGCCCATGTTATTGTCATCAGCTCTCAAGACCTAAAGTAAAAGAGGAAAATGCAACATGGTTTTAGTTTTACAATACATGGTATGAAATTTTAGGTTACAGCTATCCATTTAGAACAGCACATTCCAAAAAGATTTTACAGTTTGTGGTTTAGGGTATGAAATGAGCTTAGTCAACAAATCATGCCAATAAAGGAACAGATAACTGTACATCTACATTCAGGGAAGAGCAAACTATCTATTTCTGAAACATTTTTCGGAAGTACATAGGCTTTTAACAATATCCCATTTTGCTTTTTTAAAACATATTTGTCAATTTGGTATGATTCCAAAGGGCTATGAATGACCATGGCAAAACCTTACCCTGGCCCAAAGCTATGACAGAAGTGAAGGCTGCCTAATACAGTGATAAAAAATTGGTAAGTAGGTGTAGACAGAATATTATCCAGACTTCATTCTTTTTTGTCTCATTAGTCTAAACCAAATGTGAATGAATCTGGATAAAATAAGTTTTTGGCCATTAATAATTCAGCCAGGCTCACTGTTACTGACCATGCATTTAGTGACAAGTTGAAATATAAGGAGGAGCCTGCCTGATTGCCAATTAAACGCTAACAACTCTGAGGACATCCTCGGCTGCCCATGCTACCCCTGCAGCCCATCCTGTGTGAGAGGATGTCAAAGTGCAACAACGACGGTTCAGATAAAGTTCTTGTCTTCAAATGCTTCAAATTTTGCTTAGTTCAATCTCTTGCCAGAAATGATATCTGGAAATTCATTTATTACAGATGGCTAGCTTAAAGCAGTGACTTCAAAAAAACATCTGAGATGGTACTAAAAGGGCTTTGAATAACTACAAGAAACTCTCCGAGTCTCCTTAATGAAGGCATTTCTCATGATTCTCTCTTGGACTTCTGACTGCATTTTCTCCTCTGACAGTTTCAGAACTTGAACTATAACCTCAGTGTAACTACCTCCTGAATCTCTCTTGCATCCTGTACTCCTTTCAGAGTTACACTACATATTTCCAATGCCTGGTGGGTAGCAGCGTCTCTTTTTAACAAGTCCAAAATTAAGACGAACCTTCTCTCTCTCTATCTTCAAACTAGTTCTTCTCCTGACTTTCATATTTATGTTTACAGAAATTCCTCCATTCCAATATGGGGAGTGGAGTCCAAAGACTCCCCATTTCATCATCCCCCTATGCCGTACATCACCAGGTTTTGTTGGTTCTTCCTCTTAATAAATACCAAACTTTTTTTAAAAAAATGAATGACCTTTGAGAAAGAGCCTTATAATAATCAAGAAGTTGTTCTAACACAATGGCCCTGTAATATTCTCAGGACTTCCTGACGAGTATTTGATTATTTCCCGTGGATGCAAAGGCAATTTTGAAGGGTTCTTCTGAATTGCAAGGCATATGTGATTCCCATTTCTGCTTTATTCTCTCTATAAGGGAATATAGGTTCACTAACCCATATTGCAAGCAGTGTTCACTACATAATATGATGACACCTTCTGTAATTTTAAGAATTCTCCATGAGAGACATTATTTGAAGTAACTTGTGTTGTTAACTTGAGAAGAACTTCATTTCCTAGGTTAATGTCTTACTGATCCATTGTACCTGGATTAAGCTACCAGCCAATGTGTTATAATTTATAGTTAATTTACAACTGATCTTCAAGAAGACAATTGATCTTCAAGAAGATAAGTGTACAACACTTACCTACAAAAAAATCAATCAATAAATAAAAGTGTGGGACTACAGGCCAACAAAGTTAGTGGCAGAAACAAGTTGATACTTGTTTATTTTACTTAGTTATTGAATACCTACTAATTATAATAATAGTGATGGATACGACAATGACTTCAAACCACTGTCTCTCAAAAGCTCACAGTCTTGTAGGAGAGATGAAATGTACATGACTATATTGCAAGGTAGCAAATGATAAGCACCATGACACTTATAGCTAAAGTGATATAAGAATTCAAAAGATAGAAATACGATTTCTTGCTGGAAGATCACGTAAGACATTGTAGAGAGAGCAACCCTGAATCAGCCATAATTCTGAGAAAAGTACCCCTGAACAAGTCTGTTACGAGTTAAAAAAAGTTGCAAAGTATTTAACTTCTACAACAGTGAAGAAGCTTCCTTGCTAAGGTGATCACAGAAGCATTATAGGAATAACCTTGGCTCATTGCCATCTGGACTCCTGGAGCCAGATACATCTCATTTAGCATTTATAAGTAAAGAGTCAGTGGAGAAAATGCTAGAGGCCCATTTTAATATGTCATCTAAGTAGATATCAAGTACTGGACCTCCAAAAACAATATTCATGATTAGACCAAATATTTTCTTCAGTGACAAGAGAATTGATTGCTTTTTTTTTTTTTTTTTTTTTTTTTTGAGATAGAGTCTCGTTCTGTTGCCCAGGCTGGAGTGCAGTGGCACAATCTTGGCTCACTGCAACCTCCGCCTTCCAGGTTCATGCGATTCTCCTACCTCAGCCTCCTGAATAGCTGAGATTATAGGCACACACCACCACTCCCGGCTAATTTTTTGTGCATTTTTAATAGAGACAGAGTTTCACTATGTTGGCCAGACTGGTCTCGAACTCCTGACCCCGTGATCCACCCGCCTCGGCCTCCTAAAGTGCTGGGATCACAGGTGTAAGCCACCACGCCCAGCCAGAGAATTGATTGCTTTTTTCAAAGGGAGAGGAGGAAGAAATAGGTAGGAGAAATTCAATACTTCAACACTTTCTTCTTGAATAACTTGCATAACTTTCCTCTTGCACTCATGGCCACTTAGGACTGTTGCAAATGCTACATTATGCACAGGCCCTTGGAGGTTCCTCTGAACACAAGGCAACTCTCAGACTTCACTGTTGAGTAAATGCCAGGTGAAATAAACAACCAGAATCATCCTTAAGCTTTGTTTCAATGGACTCTAAACAATCCTCCCTTCAAATGGCATCCCTCTTCCACAAGCACCTTCCTCAGCCTTGAAACTAAGCTGAGCACAGGCACAGCATTCCATGGCAAGGGTAGGGAACGATGCATCTGATTGGACCTGCACATATTTGTAAAGCATGTCATTCTTTTGTGTTTTGTTTGTTGTTGTTTTTATTTTTGGTTTTGGTTTTGGGCTTTTGTTTGTTTGTTTGTTTTTGGTGTTTTGTTTTGTTTTGAGACAGGGTCTCACTCTGTCGCCCAGGCTGGAGTGCAGTGGCATGATCTCGGCTCATTGCAACCTCTGCCTCCTGGGCTCAAGTGATTCTCCTGCCTCAGTCTTCTGAGTGACTGGGACAACAGGTATGCACCAAACATCACGCCCAGCTAATTTTTTTGTAGAGACAGGATTTCACCATGGTGCTCTGGCTGATCTCAAACTTCTGGGCTCAAGTGATCCACCCACCTCAAGCTTCCAAATGTTCTTATGTTTTACTAATCTTGTTACTGAAAATGTGTTTCTTCTATCTTAAGAACTACATTTATTTTAAAAACTGTCATGTTGTTTTATATAATGTACACTGGCACAGTGTACCATTGTACCACAAGTGTATGCTATCTTGGTATCATTTGAGAGGTCAAAATTTCAGATAGCCAGTTCCTCCTTCTTGAAGCACTTTCTTCCTTTGGCTTCTCTTTCTCCTACCTCTCTGGTCATTCCTTCTCTTTCTGTAGGCTCAATTCTCACATTCACTCGCTCCCCAGGCAATGTCACCCACACATTTAACTTCAATTAGCAGCCCTCCATAGGTGACTCGCATCTTTAAATAACAACCATAGATCTTTCCTCTGATCTCCAGAGGAAGATTGCATTATATGCAACTGACCACTTGACATCTCCTCATTGGAGGTTGTAAAAGTAGCTCAAACTCAACAAGTCTGGAACCAAATAAACAATTTTCATCCCCATATCTGGTATTCTTCCAGGGTTTGTGATCTCAAAAAAGGTAATTGCACAACTATCATGTGTCAGGCATTGTTTGGGCACTTGGGATATATTAATATGCAAAACGAAACTCTCTAGTCTCATAGATGCTACATTATAGTAAAAATAAACATATCTCTCCTGAAATACTGCAAATACCTCCTCCTATCTGGTTTACCTATATTTATCCATGCACTCCCTAACCTGTTCTCCACACTATAGCCAGAGTAAGAAAGAGGCTGTATTATCTTTGCATGATGAGAAAAAACAACGTGAAAAATGACCCCAAAGCTGAACTAATTCAAGAATGCAGAGCCTGGAACCAGAGCTGATCATGAGAACCATGCACCCAGAGGTTCTGGGGAGGGCTTTGGATTTACATTAGGGTGTACGAGGTTTTGAGTCCATTTTATCAAGTTTGCAAAGGTCAAGGAGATTATAGTTGACATTTCAAGTACATAAGTCTTTACCCTCTTTTACCTTCAGGCAGCATTTGACTTTGTCAACACATGGTGCATTCCTGAGGGCACATCCACATCTGCGAATGGCAGACAATATTTGAGAGCTTGTTTGGAGGTTCTAGCTGGGGGGTGCACCTACTTGAATACCCCTGACCAAAGGTGAGTCCTCATCTATCAGGGATGGTTGTCCTTTCAAATATTCCTGCCTCCTAAAGTGCTGAGATCACAGGCTTGAGCCACCGCGCCCAGCCGAGGATTATTTTCTAATTGGTTGGATTACCTTTTGGGATAAATTTTACATCTTAAATATATAGAACAGGGATCAGAAAACTAGTCTATGGACCAAACTCAGCACACCTAGTATTTTTGTACATACAGTTTTATTGGATACAGCCATGTTCATTTGTTTATATTCTGTCTATACTGCTCTGCTGCTACTACAACAACATTGAGTAGTTGCAACAGAGATCATATGGTACTCAAAGCCTAAAATCTTTACTATCTGATACTTTATAGAAAAAGTATGTGAGCCCCTGATGTAGTGTATCAGTGTATATCTGCATATATGTGTATTTTTAAATTTGCATGTTTAATTTGATAATCAAACTAAAATATAAATTCTTTTAAGAAAATTGTATTTTAATCTCTTCATCAGGGCTTTTAATGAAATATGATATAATTGTACAGGGGGTAAATTAGCAGACAAAACTATTTGTTGCTGTAGTGCAAAGTTACTCCAGAAAAGGTTGAAAGATAAAAATAATCTTCAAAGTAGAAAAAAAATTATCAACACTATATATGTGGCTGGGCACAATGGCTCATACCTATAACACCAGCACTTTGGGAGGCTGAGGCAGGAGGATTATTTGAGCCCAGGAGTTCAAGGTCAAACTGGACAATATAGTGAGACCTCATTCTCTACAAAAAGAAAAAAAATTAATGTTAGCCAAGCATGGTGGTTGTTGCCTGTAGTCCCAGCTACTTAGGAAGCTGAGGTGGGAGGACTGCTTGAACCCATGAGACTGAGGTTGCAGTGAGCCAAGATCGTACCACTGCACTGCAGCCTGGGAGACAGAACGAGACCCTGGGTCCAATAAATAAATAAATAAATACTATATGCACTACATTAGGAGAAAGGAAAGCACTAGTTTCAGAAACATTCAAGCTGAAAGAGTACCACAACATGCATCATAGACTATAGGAACCAACAAATACTCATAAGATTTTAGAGCTAGAAAGTACAAATTTATTCCTGCTTCTTTAAAAACACAATCATAGCAGAAGTCATACCAATTCAGTCTATTTCTTGCTATATATGCAAATATTGCCCTTTTCTCATCAGTGAATGCTCTGTATCTAGAACAGTACCTGAACACGGTCAGGAGTTAGTGGATAAACACTTACTGAATAAATGAATTAATTAAATTTCCTAAATAAAAATTACTTTGTACATAATTATGCAAATAACTACTTCTTACAGAGTCTATTCCTAAATCATCCAAAAATCCTTCAAGTAGAAAATGTATTTGGCAAGAAGTAAAAATATAAATAATAACCACAATTGCATACTAATATGATGTGTACACCTGTTGACTACCGCACAACTCCTTACACCTTGGAATCAGATCAGACACCACCACCCCTCATTGCCTGCTCCACATGGATTCTTTCATAGCACAACTTTTGCATAGCAACCGCCAAGAACCCAGCTTTGTGGAGACAGGACAATATCAAAAGGAATATAGCACAATCTAATGTTGAAACTGTGAGCTACCTCAAGCTAGTATTTCATGTGATGACCAATAAATGTCAAGTATCGCTGCATTTGCCTCAAAAACTAAAAATATCCAGCAAAGTCCCTTGAGTCACTGCAGCAACCTGGAATACAACAGCACACAGTTTGGAAACCATAGTCCAAGTCCTTGCTTATTTATTTCTCCCAATACCTAATTTAAAAACAAACAAAACAAAACCTATCCCTTGACCATTCCAAGGTTTTGCCAAACATATGCTGTCTTTAGCTCTGAAAGCAATAATATGCACTCAGAGAAATTGTCTACAAAGAGATTAACATCAGCCTGCTATTTCTTAAGGTACAGCATCAGACATAGAGATATGTTGATATTTTTATTTTAAACAAGATTTGTTTAATTGCCATCAAAGATCAGGCAAACTTGAGGCAGAATTTAAACTGTTTCTGATAAGCAGAATATTTTGAAATGTGAAGATTAATTCTGTCTGCCTAATGTGACATTATACCATGGATTTTATTAAATACCAAAATTATTCTTACCAAAATTAAATACCAAAATGTTCTTAAATAAACTATGTAGACTTAGTTAATACATGATGGTTAGTCAACACAGTCTGTGAACTTTATTTAGATGTACAAACAGTACTTGCTAGAGGTTATCCTAATTCATATGCCAATCTGGTGGATTTAGCTAAAATTCTATTTATTGTTTGAAGTTTCTGATATTACCAAGCCAAAATGTCAAACTGTTCTCAAACCAAAATGAGAATGTTCATTTTAATAGATGGGATTGTATGCAAAATTATGGCAGAATTCAATGACCATTTGTCTTATCACAAAATATTTGCTTACAATGTTAAAAACAAACAACTAAAAAGAAAAAAATCATCCAAAATCAACACTATGTATTGGCTTGAGACAAATTTAGTACCTTAATTCTTTAGGTAGGAAGATGATAAACTGCAAATATACTCTTCCATTTCAGCAAAGCAAGGACCAGCCTCAAGGATAATAAAGTGACTCCTACTGGTGTGTCCTAAACAGGACACAGAAGCTCCCTCTAAACACTGTGGGGGCATTACAGTGTCACATATTAATATACTCACGAATCTAAAGAAATGCAGACACTGAGACTCTACTTGCGGCTAGATATTCAACTTGGAACTTTGTCCTGCACAATCATTATGCCAAAATGTGATTTGTGTTCTTTTTTCAGTCATAGAGATGGAGTTTTTCCAACCCATCTCCACTCTGTCCGTAGAGCAAAAATTAGTCAATTGTTACCCCCTCATTTAAGATGAAAAATGGACAGTGCTAGATGCTTCCCACTCTGTTCTTAAGAAATTATGAAAGTGACCTTCACATGAATTAAAAGTAGATTTGTTGAGTAACAGATTAATAATGTGGATAGTTCTCAAGCCAGGCATCTGCAATTCTCTGCAATAATAGCTCTCACTCAACCAACAAGCAAAATGCCTCCAAAATCATCATGTCTTTTGGTGTGATGTTTGTTTTTAATATCCCAGGAAGCATAAAGAACACGCATCTGGTTTTCAGTAAGTCTTTTCATCCCATTTTCTGGCATGTAGTTGAAGCATATGAAGTTTAAATAACTCATGCAGTCTCTCAAAATGAAATTACTCAGTTCATACCAGAACACATGGTACTGCAAGCCAACTCTGCCCACATTTTCCCTTTGAAAGTTAACAAAATAACAGCACCAGATAGTCCTCTCCCAAATTTCAGAATCACATATCCCAGAATGTAGATTCAATATGGAGACTAAATACCAACAAAATATGTATCCTATCAAGGAGACTAGATAATAATAACCCAGTACGCAGGCACCATATAACATTAGTGTTTCTGTTTTGAGGATACATTGTTTAGCTGAAGTCTGAACTGTGAGAGACGAGATTGGAATGTTTCAAAGGCAACTTGTACAATACTTTCTCAGCCACTGAAAATCTACGTAACCTTATAAAGTCATCTTCCATTCTTAACCGTATCTCCGTATCTGCAAATAAGGCATAAAAAGGTCTTTCTCCAACCACAAATACCCCAAAAGTAAAGTGAAATTAGTAAAGCAAAAGAAAAATGAAAAAAAAATGTTTCTTTCAAGTTCAGAAAGCTCAAGAGTCCTGATTTTTTTTTAACACATAGTTCAGAGCTTGCTCAATTTAGTTTCCCTGGAGGAAAGTTATTATCTTTATTTAAATGAGGAGATATCTTCAGAGGCAACAGGAGAATAGTTTAGCCTTTTAGGTAAATCCTATTTTCTTCAGAGCACTGTAGGAGGGTCATATTTCTGTAATAGTTATAGAAGATGATTTTGGGAAGAAACAGTAGGCTCTCATTATCCAGACAAGATAGATAAATAGGATCCTGTGTCCTTTTTGGAGATGACTTTGCCCTCAATCTCAAACTTGCCAATACTATCATTTTATGAAAGACACAAAGTTTAAAGTAATAAAGTTTCCTTTTAGGTATATACAATATCAGAACTCTTTCTGCATATATTGGAGAGTCTTAAAGGTCAGTTTTTCAGCCTATATTTTTTAAAACAATAGAGAATACGGGGGGAAAGAGAGTTGGGTTATCCATTTCTTGGGAAATTAAATATTTGATATTTATTGATAAAAATGTTCTAAATTTCACATCTTGATTATTCGTTACTACATCTCTAAGAAAGCTATGGCAAAATCCAAAGGAGTCAAACAGTTAACATAAAGCCAAACCCACATTTCATTTAGCGCTAAGGAGGCTCCTGAATTTGTGCAAATCTTAGAAACTTAATTGACTCACTAATCCTATAACAATGGAAATGTTGTGACTTTTAAAAATTGAAACAGATTGTCAAAGTGAGTAGCGAATTAAAAGATTGACTTTCTACAGCTGAAAATAATCAGGGAAAGCATAGAAGACAAAGTGGATTTTATGCTCTACAACAATTCATTTCAGGCATTTCAATGCAAAGTAAAACATAAACAGATGTTGAAAACAATTAACCTACTGAACCTACCTGCTGAAAAGGAATCCTGCAGTGAAAAAATACAAGTAATGATGTTATGCATTAGATGAAGCAGCAATTTCTTTCTGAATACCTAAAGCAAAAGATGAATTCCAAACTTAACATTCATCATATGTTTTGCTATAGTTCCATGAATATTCTAGTTGAAAAATGAGAAATTCTGTGTTGAGGTTTCCATTACAAAACACGTCTATGTGACATGTTAAAATCCCAGTAATTTGGTTTATTCCACAAATGCTTATGTAACATCTATTCTGTGTTATAGGGCTATAAAGATGAAGAAAACATAGTCCCTGTCCTCAAGGAGTTAACAGCCTACCTCCAAGAAGATATACAGCTTCACAGGTGACTTCAATACCCTATGACTAGGGTAATGCAGACATGTAAAAAGTACAACAACAAATCAACCATAGGTGCAGTGTGAACTTTTGCACTGAAACAACAGTATTTCTTGAGCGTTTATTCCAATGAGCCTCAAAGCACATGTCTGTTGGTTGAAGGAGGAGGGGGGCCAAAGAGAAGCAATGTAATTGATATTCCGAGAAGGACAATTTTTCACTGATGGACTCTCTCACATATTGCAGGATATTTGGCATCCCTGGCCACCACCTAATAAATGCCAGCCATAGCACAAGCACACACACACGTGCACACACACACACACACTCACACACTCATTGTGACCAACAAATAGCTCCTACTTTATTTCCAAATGTTCTTTAGAGTACTGCCTTCCCTAGTTGAGAACCACTTGGGCCATTCAGCAATCATCTATTGAGCAATACGGTGTGGTCAGCTTGACTCTCTGGATACAAGGCACAGCCCTAAGTAAGCAAACTGTTACCCTTCCTATAGGCATTAATAAACACTAGCTCTTTAGGTAAGTACTAAATCTTATGCCTTTTTTCCACAGAGGTATGGGACATTTAAAAAATAATAATCATTATGTCTCTTAATTGTGTGTGATCATCACCCTACCTGGAACACAAAGAACACAGAATTTGAATGTCAACATCAATCGAATATCAATCAAAAAGAAGTGGCAGAATGTATTAAGTCCTTTAAAACATATACTACTAACTATATATATATAACAAAATATATATATATATAATATATAACTAACATATACTACTCTTGAACCAGGAGTCTTGAGAGAGTATGGAGTGGTACTAGGGTAGAACAACACACATGGAGTGATTATTTCTTGATCTGGCACAGCATGAGGCTTTAAGCCTTGGTGGACCCATACCAAACATGGTCCATGTAGGACTTTAGACTTTGGACAGTCTCTGCAGCCTATGCCAGTTCCCAGTGTTTCAGCTGTGGCTGAGGTAGGATCAAGTTTTTAGCTTCTGGAGGTGAACAGGACAAAAGGTGCTGCCTGGAAACTACAAAACAGCTGAGATTCTTTGGTTCTCAAGAAGTAGATGTGAGCTTCTAGTTTTGACTATTTGTGCCAGTCTTAAAATAAGTATTAAACTGAAGAAAGGCTGCCCCAAATTCTATTCCTCCTTATGTTGTTTTAAGCTACATTCAGGGCCATGGAAAGAAACAGAGAAGGGGAGATCTCAATCCTTAAGATGCACAGAATTTGTTCACAGGTTCTAGCCACCCTCTATCACATGATCCTAAGTTCACTCTGGATTTGTTAAACAAATAATCTCTGACCCGGTCTCTAGATTTCATAGACCTAATTCATGGATTCAGCTGTAGATTTACCCTTCTACAGCTGGTAGATTTACCCTTCTACAGCTGGTAGATTTCATTTGAAAACAAAAATATACAAGGCTTTATCATCATGTATTCCTTCTTCTTGGGGTGAAGTAGGAACACAACTCAATAAAACTTTTGCAAATGCAAAGGCTAAAAAGGCAATTCAAAGGCCTGTGCATTAAACATCCTGTCTCTACAGAATGTTTATCTCAGGAGGTCAAAAAATATCTGGAATGGTTTGAAAAACATAGTTCAGTCTTACTTTCAGAAAAAGTGTTGACTAAACTACTAAATTAGAGGAAGACATAAGTTTCCTTAAGAGAAGGGTTGAGTTTTGAGCAGGTAGGCTGAGCAGATAAGAAGGAAAAAGTGAGACTCTGAAGGTCTGTGTGGATAGATATAGACGAGCAAGGAGTTGCACCCAGGTCTAATACGCTTAAAGAGTTTATTGGAAAGAGAGAGATGCTTCTGATAACTACTAGACAATAAAGTATGGCTGGAACCCAAAGAAATCAAACAGAGGAAGAAAGACAAGTTCTCAGAAAACAAATGAATTGTCTGTCCCCAAAAGGTCAAGGATGTGATAAATTACTAAAAGGCAGTTTTTTAAAAGCTGCAGATAGACATTTGATTGTAAAAACAACTGAGGAACCATGCCTAAAAGATTGGACAACTGGTCAGACAAGGTGGCTCACACCTGTAATCCCAGCACTTTGGGAGGCCAAGGAATGTGGATCACTTGAGCTCAGGAGTTTTCAAGACTACCCTGGGCAACATGGCAAAAACTCGTCTCTAACAAAAATGCAAAAATTAGCCAGACGTGGTGGTGCACTCCTGTGGTCCCAGCTACCTGGGAGGCTGAGGTGGGAGGATCACTGGAGCCCAGGAAGTCAAGGCTGCAGTGAAATGTAATCATACCACTGCACTCCAGCCTAAGTGACAGAGAAAGATTCTGTCAAAAACAGAAAAAAAAAAAAAAAAAAGATTGGACAACTATGCCAAGCAGCTTTTGAAAATCTGGATATATTGAACAGGGTAAGATCTGGAAAATCAACATAAAATTATCCAATAATTCTTACGTATCAAGTTTCAGCCTGACACAGTTATTATAGGTGAGTACATAAGTACTGTGTGTGTAATATAATAGAAAATTTATGGAATTAGGAAAAAGAGAAGACATAGCAAAAATGAAAAATATTTAAAAGGGAGCTGGGCAACCCATAATAGATTGAGTCCAAGCCTAGGTTAGATGCGGATTTGAGAGGAGAACACCTTCTGGGTAGGAATTAGCCAACTCAGGAGGATAATGGTAGACAAGATTTACTTGAACATGAAAGCATTCAGCAGACCCAAAATCTACTCATATTTCTCACTATGGGAGACTTCACAAAGGAAGTCTAGAAGAGCAAGTTGGCAAAGATCATGGCCAGAAGACAAAGAGAAACTAAAAGCAAACTGAGCAAAAATTACTGAACCTACAGAAAATATAGATAGGAAATGACTAAATTAAGAAGGAAGTTAAACTCTTGCAAACTCAACAGGGCCTTCCTAGAGGAAGAGGGGACAGAGACAAAAATAGCCAGGGAAAGACAATCTCTTTACGAGGAGTAATAAAGGCTAATATGAGGAACCAACCATTCCTATGCAAAAAAGCAGGAGACAGAAGCAGCGAGAGACATGAAGGGAATCAGAGTCTCCCAAAAATGGGAAGGATAACGGGAGAGGAGAAATGATCCCATTAGCCTTAACTGGATAAGGGTTTCACAAGATCCTGATTCAGAATCAGAGATCAGAGGCATCCTGCATCTCATCTGTGTACCTTGATGCCCATAATTCCATTAATTCCCACCAGCCTTCTACCTCCAAATTCTACCTCCAAATTCTAGTCCCTGCTTTCCTGCCCTTAGGATCTGTGAGACATCAAATAAGCCAAAGATAAAATCCCCTTCGTCAGTTTAGCCAGTTCTAAGAGGTTTTCATAACCTATAATCATCAGAATGCTACCAAATACAGAATGCTCCCAATAATTTTATAGACCATCCAGGGGGATCCTAATTGAAACTGCTATTACAATCCTGAAGCCAGACAAGCAGCCCCATCTCCCAGGGTTTGGGAAATGTCCGGAGTATAAAAGTGCCTGACTCCGGAAAGTGTCACTTTCCTCCCCTCCCGACACATTCTTCTTTCAAATGGAACCATCCATGGTTTCAACTATTGTTCATGCCAGTTTAAATACATAGTGGCAGTCAAAAGAAAGAGAGAGGAATTTCTAGGAGCAAGAAAAGAAAGGGAAACTGAAAGCCAGAACAGTAAAAGTTGAGGCTAAGACATCCTGGAAATTAGGGTTAGAGGGAAATAATGAGGGTGAGGGGAGAAATTTTCTTGGACGTCAGACTAGGAGCTTGGGTCTGGGGTTTGAATGCCAAGAAAGAGACCTGAGAAAAGGCCTAGGTTAGGAGCTGGAAATGAGAACCTCAAATAAATCCAGGACTTTCACAATGCTACACTGTCAGTGAAAAGGAAGTTAGAAAGCTCCACTTAGCCCAAGGAAAGGACTAAAAAAGAGCATCCCTGTAAAAGTGAAAACAATAAAAAGCTCTTATGAGAAATGAAAAATTTGCTGTACAAATTTACATTGTACAGCAAGTGTAGAATTCCCAAGCTGTGAAATTAATATAAAAGTAGATCTCAGACTGGTAATTCTACTAGGGTGCCTATCAGAAGCAAACCAAAACCACTCTGCACTTCCGAAACTGCCCCCTGCCCGAAAAATGAGCTCACAATAAAAAATGTAAAACACATGAGAAAGTGATCTGATAAACTGTGCTAAGAGGTAGAAATAGAATATAGACAAGTCAGTAGTCCCTGTCCTTATGGAATACACGAACTATCAAGGGAAAAATAGAGTCAATTGTTACACAAATATTCATTTAATTACTATTGTGATTAATGCTATAGATTGAGTCATACTTTTTATGATTAAAAAATGCTATAGAAAGTACAGCATAAATAATTTATGGCAATGTGAAAAATGAACTCATGGCTGGGTGTGGTGGCTCACGCCTGTCATCCCAGCTCTTTGGGAGGATGAGGCAGGCGGATCATGAGGTTAGGAGTTCAAGCCCAGCCTGGCCAATATGGTGAAATCCCGTCTCTGCTAAAAATACAAAAATTAGCCAGATGTGGTGACGTGTGCTTGTAGTACCAGCTGCTCGGGAGGCTGAGGCAGAAGAATCGCTTGAACCCGGGAGGCAGAGGTTTCAGTGAGCCAAGATCATGCCACTGCACTCCAGCCTAGACGACAGAGCGAGACCCCATCTCAAAAAAAAAACAAAATGAACTTACAAACTGACCTCAACCTTTTTATTAAAATATGTTCAATTTAACTACAACAGAGAGCAGTCTCATGTTGAAAATACTTCAATGATTAGGAATATTAATTAATATTTATTATAGGTACTTATATATATATAATATTAGAATTATTATTTCAGTCATAATCAAATAATTTACCTTCCCCGCTTCTTTCCACTGATGGTTTTAAATATTTTAAATAATATGTTAATACATACTTATAAAAAAAACTGTCTGAATGTTTAATATTTATGATCGGAGTTCAAGGTATTAAGAATTATGTAACATTTTCTAAAATTATAAGAAGTTGATAAAAAGAAAAGAAGGCTTTTGAGAGTGTAGATCCCATTGTTCCATCCATCACATTTTTAAATTTTGTTTTGACGTCTTTCCACAGTTGGTATTCCCAAGCAAGAAAATATTTTTTAAATGATTGTCTCATTTCTTCCCAGCGCTAAAGTTATCTGTACTTTGAGACAAAACCAAACATAGAAATGATAAATGTTTTAAACTATGTATATTATAGATGCACCTAATTTGCTTATGAAAAGACAAACCTCCAGATCCAAATGAGAACAGACTAAACTAATTTAAAAGAGTTCTATAAATGTTTAATACTTGCCTAGCTTTCATGTATCAACTTTTATCCTTTTCAAAGGAAACACAATTAAGAATTGTGGATGTGAATTAAGGGATTATAAATAATCCTATTTTCAATTGAAGAAGTTAGGGGAAAGATATTTCATTTAAGATTAAGTTGTATATTAACAGTATACTAAATTGTTCACTACTTTCAAAAAGAAAAAATGTCCATGACTACAAATAAAGTTTGTCTTAGGGTAGATTTTTTAAAAATGCAAAAGTGAAATATCTCCTGAAATTATTAAACAAAATGTATTTACTTTTTTCCTTTTTAAAAAATTTAAAACACACATGTTTACAGAAGAGTTGAAGGTACAGTATAAGGAACTGACCCATTTTCTTCTGACTTTTCTTCTGACCCGTTTGATACTCAGTTGCTAACCAGATGCCTCACTGCTCCAGAATATATTAATGGATATTTCCTATAAACAAGGACATTCTCCTGCCTAAACACAACACAGCCATTAAAATGAGAAGATTACATTGATATATTGCAACCACCTAATTCTCAGACCCCACTGGTTTTTCCATTAGTCTCAATAATACCCCTTCTACCAAAAGGATCTAATTTAGAATCACAATTACATTTGGTTTTCACGTCTCTTTAGTCTTCTTCAGTCTTCTCTTATCTTTTATGACTTTCACAGTTTTGTAAATTACAGGCCAGTTGTTTTGTAGAATGTTCCTCAGTTGTGGTTTAGGATTAAATTCAGACATCTTTGGGAGAAATAACACAAAAGTGATGTTGCATTTTTCTCATTGAATCCTATCAATTTGTCCTTTTATTGATGACAGTCATATCCAACACATGATACTGTTGGGATGGGTCAAGCCTCCCCATTGTAACATTATTTTGTGGAGAGGTACTTTGAAACCATGTTAATATACCATCTCTTCAAACTTTCCATTTCTTTTTTTTTTTTTTGAGAGGGAGTCTCGCTCTGATGCCAGGCTGGAGTGCAGTGGTGCGATATCGGCTCACTGCAACCTCCACCTCCCGGGTTCAAGCGATTCTCCTGTCTCAGCCTCCCAAGTACCTGGGACTACAGGCGCGTGCCAACATGCCCGGCTAATTTCTGTATTTTTAGTAGAGACGGGCTTCACCATATTGGCCAGGATGGTCTCAATCTCTTGACCTCATGATCTGTCCGCCTCGGCCTCCCAAAGTGCTGGGATTACAGGCGTGAGCCACCGTACCCGGCCCCATTTCTTTTTTTATTCGCTTACATAAGCATGGACTACTGTTTTCCTATTTCATTCAATGGTTTATAATTTGTTACTATCATAATTTACTTAGATCCTCAATTTGCCCTCCATTTGGCCAATGGAAGTTCATTAAAGCTGGCTGCTGTGTCCTTGTGACATGCCCCATCATTCTTTGAGCACTTCCTTGCTTTTTGGAACAAGATGCTTTGAATTCATCTGCTACTAGCCTTGCATCACCCTTGGAATCAGCCATTTCTCCAAGGATCCTGGTTCCTTTTTGTAGAAAATGACATTTAAAAAACAAGATCTGAGGGCCCCTTGGTATGCATATGATGTGCTCATTGTTCCTGGGGTGGTGTTGTTCCCAGTTTCTCTCAGCAGAAAGAGCTATATGGAAAAATGTATTTATATTGTGTGTGCATTCACATATGTACACATACACATAGGCCTCTGTATTTATTTCTATATCTATCTTTACACATTGAAAACCAGATATTTATACACATATCTCCAGTTTCAATCCCATATCACAGAGGTCCAGATCTACTATACTTTCTATACTTTTAACCCCTTTTCCAACAGGGAGAAAGCTGGTTTATTGTTAATACATTTAATTGCTTGATCAATCCCCCAGTCTGTAACTAATTTCCCATGTCCCAGCCCCAGCTGCCATGTGGGCGCCATGCTCACCCTGTCCCAGACGCCGTGCTCATTCTGCCCTGGCTCTCCTATGCATGGACACCTTCCTCCTCCTACTCAGACCCTGAACCCCATCTTAGGTTGACCTCCACACACACCATCCTTACCCTGCTTAGGCACCAACATACTCTGCTGGCCACCTGTCCTTGTTGATGTGGCTGACGTGCTGCTGTCCCTCCCCACACTTTAGAACCCACCTTACTCTGTCCACTGAACCATTCAGGACTCAGTTGTTCACCAAGGAGCAAGGAATAGGAAAATCCAAAGTTTTGAAATCTATGGAAAGCAATCAATGCTATTCCTTTTTTTTTTTTTTTTACTCCTTTTTTCTCCTAAAGCATATATAAAGGAGAATAACAATACAAGAGCATTTTTAGGAGTGGCTGACATGAAATGATTTGAGAATATTGTTAGGAATATATGTTTCTTATTCAAAGAGCATTTTTGTTCCTCTTATTTGCATTCAGTTAATAGAGGTAGTGTTAAACAACAACAGAAAAAAAAAAAAAAAAATACACACACAGTGCTACCAGGAGGCCAAACAGGTAAGCTGAGCTTGTCATAAAACAACTCGGACCACTGACCAAGGCACACCCAGGTGAGATCTTGCAGGTCCTTTGTTGGGGCCACTTCACGTTCTCACCAGGATGCCTTAGGAAAAGCTTTTCTTTCTTTCTTTTTTTGCTTTGTAGAGACAGAGTCTCAGTATGTTGCCCAGGCTGGTCTTAAACTCCTGGCCTCAAGCAATCCTCTCCCTTCAGCCTCCCAAAGTGCTGGGATTACAGCCATGAGCCACCATGCCCCAGGTTCACCTTCTTTGTTTTAATTTCAAACAGGATGGAAACTCAATTCTATTGTTATGATTCTATTGTTCTGCAGAAGAGGGCAGAATAAAAAGCACCACAGGCCAGATTAGAGCTGTGTATCCAAGTCTAGATTTTGAATTCAAAAAACCACAAAGGCCAAGGGGAAAGAGAACGCTAAACTCTCAAGTTTGTCCTAACCTCTTTAGGGAATGAAACTGGACACAGCCAGACAGTCCTTCAGTCATTCCTAGCTTGAAAGATCCCTCCCCACTCTGCCTTGCTTACCCAACGTGGGCAGCTGAGTGTGACAGCTTTGAGGGGCCTCCCCAGGGCTATTTTTAACCTGGTGTTATCTGCTTACAGACTTTCCACCAGGGCAGCCGCAGGTCCAGGGAGTCACTCCACCTGGGAAATGTGAGCACACCGCTGGCCTGTGGCAAATGAGGTATTTTTAACTGAGACTTGAGAAGCTCAGAATTGTCATCTGCTTCAGGCCTCAGGGTGCGAGACACAAAACAGAGCCAAGCAAGAGAGGCTGTGTGCGGACTCTCCAGTTCCTTAGCAACCAATTGCTGGGCTTGTTGCTGGAGGAGGGCTCTGTAAGTGTCCGGATCAGCGATGGAAAGCCAGCCTCAGAGTCTTTCCTGGCAATTATGTGGCCCCCTCCCCATAGAAGTGAGGCCTGGGAGTCCCCCTTGCAGGCGAGGTATTCTGCCGGGCTTTCCCACACCACACCTATCTGCGGCTAATTAGCATCACCTGGGACTTGTTAGACACATGAATTCTTGGGTCTCAACCCAGACCTGTTAAATTAGAAACTGACAATGGGACCCAGCGATCCATGTTGGATCAGACCCTCCAGGTAATTCTCATGCACACTAAAGTTCTAGGATCACTGGCCTAATCACACATTCGCTAACATTCATAGATAAAGACGTAAGAGTAACACTTGAATCCCACCAAGCCCACATTGCAGTAATTCTTTTAAATGAATAACTTTTAGAACATTTTTACACTTACCAGAAAAAAAAAGTGAGCAGATAGTAAAAATCACCAGTAACTTTTTCAAACCACTGCTTTTTTTTTTTTTTTTTTTTTTAGATGGAGTCTCACTCTGTCACCCAGGCTGGAGTGCAGTGGCGTGATCTCGGCTCACTGCAACCTCTGCCTCCCAGGCTCAAATGATTCTGCTGCCTCAGCCTGCCAACTAGCTTACTAGATTACAGGTGCCCACCACCATGTCTGGTCAATTTTTGTATTTTTAGTAGAGACAGGGATTCACCGTGTTGTCCGGACTGGTCTCGAACTCCTGACCTCAGCAATCTGCCAGCCTCATCCTCCCAAAGTGCTAGGATTACAGGTGTGAGCCACTGAATCCAGCCAACCATTGCTTTTTTCTGCTGCTCACTGTACCCTAATAAGAAAACCTCCTTCCTCTGTTCGTCCTTAAAGGCAGTGATAAGACACCAACTGAGTTTTTGCCATCAAAGGCGGCAATTGGGTCAGAGAAAGAAATAGACCCCAGCGCTAAGGGAAGATAGCAGTAATGCACAAAAACCCTAGGAATGACTGCAAATGCCTACCCCAGCACAAGCTGAGATGAACAACTGTGATTGTCTAAGACTCTGCAGCCAGGGCAACACCTTCACAAAACACGCTTGGAAATGATGTGAATATTTGTGTATCAGTTATATAGTTGTTTCTTCTTGCTGCTGTAACAAATTACCATACACTTAGTAGTTTAAAGCAACACAAATTTATTGTCTCACAGTTCTGGAGGTTGGAAGTCTGAAATCAGTTTCACTGGACTAAAGTCAAGGTGTTATCAAGGCTGCTTCCTTCTGAAGGCTCTCAGGGGAAAATCTGTGTCTTTTTCAGCTTATAGTGGCTGTGTCTATTCCCTGGCTTGTGGCCCCTTCCTGTATCTTCAAAGCACATTTCTCCTCCCATCTCTACATCCACCATCACTAATTGTCACATGTGATTCTGACCTTTCTGCCTCTCTAAGGGCTTTGTGATCACATCAGGACCTCCCACATAATTCAAGATAATCTCCCCATCTCAAAATCCTTTATTTAATTACATTTGCAAAGTCCCTTTTGACATAGAAAATAATATTCACAGGTCTCAGGCATTAGTATGTGGGTTTATCTAGGGGGTCATTGTTCGGAACATCTCGCTCCATAAAGCCCTGTACCCTCTAATGCCATAGACACTCGCTATGTGTTGTCATTGAGCACCTGCAATGCAGCTCATTTGAACTGAGAAATGCTATAAGGGTAGTGAAATTTAAAGACTTGTTATGAAAAAAAGGTAAAAGATTTCATTAATAATTTTTATGTTGATTACATATTAAAATTATAAAATCTTGGATATATTGAGTTAAATAAGCTATCTTATTAAGATTAAATTCATCTGTTTCTTTTTGCTTTTTCAAGTGCAGCTACTAGACAATTTTAAATTACATCTGTGGCTAACATTATATTTCTATTGGAGCAGTCCTACTACAGACCATAAAGGAGGCAGGGTGACATTAACTTTCAGTTGTTTTATTTTTGCCTTACTTATAAGAGAGCCCAGACTTTGGAAGCAACATTTCTTCTTTCTCTAGAGAGAGCCACTAAATTCCTGCAATTAAGATGTCAATTCAAGAGAGATATTTTATTAGGGATATGCACAACTAGATAAGCGTAACAATAAAAAAAATACATTTATCCAGCAACATGCATTCTAATAAAGCATTTTCATTAATACATTCTTTCATTAAGTCCTCATTACAGCCTTGTAAGAGATGTATTATTCCAACTTTTCAGAGAAGAAAATGGAGCCTAAGGGAAATTAACTTGCTGGAGGAGCACCCAGTCAGTAAGTGATAAGCTAGAACTTGAGCCCATGTCTATGCACCTCTGCACCCAAGGCTGCCTGACTGATTTCCTGGTTTGGGTTTAGTGGTTTAATCAGGCTCACTCTACTTCCTGAGTGGTTTTACTTTCCACCCTCCTAAATTTCAGAGATCTCAGGATTTTCCCTTTCTACCTTAAAGTTCTGCTCTTTTGCTATTCTGAGCACATTTTTATTATGTTTTTTTAAAAATTATTTCTTAACTTTGAAGGCATAGGGGCATATTTCCCACCCAGTTATTTAAAGAAGATTTTCTCCTGTGTCACACTTCCTCAGCACCCAGAGGCACACCTGGCACCCAGCTTGATCCTGGGCCATCTGGTGGAAGAGCCCTGATACCAATGACTGTCTCTCCTCGTTCTGTTCACCACCCATAGCTGCATACATAGGTAAGATGTTCGGATCTGACCTCTAGCCAGAGTAGATACCCTCAGAGAAACCAGAGCTATGGTAGTTTAAACTGCCTCCCAGCTTTCCTCTGATCAGTCTTTTGGGGTTGAACAGGCAATTTTTCACTTTGGCAGAGGGTCACTGTAAGAAGAATTAGCAAATGCCCACTAAGAGGGAAGTGGACACTAAGGTCATGTAGGATGCCCCTTACCCAGGCAGCACTCCTATGGCATAATCAGAAGTATGTGTTTGTTTTTTTTCCCAATTCCTGACACAGGACTCCTTAAATCCCTTGGAATATCCTGAGTGATAAGAGTGATAAGAGCACCTTTTGTTCTAACTTTTGTTCTAACGAGGTGATTCTTGGATTCTTGAAAACTCCTAGCTAGCTTCAGGATAGGGGCTGGTCTCCAGAAAAACCAAACTTTGATTAGAAGCCTAGAGTTTTCAGCCCTACTCCCCAACCTCCTGGGAGGAGAGAGGGCTAGACATTGAATTAATAACCACATACTCATGCCTGTGTGATGAACAAAATCTCCATAAAAACCCCTAAGTGTCAGGGCTTAGAGTTTCTGAATTGGTGAACACATCTACATTCTGGGAGCACTCCAACTCCATGGGGACAGAAGCTCCTGCACTTTCTAAGGGCATTGTGATCACATCAGGACCTCCCAGATAATCCAAGATAATCTCCCCATCTCAAAATCCTTAATTTAATTACATTTGCAAAGTCCCTTTTGACAATTTTGACATATAAAATAATATTCACAGGTCTCAGGGATTAAGATGTGGGTTTATTCCAGGGGTCATTGTTCAGACCATCTCACACCATATAACCCTGTATTCTCTCATACCGCAGACATTTGCTACATGTCGTTATTGAGCATGTGCAGTGTAGCTCATTTGAATGGAGAAATGCTGTAAGGGTAGTGAAATTTAAAGACTTGTTATGAAAAAAAAAGGTAGGCCCGGCGCGGTGGCTCATGCCTGTAATCTCAGCACTTTGGGAGGCCGAGGCGGACGGATCACGAGGTCAGGAGATCGAGACCATCTTGGCTAACACGGTGAAACCCCGTCTCCACTAAAAATACAAAAAATTAGCCGGGCATGGTGGTGGGCGCCTGTAGTCCCAGCTACTCAGGAGGCTGAGGCAGGAGAATAGCGTGAACCCGGGAGGCGGAGCTTGCAGTGAGCCGAGATCGCGCCACTGCACTCCAGCCTGGGTGACAGGGCGAGACTCCGTCTCAAAAAAAAAAAAAAAAAAAAAAAAAAAAGGTGAAATATTTCATTAATTTTTATGTTGATTACATATTAAAATTATGAAATCTTGGATACATTGAGTTAAGCTATCTTATTAAGTTCAAATTTATCTGTTTCTTTTTGCTTTTTCAGTGCAGCTACTAGACAATCTAAAATTACATCTGTGGCTAACATTATATTTCTACTGGGGCAGGACCCTTCTGGACCTTCTGGACCTTCTGGACCTTGGCCTAGGCACCTCTTCATCTGGCTGTTCATTCGTATCCTTTATCATAAACCAGTGAATGTGAGTTAAGTGTTGTCCTGAGTTCTGTGAGCCATCAGGGCAAATTATCAAACCTGAAGAGGGAGGGAGTTATGGGAACCCCTGATTCATGGCCAATCAGTCAGAAGTGCAGGTGGCCCAGAACTTGCAACTGTCATCTAAAGTGGGGGCAGTCTTGTGGGATCTGGCACTAACTCCAGGTAGATAGTGTCAGAATTGAGTTGAATTATTGGACACCCAGTTGGTGTCAGAGAGTTGCAGCAGTGGTGTCAGGAAAGATACCATGCATCTGGTGTCAGGAAGGAAAAAACACACCACTTGTCAGCTATCAGAAAGGGAAGAGAGAAACAATAAAGTAAAATGGGACAGTGTCCTGCTCATTTTCTGCTGCCACATAAAAATTATAGCCTTTAGATTGAAAAAGGCCCTGAAAGAGTAAATAGTCCAACTACCTCATTTTACACAAGTAAACCAGGATCTAAAAGGTTAACTGACTTCTGTAAAATCTCAGCAACCTAATACCAACTTCTTATTGAACTCCCCTTTCTGATGATGCTTGACTTGGACAAAACTGTTTTAAAGGATGACAGAGAAATAGTAAATAAAACAATATAGCTTTGATTTCCAAACCACACTACAGAGAAGTAGCATCTTGCTCCCAGAATAAGGCTCTAAAATAGGCACATGAAGATGAAAATCATGTACTGTCAAACTAATCCCTGAAAAGCCTTAAGAGAGTGTCACATTGGAGACCAATGTAACTTCCAACAATAAATCCCACATGGTGTTTGTTTTTTTTTTGTTTCAGAGCTGGAACAGGCTCATCGGTTGAGTACCAGATTAATTAATTGGCTTGAGGTTAGGGAATAAAATGGCACAATCTTTAAACCCAGGATCACACGTGGAACTGCAAAAAGGATACACATAAAAGGCACCAGGTTCTGAAACTAATGGCAGATTCCTTTCTCTCATCTTTTGCTCTTACTCCAGGACACTGAATAGAATGACTCATATTAATTAAACATTCATCTCTCCTCCCTGCACTCATGGTTTAGGGTTTATTGCTTAGTTAGAAACCAAGCTTCACAAGTGCATGAATCCCTGTTTTGTTCATAGATGTCTCCTAAGTGCCTAATAATATACCTGTCACATAAATGTTTGTTAAATAAGGAGATGAATGTATTCTTTTTGTCCAGCCTGTATAGTTGAATTCTCATACATTAAAGCTATTTAGGTCTAGCTATGGCTTTCACTTCTTGGGAAGTTGTGGTGCTATTACCAGAAAAATTCAAACAGAACTATGCATAAAAAGATTTTTCACCATTCAGGAGGTTCTTGGAGTCTCAGATTAAGATTTCCTGGTACTGTCAATCTCTATCTATGACACTTCAGCAGAATGACACTTTTGTGGCTTCAGAGACACTGACACCTACTTTCATAGCTGCATAGGACTTTAAAACTCCCCCAAAGTGCTACAAACAAAAAGTACTCTTCAAGTGCTGTCAACCTAAAGGTTAACAGGTTGAAGGGACCCTGGGCTAAGGAAGCACAAGCTGGAGACACCAAAATGGTCTTCGCAACTCGCCTCTATATTTTCTGCCCTGCTCCTAAGCCAGCCTGTTGGCCGACTGGCCCTTCTCCACAGATGTCATCTTGAGCCTCTTACAGAGTTTCAGCACTGACATTAATGACAAGATGGATCACCTACAGGACAACCTTGGATCCTCAACCAGCCTGATTAAGCATTGACACTGCATTTGTCACCACCAGCTCTGATGGTTTGGACATGTAGAAATGTATTGCAGGAGAATATGCAAACAGCTGCTGTAAGGTGAGCTGATCGGGACAACTGCCAGCAGGCAGAAGGGAAGGCATAATTAATGGGCACCCTTCAGCAGAGCTCAGAGCAGACCAAACGCCAATGCAGAAGGCTCAAGAAAGAGGCAAACAGACTAGCCACTGCTCCAGGATGACTGTGGCTCTTTATGAGTGAAGAGAAAGGGTGGAGACTGAAGACAGAACTGGGGACAGTGACAGGCTTGGGGAAGAACAGCTGATTCAGCAGTCCCAAGGTGAGTCATCCCATGTGTTCCACACCCAGGTAGAAAGCGCTCATTAGCAGAACATAATCTCCCAACCTGCATGATGATCGTCTGTCCATGAGAATAATAAACATTACAGATTGTGCTTGCACTAAAGCAGATTTAGTAAAGCCTCAGGAACAGAATATACTTCATGGGGTAAGAAATCCAGCTAGGGAAAAGACTGACCTATCTATGCATCTGTAATGGGTTGAATAGTGTCTCCAAAATATATGTTCACCGAGAACCTCAAAATGTGTCCTTCCTTTGCATATAGGGTCTTTGCAGTTGAAGTTAGTTAGGACAAGGTCATACTGGATTAGGGTGAAGCCTAAATCCAATATGACTGATGTTCTTATAATAAGAGAACACACAGAAACACACACCAGGAAGGCCATGGAAGTAAAATATATAGTTTGTCAAATGAGGATGAGTTCAAGAAGGGGTCCTACGTAGTGAGGTGGAGTATTAGTTTTTAAGCCTGATTAAATTAAACACTTGGTGGATCTTTCCCCCAAACATTGTACTTAGTATTATAGTGCTTTCATTCTTGTAAAAAATGGTACAACATGTAGGAGTACATATGGAGGGAGAAGAGCCTCCTTCTGTTGTATTAGTTTCTGCTGTAAAACCAGGAAAATCATCGGCCATAAAGCTCATAGGGAGGGAAAAGAACAATACATAAGCAAAATCATCAAGGCTGAAGGGGAGAACTCAGAGGATTATGTGACTAATACTCACTTGTCAGTGATTTATACATCAATCTGGCCATTTACTATTCAACAAATGCCTAGGCCACGTAAGAGACCTCAACAAACGGAAGTGATTCTGCTATAGGAAACCACTTCTTAAAAGAAAAAGAAGCAAATAGAGGTGCTTTACAGGAAAACTTTTTCTTTTCTTTTCTTTCTTTCTTTCTTTTCTTTTCTTTTTTTTTTTTTTTTTGAGATGGAGTCTCGCTCTATCACCCAGGCCGGAGTGCACTGGGATGATCTCGGCTCACTGCAGCCTCTGCCTCCCGGATTTAAGCAATTCTCTTGCCTCAGCCTCCCAAGTAGCTGGGACTACAGGCAGGTGCCATCACGCCCTGGTAATTTTTTTGTATTTTTAGTAGAGATGGTGTTTTGCCATGTTGGCCAAGCTGGTCTCGAACTCCTGACCTCAGGTGATCCATCTGGCTCAGCCTCCAGTAATCCCAGTGAGCCACTGTGCCTTGGCCTAGGAAAATTTTTATCATCCTAAAATCTTATATCATCACTCAAGCAAAAGAAAGCTCTAGAACTGCCTGAGAGAACAGCCTGCAACGAAGGAGATCATGTATCTGTGCTGCCCAATACAGTTGCCACCAGCTTTATAAAATAACTGAGCACTTAAAATGTGCCCAAGGAGACTGAAGAAATAAATTTTTAATTTGATTTAATGTTGATTAAATTTAAACAACCACAATTGGCTAAGAGCTACTCCATTGCATCACATGGCTCTAGAGTCACAGAAAGCTGCCTGTGGAAAAAGTCTTGAGACATTTCTCACCAAGTCTAGGATGAGACTGGATCCTCAAGTAAAAACAGATTAGGAAACAAATCACCAAAGCAATTACGAGCAAGAAAAAAAAAAGCTAGAGGTATCATACGTCATGATTTCAAAATATATTACAAAGCTACACTAATCAAAACAGTATGGTACTCATATGAAAACAGCCATATGGCCAAACAGAAGAGAGATCCCAGAAATAAACTCATACATACATAGTTGACAAGGATGCCAAGAATATACAATGGAGGAAAGATATGTCTTCAACAAATGGTGCTGGGAAAACTGGCTACACATATGCAAAAGAATAACATTGGAACTTTATCTCATGCCATGCACAAAAATCAAGTTAAAATGGATTAAAGACTTAACCATAAGACCTGAAACTGTAAAATTTCTGAAAGAAAACATAAAGGAAAATCTTGACATTGATCTCGGCGATAATTTCTTGGATACGACACCAAAAGCATAGGCAAAAAAAAAAAAAAAAAAGCAATAATAACCAAATAAGATTATGCTAAACTAAAAAGCTTCTGCATAGCAAACGATATGATCAACAAAATGAAAAGGCAATCTATAAAGTGGGAGAAAATATTTGCGAATCATATATCTGATAAAGGATTAATATCCAACATATATAAGGAACTCCTTCAATTCAGTAGCCAAAAAGCTAATAGCCTGATTTTAAAATGGGAAAAAGACCTAAATAGACATTACTCCAAAGAAGACATAAAAATGGCCAGTAAGTATATGAAAGATGCTCAACATCACCAATCAACAGAGAATTACAAATCAAAACCACAAAGAGATTTCAGCCCTTTGCCACTGTTAATGTGATCAAAAAACAAAAGATAACAAGTGTTGGATGCCAAGAAAATGCATCTCTTGTATATGGTTCATGGGAATGTAAATTGGTGCAACCATTATGGGAAAGAGTATGGAAGTTCCTCAAAAAAATTAAAAATAGAACTATCATATGATCCAGCATATGATACCAGCATACAGTATAGAACTAACATATGATCCCATTTCTAGATATGTAACCAAAGAATTTAAAATTGGGATCTTGAAAAGACATCTGCATTCCCATGTGCATTGCAGCATTATTCACAATAGCAAAAACATAGGAGCAGCCTAATGTCCACTGATAGATGAATGGATAAAGAAAAATGGGGTATATATAAACAGTATGTATATATACATACAGTACAATATTACTCAGCCTTAACAAAGAAACAAATCCTACCATTTCTGACAGCAGAGATGAACCTAGAGGACACTATGCTAAGTGAAATAAGCCAGACACAGAAGGACAAATACTACATGATCCCACTTAATTGAGGAATCTTAAAACAGTCAAACTCATAGAAGCAGAGAGTGGAATGGTGGTTTCCCAGAGGAGGAGGAAATGGGGAGGTATTGGACCAAGGGTATAAAGTTTCAGTAATGCAAGATAAATAAGTCCTAGAAATCTACTACACAGCATGGCTTCTGTAGTTAAGAATACTATATTCTATACTTAAAAATTTGCTAGGTGGGTAGATCTTATGTTAAGTGTCCTTATAACAAAATAATAATAACAATAATAAAGATGGCAGAAGGGAACTTTTGAAGATGATGGATAGGTTTGTGACATTAATTGTGGTGACGGTTTTATAGATGTATACTTGTTTCCAAACCTATCACATTGTTTACATTAAATATATACAGGTTTTTGCTCGCCAATACTTCAATAAAGTAGTTTTTTAAAAAAAGGTTAGGGAACCTTCACCAGAATATACCACTATTACATAAAGTACTTCTAGTACGTATTCCACAGTCTGCAGTGTCCTTACCAGTGGTCAGTAGTACCATCTACATTTTCTGACCAAGGAAACTGAGGCCCAGCAAGATTATTTGACTTGCCCAGAGCCTTGCGGTTCTTAAGGGGCAGAGTCAGAGGTCTGACACCAAAGCTCCTACTCTTCCCACCAAGGCAGGTCATCTACAGCACCTTCTACTCTTAAGGGGTCTGCCATTTCCACCCTCTCTGAACAGACATAAAACAAACAAGTGTATTATGTCTGTGTGTGTCTTTATGTGAGTGTGTAGACTCTGAGGAACAGGTAAGTCTTGGAATCCCTTGAGTGTTTAGTGTGAACCTAGTATGTTTAGCCAGCCAGTATCAGGTCAGTACCCTTTAGCCAGCCAGCCTCATTTTCCATTTGGTCCAGCAAAATGGAATGCCAAGAATAGTGATGGGGCTAACAGGATGCATGAATCCATACTTGTTGAATAACTTATTAGGTAGAAGTAGCAGGTCAAACAAACCTTTCCCCCTCAGATACGCTCAGCAACAATTCAGTGTTGCGGCTCTCCTGCTCCTCAGAGAGCTCTTATTACCCCAGCAGTGGGGACACTCAGAAACCCTAAGACCACAAGTCTTTGTGTTGAAAGAGGCTACAAGTGCGGAAAAGAGGAAAAATAAGGAAAGGAGTACCTCATTAACAGTATGGAGATTTGAAAGTACAGGCTTTTGAAAGTGACTCTCTGAAGCTCCTGGGCCACTCAGCTTCTCCTCTAACTTCCTGTCTGCCCCCAACAGTGGGGGAGGTCAACAGAGGGGCTGGCCAGTCAATAGAACTAGCAACTGCTGAAATCCACATGAAGCTATGGTGGAGAATGTGACCCTTCCAAAAGGAAACCACAGCTGGTTGTGGAATGCAAGATGCGGAAGCACTGATGCCTGCCTTCTATGCTGTTGCTATTGTGATTTCTGCAGCATTATGAGGAAGGTTTCTGATGGAATGAATTTTGCATCTTTTAAGAAAGTGTCTCTGTACCTGGATATGTGCTTGATAAGGTTAATAGAGCAATTCTTGGTGTGTCTTTTTAACCCACAGGAAGGTTAACAGAGGCTTTCATCGTTGGTCCTGTAAGCCTACCCTGAAAGGAACTTTCTGGAAAGAGTCCCCTCCCCCTTAAAAAATGCCTTATAGAATCTTGGGGTTTTGAGGTTGATGTGTTTCCACACCCAAATAACCCCAAAATAGTTCATCCTATTGAAATTCTTGGTGTCCTGGAAAGCATTCTATGGAAAACCTGCCTGGTCAGCCAAGCCCACACGTGAGTCTATGCAGACATCTCCTCTAACCTCGCAAGCCCCAGGAACCTCCTCTAACCTCTCAAGTCCCAGGATCTGAGGACCAATTTTTAGCACAATCTCACACAACAAACCTATTGGGCACCTAATAATAGAAACAAGCTAATGAATGTTTTGACTGTGACAAAAAAAAATGGTTTAATAACTTTTTATAAATGCATTGTTTCTTCTCATTGTCTCAGGGTTATGCCAAAATTAATTTCAAAACTATCTGCTTAAATGTGTCCTTGGACAATAATCACCAGTAAGTCCTGACTTCACCCCCTTTCTGGTAGCGGTCTGACGTTCCTTTGCAGAGTTTCGCTTCCATCGATAAGTTACTTTAAATAAAAAGTTAAAATAAAAACTAGAAGCCACAATTGTGCCTATGTCAGTCATCGAAGTCTTGTACAGGAGTCCGTCTTCGCAGCGCATCGTTCTCAGAAGTTTCCCGCGGGAGGAAAGCTCCACTTTATGAATTACTCGAACAGCTTCCCTGGGAATGCCCAGCCCCGAAGCTTCCCTGCTGAATTCAAAGTCAGAGCTCCCAGGGCTCGGTCCCAGGAACCGGGAGCCGTGCAAAAAGCGCGTACACTGCCATCCACTGGCCCCGAGCAGGTAGTAGCAGGAGTGAGGCGCCTGCCACGGGAGCTCAGGAACTGGGTCCCAGTAAGATCCGACAAGACACCACCTCCCTTCCGCCCGCACAGCCTGCCCTCTCTGCCTGCAGCTAGCGTCACCGGTCGGTCCCCGATTCGGAGCAGCTGGGACCCTCGCGGTAGCAAGCGGATTCCGGGGCCCTAATGACACCGAAGGAGAGGGGCAGCCGCAAATTAGACCTTCTTCCTGGGGGCTCAGGCCAGTAGGGACTGTCCGTGGTGCCCTTCCCTTTCTTTCTCCTCCTGAACGAGAGCCAACGCTGCCCCTTCCCAGGACTGGATCTGAGCCAACCAAATCCTACAGCGCAGAGCCTGCGCCCCCGGCGGCCAGCCCTCCTGTGCCTAGGCAGGTTCACGCCGGAGAAAGTTTGCACGCAGGGACCTACAAGTTCCCAGCACTCTGCAAGAGGGCCAGTTCTGGGATGCCAGCACTTAGGACGGGCGAGTGATCCCCAGGCACCAACTGGGGGCCGGGGAACCAAGCGCGAGCCCGGGCTGTGGAGGGACCGACACCCAGGCGCTCGCAGCTGGGGAAGGGGGCTTACGTCTGGGGCAGGCAAGACTGCTGCACAGTCCCTCCAGCCACCCGGCGCCCGAGACGCCGGCGCAGACAGGAAGCTGTAGATCCCCGAGGGGCTGGCTCCGACAGCTCCACCTGCAGCCTCCCCTGCCGCCAGTGTGCAGCCAAGTCCACTAGATGCTTGGAGGGCACCGTGCGGAGGAGGGACTCTGCAGGAAAGGTGGCATCACCCCCGGCATGGAGACCGGGGTCTCCGGATCGAGCCGACTCGAACACTGAAGGAAACCCTGCCCATGACCCTGGGAGGGTCTCGGACGCCGGGCGACCGGGGTGGTGGTCGGGACCAGGGCCGTGCGCCTGGGAACTGGGTGCAGGGCGCTGAGCGCGGAACTGTCAGAGCGGGAGCTCACCGGCGGCTGGGGAAGGAGGTGGCATCGGGCGGAGGAGAGGACGGGGGCGGGAGGGGCTGACCCTGAATTCACCGGGACTAAGAGGCCATCACACCTGGCTGCGGTAGGACAGCGAATCATCGATCTTACCGGCTTTGGGGACCCGGCTCTGCGGCAGCGCTCTTCCGGAGCGAGGGCAGGAGACTGTTTCATGGATAAAAAGTCTCGCTTATTCTTCTGTCCACTTTTATCTTGGTCGCTTTTCTCTCCTCTACGTGTCCCCCGGGGAGGCACTACGGATGATTTTCTCCAAGCTCAAGAGAGACAAACTGAACTTTAAGCGCCAGGGGCCCCATATTTTGTCTGCTCTACAGATCCCACCCGCGGGCCACACCCTCCCTTCACTCCCGTCTCTGGGTCCCACCCATAATAACCCGTAATGACAGATCCTCCGTGTCCCCACCTCTTTGCATTCAAAGAAGTTATTCTTCAGGGGCATATGGAAAGTCAGTTTCTGCTGGTCTCCCTCAAAAACTTACACTCCACGAGGGCAGCAGAAAAGGACAGGACGATTAAGTTTAAGTTGTGGAAGACTGGTTGGGAGCAAAAGAGTTACTTTTCTCCAAATTTGCCATATCACATCGAAAGCATTTTCTTTTAACCAGAGTGTAGCCAATCAAAATTAACTGCAGGCGCTGGCAATTAAAGAACAAGTTTATCTCAAAAAAGGTTTAACGTTTGGAGGCCATTATTTGCATCAGGCATATGGAAACTTGCGTTCTGTTAGGTATGCTGAAGAAACTGCTTTTGCCAGACTGCCTGAGTCTTTGCTGAGGCTGCAGGGACAAGGGAGAACCCCACCCTGACTGCTTCCAAAACCCTAGTTCCTGATTTCCTGCAGAGGGCACCTACAGGCTGAACCTAAAAGGCGAACAAATTCCTGCCTGTCATTCAAAAGCAGCTACCTTTTCTAAGGCAGCGTCAAGGAGGGCACTGGAGGTACTCAACACAGTAATGATTACTTTACCAAGTCCAAGGCAATTGTCAAATGTGGCAAAGAAAAACACTTCATTGGGTTTTTCTTAGAAATGATTTTTCATCCAATTTCAATCAAGATCTTAATGGAAATTTTGAAAATTACTCATGAGGTTATTTAATAAATCCATCCCCATTATTTAAAGAAAGCCATGTAAAGACAACAAAATATGGGCCAAGCACTTGTTCTTGAACATTATTGCTGAGAAAAAAATATGCATTTGTAAAATGGGGGGGGCAGTATTTTGTTTCTGAAGTGAGATCAAATGTAGAAAATATTGCATATGTATAGTAAAATGACTGAAACACTGATTCCATGTTATTCTAACATCCGATTTGTAAACCAGTATCTGACAAATTTATCATAATTCACAATAATTCAGTTCATATTATGTGGCAGGTGTCATACTAAGCACTTTACATGTATTCTTTCAGTTCCACCAACTACTCTGAGGAAGAAGCTATTATTTTTATTTTAGAGATAAGAAAGCAGATTCAGGGAGCTGAAGTGAAGTAACCAGCCTACGCAAGCTAGCAAGAAGCTGAGCTGGGATTCCCCCGAGGCAGTGACTTCTGGATTGTGTTCTTACTAAGATACTACCTCATCACACACCATCACCGCAGTGCCAGTCTGGGAATCAAGAACTGTGAGCAAATCACATAGTCTTTCTGGGCCACAGTTAACTCAGCCTATAACATAAGGGCTGGATTCAATTGCTAAGGTTTCTACAGGCATTCTGAGGCCAAGTACAAGTTTCTATTTCATCTTCTTTCTCTTCCACTTTCTGCCCTCTGGTGGAGGTGCTACAGGGACTATGAAATTAAAGTAGCTACGTCAGTGGATTTGAGATAGGGTCGATCAGTCTCCCTCACTTTTCCACTTTTAGTTCCTCTGAGAACTAAAGCTAATTGCATTAATGGTGTAAAATAAACATTTTTTAAACTTCCTTTTAGCAAGAAAACCCAACCAGTTCTAGTTACCAACAGCACCAGAATTAATACCTGAGGTATTCTTTGCATGAAGGTAATGACATAAAAAATGAGGGTAAAGATGTTTTATATTCTTTATAATAAACTTTTAAAATGTCAAGAATCATAAACTATTAGAAGTCTCAAAACATATTCAAACTGATTTGAATATGCAGTGTGCTCATTAAAATGTCAAGAATCATAAACTATTAGAAGTCTCAAAACATATTCAAACTGATTTGAATATGCAGTGTGCTCATAGTAATCTTTAATGACCTATTTGAATTATTCTTTAAAAAAAACTAGCTACATTTGCATTTCAGCTTCAAGTGACAACCATCATCTAGTTTCTTAAAATAATTTTACAAAAAGAAACATTTCTAGCCTATTGAAACTTTTATTGTCTAGCACTTCAAGCATACATCCAACTAGTTAGATAATTTAAAAGAAAACACACACAAACCTTGAAGAGATTTATGGAAAAATTAAAGATATTGAATATACCTCAGGAAACGGTGATTTTACAGAGCAAACTTCAGCCACATATCACATTACAGATCAAATTAGTACTTAGTACTACAACTGAAGACAATTTAAGAACAAGAAGAGATCACGGAGAAGCAAGCAGCATCCCAGGATGATAACAGGCAAGCAGTAGCTAAAACAGATATGCTACCCCATGGCTCATCTATTTAGCTATTCATTCAACTAATACTTATTTTGGGTTTGCTGGCTGCCAGATGAACAACCTAGACAGAGTTCCTGCCCTCACCAAGACTTTCAGTCTTGTGGAATGTATTAAACAAATACACAAACATGTAAACTATGAAAAAATACTTGCAAATAATGTGAGAATAGCTTTGGGGAGTTAGAATGTAATATTTTCAGCTGAGATATAAAGATACAAAGCCTTCAAAATAAAAAAAATTAAAAACAGCAAGAAAAAGGTAAACTGGAAATTTACCTGTTGCAGAGAGGGGAGAGTTTATTTAGTCAAAAGGGGGAAAACAACATACCCATATGTACTATAATACACTCTAGCCCATTGATATATTCAGTATCTGATAAAACAATTTGTGTAGATCTTCTGTTTGATGTACATAATATTTCTGGGACATCAATCCCCTACTCTAATATACCACAGTAGTCATTGGGAAGGAGGTAATATATGACCCTGTAAGAAATTTCAAAGGAATTTTATTTTTAGTCCTCTCACACATCTAGTGCTATAGAGGGGTCCCATAACTGCAATTTCACTGCCTAAATATGCCCCTACCTTTGGCCAGCATCCCACCCAGTCCTCCCTCAATGACGTGGAGCTCCCTCAATGACATGGAGCTCCCTCAATAACAGTAACCATATGTGCAAAAACTGAGATGCCTCACCTCACCTCACCTCACATCTGATGCCTCAGATTTTTTTTCTGATTTGTGAATCAATTTGAGATGTCTTAAAGTTATGAGGTAAAGTCACATATCTATATTATTGTAGCTAAGCTATTCTATGTACTATGTGCCAGGCACTTCATAAAGTGACATATAATTTTCTAGGTTTTTCATTCTTGAAACAAATCTAGTTTCCTTTGTCATAAAATGAGAAGTGTAATAGGCTCACCTAATACGGTTGTTATGAGGATTACATATAGAAAGTGCTTTAAAATAGCTATAGACACATAATAATAGTTAAAACTTATTGGGCACTTACTGTTATTTCTTATTGTCACCATTTTACAGAAGAAACTGAGGCTTACAAAGTTAAATAGCTTGCCTAAGAGCTCACAAGTAGAAAGTGGTAGAAGCAGAATTGGAGCCTAAAAAATCTGGGACCACAAACTAATCCTTATGTTCTGTAGCAGTTATTAAGAGAAGACTGTGATGAAAACATCCAAGGGGTTTACAGCTTAGAATACACTCTGAATTTTCATTCACCCAATAAATATTTACTGAGCACTGTAGTAGGTTAGTGTCCCCCCACTACTCCCTGCCAAATTAATGTCCACCCAGAACCTCAGAATGTGGTTCTGTGGAAATAAAGGCTTTGCAGATATAATTTGTTATATCTTGGTTTGGGACTTCTGGCCACCTAAACTGTGAAAGAATAAATTTCTGTTGTTTTAAGTAACTCATGTATGGTATCTGTTACAGCAGCCCTAGGAAACGAATACTAGCATCTACTATGTGGCCAGGCTTCTCTACTCTGAGGTTACAGTAATAAACAAAACTGCACTCCTGCCCTCATGAAGCTTACATTCCAGGGAAGGAGGCAGATAATAAACAGACACTTAATATGAGGACAGGTACTATTTAGTGCTATGAGGAAAAAGTATTGTGAGAAGATAGAGGATGACCAGATGACAGTGACTGGGGGGGGGGGCTTTGGAAATATTAGGTGATGTATTAAGAGAATACATATATGGGATACAGAGGTGTTAACTCAAATGAATCTGGACTGTGGAGTTTCAAACTGCATACAATCCTTCACAGCACGACTTAAATTACTAATTGGAAACTTAGCAAGAAGAGAAGCTTAGTAAGCAATAGACCTGAGCTTGTTCAATAAGCCAAGATTCTAAAATATGTAAAAATGGCTTCCCAGGTGGACACCTGGTCTTGCTTGTCTCTTTAAGTTGCTGGAAATCACAGGGTCTCTCAGTTCCTCCCACCACTCCCAAATTCTCGCATCTTTTCTAGGAGGTAGTAGCTAGTACTTTGCTTCTTCCTCACCCTGGAAGCTCCCCAGCCTCATAAGCCTTGGGTCTTAGAGTGGTCTAATCACTGCCACTCGATAAAGACTGCAACTTCCACAGACCCAAGAAGAGACAGAGCTATCTCATGTCAACTCTAGCTCTACAGCTTAGACATCTGCTTCAGTTCCCAATATCCAAGGACAGACAGACATTAACAGCTAGAGTCACCTGGGTCCTCAGAGGTTCTTTTTACAGCCTTCCTTTTACTGTCCTATACCTGGTCACAGCAATTTTGGCTACTGCTGCATTTTTAGTGTTCTTGGTTTAACACCCAACTAATTCTTTGTTCTTCTGGAGATCAGCATACAGCATCTCCCATTGTTTTAATAATCTTGATTATAAAAGGATGGATGAGGCCCAAGCACCCTAAAAAGTCACCCTTGGCAGTGGGCTAGATCCCCCACATGGGTGGCCTGGCTTAATCTTCACCTGTTTGCTTATGTGGAAGAACCCACAACACAGACCATATGCATAGTGAGGACAGAATCTTCTATTAAGTTCATCACTGTGCCAGGTATCTAGGCAAAGAAAAAAAATATTTCTCAAAGAGAAATGGAACACTTTAAAATAAATCTCTTCAAATTTTGTCTTAAATAGTATATCTATTTCCAAATAAAGCCTGTTTCTGGTATTACTCATGAGCATTTAAAATAACATGAAGAGCCAAAAAATTCTTATATGTCATCTCTCTCTAAACACTAGCACAGAGATTAATCTGTATTTAAAATTTTTAACCTTCATAGCCATTAAGTTCAAGCATCATAACTTCTTTATAGAAGGGAAATGTTTTCACTGCTTTGCCTCAGCAAAATTCCTTTGACAATTTCAGTAGCAATTGTACTTATTTGAGATTGTTTTCATTTAATTTAGATGTGAAATTAACTGAAAAACAGTTTGTCAATTCTGAAAAGCATTTAAACCAAAAAAATCTAAAGATTTCAATATACATATTCCACAGATTTCAAATAGGAAGCTCATACACTTTGTTAATGCCACAAGTAAGGAGGAAAACAAGACCACCACATTCACAATCTTAGGCCATTGTTAGTGGCTATTTGGTAACTTTTTCCATTCCTTCTCTAATTCGCTCAGATTGAACCTAAAAGGACAATATGCATTACTTTATTTCCCTCAGAACAAATCAGTATAACTACTTAGATAAAACTTAACTTGTCTCTGCATCATTATAGTCTTTTCTCTATATCGTAGCCAGCGGTCTTTAAAAAAAAGTCTCTTCCTTGTTTAAAGCCTTCCAATGCTGTCCATTGCAACTCAAATACAACTCAAATTTCTTACCCTGGTCTATCAAGCATGACATAAACTGGCCTAGACACATCCTCCTCTCAATTTAAATTTCATTAGGCTCCAGCCACACCAGCCCTTCTTTCTGCTCCTCAGGTGTGCCAAGCATTTCCCAAACTGGGGACTTTGTACTTACTGCTTTCTCTCGTATAGATTTTTCGCTGATCTTCAAATGGAGGTCATTCAGGTCACGGCTCTAATATCCTCATCTCAGAGGGATTTTCCCATTCTAAATTAGCCAGTGTCCTTGTATCCCCTACTTCCACCACATTCTATACCATTCCTCTTATTTTCTTGAATACCACTTACCACACATAAAATCACGTTTTTTTATGTCTATTACCTGCCTGTGCTTGTCTGTGCCTTAGCAACAATATAGGAGGAAAGATCACCATTATCTCCAGAACACAGAAAGTTCCTGACATATAGGAAACACATCTGTTGACTGAATAAGTGAAGGAATAGTTGTGTGACTTTGGGTAAATAAGTTACACTCTGAGCTAGCCAAAAAGATGAAAAAACAACAAACAACTTCATATACCATTCATTCAGTCTCCTTCCTCTGCTCCTAAATTCTTTTCCCCAAATTAGGAAAAACAATTTAGCTAGTACCGAAGCCCTACAAACAACAGATATGAACTAGGTTTCATGTTCACTTAATAGGCCAAGATTCTGACACAGATGGAAATGACTTTCCACGTAGACACCCGGTTGTTCCCTTAACACTCAACTTTTAGTTAGTACAGGTAATAACTTGAGTGTAGTGTATCTGATTTAGAGCTTCTGAAATGCCAACCCTGTAATTCTACCACTGGGAAAGGTTAACAATTCTAAAATCAAAACACCCATGAAGAAAGGAATGACTGTCCTTTAATTCTGGACACCAGCTAATACTTAGGGCCAGGCGCAGAGGCTCATGCCTGTAATCCCAGCACTTTGGGAGGATGAAGTGAGCAGATCACTTGAGGCTAGGAGTTCGAGACCAGCCTGGCCAACGTGGTGAAACCCCATCTCTACTAAAAATACAAAAAAAAACAAAAACAACAACAACAACAAAAATTAGCCGGGCTTGGTGGCACATGCCTATAATCCTAGCTACTTGGGAGGGTGAGGCACAAGAATCACTTGAACCTGGAAGGCAGAGGTTGCAGTGAACTGAGATCATGCCACTGCACTCCAGCCTGGGCAACAGAGCGAGATTCTGTCTCAAAAAAAAAAAAAAAAAAAGAATATGACACTAAATTTTGAATTAGATCCAGCATAATTTTAAAATCCTTCCTACTTCTGCAATCAGGCAGGAGAAGGAAATAAAGGGCATTCAATTAGGAAAAGAGGAAGTCAAATTGTCCCTGTTTGCAGATGACATGATTGTATATCTAGAAAACCCCATCATCTCAGCCCAAAATCTCCTTAAGCTGATAGGCAACTTCAGCAAAGTCTCAGGATACAAAATCAATGTGCAAAAATCACAAGCATTCTTATACACCAATAACAGACAAACAGAGAGCCAAAACATGAGTGAACTCCCATTCACAATTGCTTCAAAGAGAATAAAATACCTAGGAATCCAACTTACAAGGGATGTGAAGGACCTCTCCAAGGAGAACTACAAACCACTGCTCATTGAAATAAAAGAGGATACAAACAAATGGAAGAACATTCCATGCTCATGGGTAGGAAGAATCAATATTGTGAAAATGGCCATACTGCCCAAGGTAATTTATAGATTCAATGCCATCCCCATCAAGCTACCAATGACTTTCTTCACAGAATTGGAAAAAACTACTTTAAAGTTCATATGGAACCAAAAAAGAGCCTGCATTGCCAAGTCAATCCTAAGCCAAAAGAACAAAGCTGGAGGCATCATGCTACCTGACTTTAAACTACACTACAAGGCTACAGTAACCAAAACAGCATGGTACTGGTACCAAAACAGAGATATAGACCAATGGAACCGAACAGAGCCCTCAGAAATAATGCCACATATCTACAACTATCTGATCTTTGACAAACCTGACAAAAACAAGAAATGGGGAAAGGATTCCCTATTTAATAAATGGTGCTGGGAAAACTGGCTAGCCATATGTAGAAAGCTAAAACTGGATCCCTTCCTTACGCCTTATACAAAAATTGATTCAAGATGGATTAAAGACTTACATGTTAGACCTAAAACCATAAAAACCCTAGAAGAAAACCTAGGCAATACCATTCAGGACATAGGCATGGGCAAGGACTTCATGTCTAAAACACCAAAAGCCAAAATTGACAAATGGGATCTCATTAAACTAAAGAGCTTCTACACAGCAAAAGAAACCACCATCACAGTGAACAGGCAACCTACAGAAAGGGAGAAAATTTTTGCAACCTACTCATCTGACAAAGGGCTAATATCCAGAATCTACAAAGAACTCAAACAAATTTACAAGAAAAAACCAAACAACCCCATCAAAAAGTGGGCGAAGGATATGAACAGACACTTCTCAAAAGAAGACATTTATGCAGCCAAAAAACATGTGAAAAAATGCTCATCATCACTGGCCATCAGAGAAATGCAAATCAAAACCACAATGAGATACCATCTCACACCAGTTAGAATAGCAATCATTAAAAAGTCAGGGAACAACAGGTGTTGGAGAGGATGTGCAGAAATAGGAACACTCTTACACTGTTGGTGGGACTATAAACTAGTTCAACCATTGTGGAAGTTGGTGTGGCGATTCCTCAGGGATCTAGAACTAGAAATACCATTTGACCCAGCCATCCCATTACTGGGTATATACCCAAAGGATTATAAATCATGCTGCTATAAAGACACATGGACACGTATGTTTACTGTGGCACTATTCACAATAGCAAAGACTTGGAACCAACCCAAATGTCCAACAATGATAGACTGGATTAAGAAAATGTGGCACATATACACCATGGAATACTATGCAGCCATAAAAAATGATGAGTTCATGTCCTTTGTAGGGACATGGATGAAGGTGAAACCATCATTCTCAGCAAACTATCGCAAGGACAAAAAACCAAACACCGCATGTTCTCACTCATAGGTAGGAATTGAACAATGAGAACACATGGACACAGGAAGGAAAACATCACACACCGGGGACTGTTGTGGGGTGGGGGGAGGGGGGAGGGATAGCATTTGGAGATATAGCTAATGCTAAATGACAAGTTAATGGGTGCAGCACACCAACATGGCACATGTATACATATGTAACAAACCTGCATGCTGTGCACATGTACCCTAAAACTTGAAGTGTAATAATAATAAAAATATAATAATAATAAAAAAAACATATCTACTTTTTAGATACTTTTAGGTATCCATCAATGACTGTCTTCCACATGAAGTATCAGAATTTCATACATTGACACTAATGCCTAACTTAAAATTATAGGCTCCTGAATATTTTAGCTAATAATAAATATTCTAGATTACAAATTTGGTATCAAAAATTTTAATGAAAACATTAATCATATAAATTAAATAGCAAAACTATTTGAAAGGAATTATAATTCAAACAGATTTGACTTACTGATATTTCTCTATTTGTTTTCATAAGAACTGATTATTTTCAGCTGAAATCTATTTAAGATTGTGGTAAGGAGAAACGAGATTAAGGTACATAGACCTCATAAGCCCTGTTGTCAGCACATATTCTTCATAAATACTCATCTTCCTTTTATTATTTTTAAAAGACACGCAAGTTTTACGAAACATGCCAACTTCAGTTAAAAGCTTCTTACATAAGAAATAGCCACATGTGAGGAATCTAGCCTGGCATTTGTTGAAAATAACTATATATTCTGAAGAACACGCCCCATGACATTTATTGATAAAAATTCCTCACTAATAAACCAATTTCTGAAATCTAATTACATACCTTCATGTCACAATTTAAGAGGTCTGTTAGAGAATCACTTTTTTTAAAAAGCACAAAGTTAACAGTATCAAGAAAAGTACTCTATCATAAGTAACCAAAACATTAAGAAATATTTCTCTTACTGCAGATATGGCTCAGTCTCATCTGAATTATTTTTTTAAAAGTGTTGGTTTGAATTATTAAATGAAAAAACTAAGTACAAGGAAGCCCAATGAACAAAAACACGTTACTCTGCCTCTAGCTAAGCCTTATGAAATATTTTAGTTTCAGTCATGCCTTCACTTTAAAACAGTATTATACTGCCCTTTCTAGTATACTAATTAAGATAAAGTTTAACATTCTGTCCTTCTAACAACAGCTGAGAGAATACAGAGATGAATGTAAATATATATCATGTTCTATAATATACATTTTCTAATATTTCAAATTTAACAACTTATCTAAATCCAATCTGAGTTACATTAAAAGATCAAAACTTTTTTTAATTGACATCATGGGTGATGTACCAGGCAAACACTACAACCACAACTCCACACACTGAAATGAGATAATATTTATGTTTTTGCCATAGTGATAGCTCAACTGCCACTTCATCTCTTTTCCTGTTCTTCTTCCGACGACCCTTCAGTCTGTTTTCAAAAGCTTCTAGTTCAGCCTAAATAAAAACAGCATCATTTTAATTAAATTCAATGCATACATTGATTTGAAAGTTTCCATTTACATAAAAATCAATTTGGGTAATGTTTTAATAGTAATGATATATAGTCAATATATTGATTTGATTTTTTAAAACACTACTCTCCACTACTGATTGTATTCAACAAATTCAGGGTTTAGGTAAGCAGAAAGGAGACTGGGAGATAACAGAAGAGAATATTTCAAACTGTAGGGCTGACTATGATACTAAATATTAAAATGTCTGATTAGGCCGGGCACGGTGGCTCACGCCTGTAATCCCAGCACTTTGGGAGGCTGAGGCAGGCGGGTCACAAGGTGAGGAAATCAAGACCATCCTGGCTAACATGGTGAAACCCCATCTATACTAAAAATACAAAAAATTAGCCGGGCATGGTGGCGGGTGCCTGTAGTCCCAGCTACTCGGGAGGCTAAGGCAGGAGAATGGCGTGAACCAGGGAGGCAGAGCTTGCAGTGAGCCGAGATGGCGCCACTGTACTCCAGCCTGGGCAACAGAGAGAGACTCCATCTCAAAAAAATAAATAAATAAATAAATAAAATAAAACGTCTTATTAAATCAGGATGCTCTAAAATATAGACACTGGTCTTATACATTGACACCATTATACTTCAACCCAATTATTATAGAACCAGCATTCTATAAAGCTTCTAGCAAGTGCTGTGATGCCTAGTGAGAATGAAGATACCTATAATTCTAGTTGTTTACAATGCATGCAATAAACATTAGTGGCTTTTAAGAAAGAAATTCAAGTGAGTAAAGAGAAAAAAGCTGCCAGAACTCGATTCTTCTCTACCAAATACATTTTTTAAAAATAGTAAAAATTCTTCAAAGGAAAAAATTCTTCATGCTTTAAAATCAAAATGACTATTTTAGACATAAAAATTTTAAACTAGTACTAAAAGACGATAACTGAATTGCATTCAATATCAAATGGGGATTTTTATCCTACTGCTAAGTACTTATTAAACTTTTACACATAATAATGTAATATAATATGCTATAGTGCATAGGTAATTAAGACAATAGTTAAAATATATATGTATTTAATAATATCCACCTAAAACTTTGTAAATGGTTATTTAATAGGAGGAAATGTAAACTTTAGTTCACATATCCATTACTGTGGTCATAAACCACACTTGAAAAAGATCTAATAATAAACTTAGTTTAATACAAAGTGGCATTCTTCAATGAGCCAAAATGTCAGACTACTCCCAAGTGGTTAGTTTCTGACATATAAAAAACGTCAAAATATCTTAAAAGCAGGCAAACTTGAGGACTACAGACACAGTAAAATAACTGACAGTTAAATGGTGACTCACAGTCACCAAGTATATATTATGTGCTGTATACAGTGATCCCTCAGTATCTGTAGGAAATTGGTTCTAGGATCCCCTTGGATATAAAAACCTGAGGATGATCAAGTCTCTACATAAATAGTGGAGGATTTGCAAATAACACACAAACATCTTCTTGTATACTTTAAATCACTCTAGATTTCCTATAACACCTAATAACAATGTAAATGCTATGTAAATAGGTGTTACACTGTATTTTAAAATGCGTATTATTTATTTTTTTTTTTTTTTACTTGTTTTGAAACAAATTTTCGATCTGTGGTTGGTTGAATTCACAGATGCAGAACCTACATATACTAAGGACTGATTATATTCTGTTTAAAGAGTCAGTAAACAGGGAATGTATCTAAGATTTTCATCCATGATGATTTATAAAAAGATAGCAAAGGGAATAAGGAGAAAACATACTAAACTATTCTTAATAACTTAATCTCCTAGGATTCCAGCCAACTTATGTTTTACTATTTAGCTCTGATAACTTATTTTGGGGATATCAGGCAAATCAACTTTACAGAACCATAAAATCTCAAAGGTCACCTTGGCCAACCATTATTTACTACATGAATTGTTTCTAATGTTCCTAATTGTTCTAATTGTTCCTACAACTCATCAAAGTTTGAATTTCCTTATTCATGCAAATCACGCAAGTTTCAATCTCATCATTCATAAAGGCAGTAGCTTAGCACACAATACAATCTGATAAGTATAAAGCATTTCAAGATACAAACTGACAAATAATAATAAAAAGTTATACATCACTATTAGAAAGTCAAGCCACTCTTTCAAGTGTATGATCAATAAAGTAAATACTTAAACAGGGAGTATCAGGAATGTACTTGTTCTCTAGGTAACAACAAAGAACAGGTTATAATCCCGCATTTAAAGATCTAATAGGGAAATATGGGAATATATTATTAAAACAAATGTACTGATTAGTAAACTGCACTTATTTGTTATAGGTGGTCTGCAACTCAGTAAAATAGAACTCAAATACTTTTAGTTAAGTAAAGTCATGGTCTCCAGAAGATGCCTTACAATGGTGATGATTCGCTCACTCTCACTCCCCAGCCAAAGGAGGAATTAAAATTCTTCTGGCTGAAGTATGGATGATATTGGCAAGAAAGTAAATTGGAAATACAAAAAAAAAATTTGGGAATATATGAGATCTCATACCTTTTCAGAGTTTCAGTATACTTAAAGTCAAGTTAGTAGATGGCTCATTTTTGTTTTACAAGAACTGTTATTTTCAGTTCACAATAGAGACTAGACCTTAGTTTGACCTTGGAATATACCCCGTGTTTGCACAAAATCTAGCAATGATGCTAAGAGACATAAATCTGGGTATTTTGTTTGGTTACCTGTTGTCTTCGTTTTTCTTCTTCAAGAGCAGCTTTGGCTTCTGCTTCTTTTATCTGTTTATACACATACAAAAGTCAATTTACAATTTAGTCATCACATTTTATATGGAATTTTAACATCTACCCATCCAGGTTCTATTAACCCATATCAACTTTTAGGAGCTTGAAATCATTTAAAGAAATGTAAATGCTATACTGAGACAAGGTTTTACCAAGGCACTATCTAATAAATTGAAGGTGGTCATGGATGGAGTGTTATACCTTATATGAGCATCTCAGCTTAACAAGTAAAATCGGTATTACATCGTAATTCAAAGAGTTAAAACACTGTAACAGCAAATTTTAAAACTGCCTTTTTTCCTCTTGAGTTGCTGTATTAAGAATCTAGAATTAATTATTAAATACTGCTGTTTCTCTAGAGTTAAATTTATCTTAAATGTGCTATCATGGAAGGGAATCCTTACTTTCAAACAAAATCAAGAGGTCACTGATTGGGTTGATGGAGGGGAAGAGTAACACTAGAGATAACCCAAGCAGCAAAGAATCTCAAAATCTTATAACGGGCATAGAAGATGAAAAGCCTTCATATACACTAGGCAATGAAAATCCCAATCTGCCATTCAAAATAAGCCTATAAAACTAGGCTTTTATTATAAAAGCAAAAAAATGAGATTTCAAGTTGTTTTTAATAAGTACATAAATGCACAAAATAAGAAGGGAAAGGCCACTAGTCTTTAAAATGATATTTAACGAGACATTACCTCAGATGCTTTCCGCTTCATTTCCTTGCACGTTGTGTCACATTCTATTGAAACCTGATTTTCACGTACTTTGTTGCACTGCAATTCCTACAAACAACCCGATTTTCAAATTTTAAATGATTTTTCCCTCAAAGACCTGTCTGCCATAAAAAAGCAAAGTTCATCTGATAGCTTAAGGTTATAAGTATTATTTGATGTCTTAATATTTAATGATGATATAGTTGCAAGCATTAAATATCTGCTTCAAATAGTGATTACTTGCTTATTTTCTCTTAACTTAAAAAAGAGAATACCATAAAATTTTTAAAAATCAACTTAATAATTACTATGTGCCACTATTGGACTTAGCTCCCATGTTGTTTTTATTCTTTACTTTTCTTTATTGTTTGTTATTCTTGCAAAGTGTCCAGGGAATACAATGTTCTACAAATGTGCTGTCCAACAGAGCTTCCTGGTATGTGCGTGGGATGGAATGTTGTAAATCTGCATTAGTCCACAGAGTAGCACTAGCCACATATGGCTACTGAGCACTTGAAATGTGGGTAGTGAAAATGAGGAACCAAATTTTTAATACTGTTTTATGCTAATTCATTACAATTTGCATTTAAATATCCACATGTGACTAGTGGCTACCATCTCAGATAGTGCAGCTCTAGAGAGTTTTCTGGGGAGCTACAAATTTTTCTCTCGACTGTTAAACTTTTTTTAAGTTTAGATGAAAATTGTTCTAAAGCTTATGTTGGCACTTCACTACCTCCTTAATGAAAGAACACTGATCTACTGTTTTTGATGTCTTGACATCAAAACTATGACCAATTTCTGTACTACGACAGAATAAAACGATGACCTACTGAGTTGAAGAGTGGTCTTTATATTAGTTTTAGACTGCCTTTTGTAGTACATCTATCTTTTATTCATTCATTTATTGCTGCCAATGTCACTTTTACTCTCAGTATATTTAATTTGTATCAGTTTCTCCTGTCTCACCAGACCCTCAGACTCTAGTTTTTTGTTCAAATCTACCACAGCTTAGACATGAGATTACCAAATCCTGAGTAAAGTGCATTTAGTAAAAGCATTTTATGGCATGGAATTTTATTACTTGGAGGGTTTTTTTTTTTTTATTCCTTAGTTCTTCATTTTTGGCTTGATTTAGTGATAAACATAGTCTTGTCCTCCAAAGACAGTCCAGACATAAGAAAATTAACATGAACAAACACTGGAGACAAAAATAAGTATCGTGTGTTTATAGACATTAAGTCCATCAGCTTAGAAGAGGATTTTATCTTTTCTCATTCAGAGGATACTTACAGAGTGCCTATAACATGCTAAACACCATGACAGGGAAATGGAACACAGTAAGAAATAAACAGTATAATCATCTGTTAAGTGCTAAATAAATAACAATAGTAATTGCAGCTACTATTTATTACACATAGCATTGTTTTAAATGCTATGTAAGCACTACCTCTTTTATAGTAATGGCAGCTACTATTTATTAAACATAGCATTGTTTTAAATGCTATGTAAGCACTACCTCTTTTATTCCTTTCAATAAATCTCTATAAACTCTATTTTACAGATGAGGAAACAAGGTTACAGATACCTAGAATCACAAAGCTCTACATTATGAACCCAGTACAAAGAAAGTCAAGAGGAAGGAACAGCTAAGCCTTCCCAAGGGAACCTGGGGAAGGAAAACCTTCTCAAACAAGGAAGTGCTTCCAATAAGTATTAGCAGGATTCTAGTAAGCAGAGAGCTAAAGGAAAAACATATTGTATTTTACACAGGAAAAAAATATATATACATTGCCACAGCCTAAGCTAAGCGAGGGTACAATATATGTATTAGGGCACTTAAGTAACAGATTCACAGAGATGATTGCTAGATGACGAGACTGAACAAGCAGGCAAATGTCTTATCATAGCCTCCCTGGTATGCCGAGTCTGCATATACCTACACATACACATTTTTTATACAATGCACTTTTTCCATAAGTGATGAAGAGCCATTGAAGAATTTAGAACAGGGAAGTGGTGTGACTAGAGACAAGGAAATGGGTCACGAAGTTGTGGCCAAAGCCCAGAAAAGAGTTGTTCCAAAGTACTAACGGGTGGGTGGCATATGGCACTTGGACAAGACATGAGATTTCAGAGAAAACTTAAGAGACATCTCACATTAAAAATGGCTTGACCAAGTATTTATTTTCAGGTACAGGGGGTCAATTTAAATATCTAAAACTTAAAGATTCCACTCCCTAAAAGGCCAAGTGTATAAATTTAAATTCAGAAGTTCCCTATCCTAGGAAAACATATCAGAAACTATGAACATAAATGAAAGGCAAAGGACCTATAAAAGATCCTCAATACATATCCATCACATGGATGAATAAAAGCGAATTTCAAGAGACAAAAAAGACAAGCTTTAGGGAATGACAATAGGAATATGAAGGAAAAAAAAGGAGTTACGACTATAACTGAGATAGGGTAAATCAGAGGTCAAAAAAGTTGGTTTCAAAGGAGTAAGCACTGCCAACAGGGAAGATCAAGGAAACAGAGAATTGAGAAAAAGACTATTAGGACAGTATATTTTCCTTCATAAGTTTTGTTGAGCAGTATATAGTTTGTTTCCATCAGGCTTTGTAATCATTAGTTTTTGCCCATTTACTCCTCTGTTACCATCATTTTATCTTAAAATTAGTTCTTTCCAAGTTTACATGTTATTTTACTTTATAAGGCTATTCATATGAGGTCTTTTTAAGGCAATATTTTCAAAGGACAATACTGATGGTAAAAAGAATTTCATAAATAACAGCAACAAAGTTAATCTCAAGCCATTTCTTAAGCAATGAAACATTCTACCCGTTACATTGTGTTCCTTGTTCAAAGACCTCAAATCTAAAGCACATTGACCAAAACAGGGCATTGAATTTGGTTCCAACATAAAAAATAATTTTCCTTTTACTGTTAAATTGCAGAAAATTAAATCGCCAAAGCTTATGTTTAAAATAAATGTTTAAAGAACTAGTAGGCTCATTTCAATAATAAAAAAGTTCTATGAAGTAAAACCTCAAAATTAAAAGGCAAAAAAAAAAAAAAAAGCCAAACAACTACCAAAACACATAGATCAAAAAACAAGAACAAGAAAACCACACAAAAACAACTTATATAGAAAAGTATTTTCAATAACTTAAAATATTTACCTTTTTTATTCTTTTACAAGGACATCTAAGTTTTACCTTCTGGTTGCAGTTAAAGGGACATTCACCAGGATGACACATCTCTTTGCATCTATGACCACAAGGAAGCTAAAATAAAATCAAAATAAAGCAATTACATACTTACATCTTGATCATACTCTAGTTTCCCCCATACCCCAACAATTTTAAGAGAGTCCATCACACAAAGGGTCAATCAATCCTAGCTAATGGGATAATTTGTAAACTATTTTTCTTTTAGATATAAATTATTTTAATTACACTTATATAATTTAATTATATATATATAATTTAATTATATTTAATTATTCTCCCCAGCTCCATTCCAACAGTACATCTTACAGCCACCCTTGTAGCTAGTTATAGCCATATAACTGAGTTCTGGTCAATGGAATGTAAGCAAGTACAGGTGATTCATGCTTCAGATCATTTCAAGAGTATACTTCCATGTTCTTCTCTTCCCCATGTCCTGGATATGATGAAAGCTGGAGCGGTAATGGAAACCATATGCCAAAGAGAGCAGAGCTGCCAGCTGACTTGGATTCATGGGTGAACACATGGAATACAATGACACACCTACCTTCCCTGTACTGCACTGTGGGAAAAAAAACAAAAAAGAAAATGCCCTGTCCTTATACGGTGTTATAACTGTTTAGCCTTTTATTCTACAACATTTACCCTTTCTACTAATATTAAAAAAATATTATTTAGGTAGCCAAAACAACTCAGTAATTGCCATGATGTTTATGCTCCGTGTCTTTAATTGTTTACTGTCTTCCTATCCTAGTCAAGCATTAAGATGAAATGTTCATGGTCTCTCTGTCTATTCAAATCTTATCCACACTTTAAGACATGACTTAAATCACCATAATGGCCTGATATAAATCTGCCTATACATAAATACATAATAGTAGTTAAGAAATCTGTTTCTAAACTGTTGTAACATTGCTTGTGGTGTCTTGAAATTTTGCAAAAAAACAATTTTTTTTAGGCACTTCATATATTTCTGTCTCTCCAACCCTAACAAATAAAATACACTATTTGTTAGGGGTTAAATGTCAAAGTCAGACTACCTGGAACTGAGTCCCAGATTACCTGTTTACTAACTACAGGATCTTAGACAAGTCACCTGACTTCTCTGTGTTTCACATGTAAAATTTCACATGTAAAAGAGTATTAGTACTTTATAAAGCTGTTGTGAGGATTAAATGAGTTCAGTATATTTAGTTATTATAATAAAAGTTGTTATTATTATAAGTTCCTTGAGGGCAATGGTCAGACAGTCATCAACTTACGGTGGTGTAACTTAAAACAATTTTTCAGTTTTACAATGGATTTAATCAGGACATATGCCCACCATAAACTGAGGAACATCTGCATTTCTTTGTGTCTCTCATGTCATAATCCCTAACAAAGATCCCTCCCAAATAGTAGAACCCTCAGTAAACATTTAAATTCTCTAATTACTGATCTCTATGATTCACCAGATTGATTTTTCAAACTACTGACTCCACTCAAAGAAATTTAGAATCCTTTTCCATTGTCTTTAGTCTCTTTCTAGTGTGTGATTAGGTTTTTTGTTCTTTAACTTTTAGCTGAGGCATTCATACTAAAACTAAATTCAGATCACTCACACTGTGCACTTCCACTAATCCTACTATAGGGCAGAGAACTGCTATTAATAGAGTAAGTCCAGGTATTTCTGAATGATTTCAGTTTTGTTTTTCCCTTTATCTAATACTGGACACTGAATACTACTTAATAAGCTCAATATTTATTCATTTTCAAACACTTACCTCACAGTGGTTGTTTCAAGCCTTTGTATTGCTTAATTTCATTCTTACCTTCATTCCTGCCAGTGCCTTTAGCCAGACTTCATAAACATTTGGCATTAGCTCACCACTTATTCTTACTCTCAAAATACGTCTCTATATCCTCTTTCCTTAATTAATCTCTAAGGTAATTACATTAGTCATTTTCTCTTAAAAAGTAACTAACCCTTCCACTTCAAATTTATTATATATTTATTGATACATAATATTTGTATGTATTTATAGGGCACATGTAATTTTCTTACATACATAGAATGTGTAACGATCAAGTCAGGGTATTTGAGGGTATTTATCATCTTGAGTATTGATCACTTCTATGTTTTGCAAACATTTCAAGTCCTCTCTTCCAGCTATTTGGAAATATACCTTAATCAACATCACTTCATCCCCTTCCCCCAATCCTTCTCAGTCTCTGATATCTATCATTTAAATCAATGATTCTATAGGAGAAAGTGAATAGGGAAGCTTATCAGATTCAATAAAGGAAGACCTTTTGAAAATACATAGGATCATGGCTATAGTGTCGCCTTTCACTTTAATCAGTATTCTGTTGCGCTGGGGGTTGATGAAAAGTTAAAAATCACTGGTCTTGATGTTATATCTTTCTGCCTCCTAAAAGACCTCATACTCATCTTCACAATTTCATTGACGACTTCAAAGTCTGTCTTTTCTCTGGCTAGGTCTTCTGCCTTCAATAAATGTATCTTTTTTTCTCTAAACCCTTCATTTGACCCTGCCACATACTGGTAAAATTTGTAGAAGACATACATTGGGATGGCTGCCTGGTTCACCATAATTCCCCCAGTAGCCACAGCCATGGCTATGCTACCTGTTCTAGTTCCCTGACTGTGGCTGCCTGTGCCAAAAGGAGCCCTTGGATCCATGGTGAGTCTATTAGGTTTTCTCTCTCGGGAATCTAAAAACTTAAAAGAGCGAGATGGTGGTTTAAGTAGTCATCTCACTGTAAAGCCCCCTTAGGATGCAGAGATCCTGCCTTTCCCAAAGCTTGACTGTATAGCATTTCCTTCAGAATCTGTGAATTGCTCCCCAATGTCTTCCATATACTCCCCACAACGTCTTCTCTCTCCTTTTTTTCCCATAAGTAAGCCAAAATTGATTCTGCAATTTGCAACTAGGAAAACTGAAACTCATCTAGGTGTACACTGTGCTGGTATCCAACATATGTCCCACAGGCAAAAGTAACACCTCTAATCCTGAAAACGTATTCAAACTCACCAGTAATCAGAGAATGTAAATTAAAACCACAATGAGATGCAAAAAGACTGGCAAAAATAAAAAATGCTGACCACACAAAATGTTGGCAGGGATGCGAAAGAGGAAGAACTTTCATCAATGGGAAGTTGAAAAACTTTCTGATACTTTTCAGTAACTGGAAAAGTTACTGATTATAAATTGATACAACCATTTTGGAAATCAATTTGATATTATTAAAGTTGAAATTAAACATTCCCTATGACCAAGCAATTACACTACTGCATGCCTACAGAAATCTGTGCACATATGTACCAGGATGCAAAAGCAAGAATGTTCACAGCAGTATTTTTGATAACAACCACATTTGGAAATTATTCAAATGTCCACCCACAGTAAAACAAACTTATACAATGGAATCAGTGGACTACAGCATGTAGCTGTTAAAATGCAATTAAAAATGACAAACATATATAAGCAAGTCACAAAAGTGCATACTTTTAAACTTTTAACATTGGCAAACAATATTGTTTGCAGATATATATACTGGTAGTAAAAACTGTAAATAAAAGTAAGGAAAGGATTACTATAAAAAGGCAATGGTGGTCACCCTATAGGATAGAGGATGGGAACTACAGTCAGACAGGGACCTTGGTAAACTTCTGGTATGCCAGCATTACTTGATTTTTTGGCCTGGGTAGAGTTAACATGGTATTCACTTTTTAACTGTTAAACTATACATATTTATATTATGTATTTTTAGGTATATATGTGATATTTCATTGCTTAAAAAAATTAAATCATGTGATCATTTTCCTGTTAGATGTGTAAGTAAGTATATGTCATCTCAAAAGCCAGGTTATATTCTGAAAAAACTGAAAAGTAGTTACAAAGAAAGTTGACTTGAATGCATAAGATAAAATGATGGTTATCTTTACTACAGATTTCATAGCAAAAAACAGAGGTCTTTCTAAAATATTCACTTAGAGATGAGATGTGTTACCCTTCCCAATCAAAGTGGGACAGGTTTTTTCTACTCTACTCAGCCCTCAACATCATTCTGCTAGCACTTCAGTAAGTCATACCAAATGGTTTACCTACAAACAACACTGTCTGCATCAAAACGTTCCACTTTAATTCCAATAATAGGAAAAGCCCTCTTTCAAAAGAACTAAGAAACACTTGTAGAACAATATTATTTGTAGATAATCATAATCACCATAGCTACCACATATATAGCGCTTACCATTAACTAAGTCCGTTACATGTTATTACCTCATATAATACTCAGCACTCTGAAGTGGGTATTATTAGTGCCCCATTTTATATATGAATAAGTTCAGTTACACAGAAGTTAAATAATTTTCCCAAGTAAAAAGTAGAAAAGCTTGCATGGGAATGAGACAACCAAATTCATAAATAATTTTAAAAAGCAGAAATACCGGCCAGGTGCAATGTCTCACGCCTGTAATCCCAGCACTTTGGGAGGCCAATGTGGGCAAACCACGAGTTCAGGGGTTCAAGACCAGCCTAGCCAACATGGTGAAACCCCGTTTCTACTAAAAATACAAAAAATTTGCTGGGCGTAGTGGCGGGCGCCTGTAATCTCAGCTACTCAGGCAGCTGAGGCAGGAGAATCGCTTGAACCTGGGAGGTGGAGGTTGTAGTGAGCCAAGATTGCGCCACCGTACTCCAACCCAGGCAACAGAGTGAGACTCCATCTCAAAAAAAAAAAAAAAAAAAAAAAAAAAAACAAACAAACAAAAAAAGTAGAAATACCACATGATCTCACTCATACGTGAAATATAAAAAAACTGAACTCGTAGAAGTGAAAGAGCAGAATGGTAGTTGCCAGTGACTGAAGGACAGAAGGGGATTGGGGGGATGTTAGTCAAAGTATACAAAATTTCAGTTAGATATGAGGAATAAACTCAAAAGATCTATTGTACAAAATGATGACTATAGTTAATAACATACATTGTATTCTTAAAAATTGCCAAGAGAGATTTTAAGTGTTCTCACCATAAAAAAATGCATATATTAACTCAACTTAGTCATTCCACAATGTATACATATTTCAAAACATGTTGCCTATGGTAAATATACAAAATTTTATCAATTAAAAACTTTGAACATTTAAAAAAAATAAAATAACTGAAGCCCCATACCATGTAAAATAAAATAAAACTTCCATTTTGTTCCTCTTTATATCTCTTTTAAGAAAGAGCAGAAATGCATATGTGGGGCACAGTTTAAAGGTATGTTCTTAACGACATCCTTATGTTTTCATTTAGTTAAATTCAAACCTAATAATCCATAGAGTGTGTATCAGAGACACAGTGGAGCTGGAAGGATATGCTTATGCCACTCCCACAATTTATTCTTTTATTCACATTCAATAAACATTTACCAGTGGCTTAATGTGTACAACCTGTGTAACAGGCACTGGATACAAAGACAAATATGACATAGTCCCCTGCCTGTAACAATCTACAGTATGGGAAAGAAACAAGAACATAAATAAGAGTTTATCAGTACATCAGAATTTACCAGAATCCCATACCTTAACTTTGAAGTACAAAGATTCAAAGTGATATACTTCTTGGCTGACACTGGTTCTCAATGTGTGCTCTTGGACCAACAGTATCACTATTGCTTACTATTTAATAGAAATGCAAAATGTAGGCCCTACTCCAGGCCTACAAAATCAGAAACTCTAGAGGGGGGCCCAGCAATCTGTGTTTTTTTTTTTGAGACGGAGTTTTGCTCTTGTTGCCCAAGCTGGAGTGCAATGGCGCCATCTTGGCTCACTGCAACTTCCGCCTCCTGGGTTCAAGTGATTCTCCTGCCTCAGCCTCCCGAGTAGCTGGGATTATAGGCACATGCCACCACGTCAGGCTATTTTTTTTTTTTTGTATTTTTTAGTAGAAACGGGGTTTCACCATGTTAGCCAGGCTGGTCTCGAACTCCTCACCTCAGGTCATCCACCCGCCTCAGCCTCCCAAAGTGCTGGGATTACAGGCATGAGCCACCATGCCCGGCCCAGCAATCTGTGTTTTAACAAACCCTTAAAGTGATTCTAATGAATGTTAAAGCAACAGAATTACTGTTATGGTGTCACCAACGTCAAGAGACCATAAACGAAAATGAGTTCTACTAGACACAATGAAATTCACCTGTCTACTCTTAGATTGTTCCAAACTATAACGGCCATTTGAATTGTTCCCAGGCTACAGATACATTTTTCAAGAAAGCCCAAGGAGATCTAGCAATACCAGGGGCTCCAGAAGGACCTAGAATCCACAATCATGAAAATGACCCATCTAGTCCCACCAAAAGTCATAGCATCACAACTTATTTATAGCTAAGGCAATTCTAAGTTATAAATTAGCAACACCTGAATTAAATTACCATATTTCTATCTAATAAATCATACCAGGTTACTAAGATTAAAAATAAAACATTCCCAACTACTTATTACCTGGAATCTGAATTGGGATAGAATAAAATTTATTTTAACAAGGGAAGTTCAGGATTTGAATAATTCAAAAAATTAAATTTGAAATATCCCATGCCCTAGTTTCACTTATAAAGACAGGATTATTAAAACAACCATTTATTACTTCAAATGGCCTCTCTTCTTATAATCTTACATAAATTTAAAAACTCTCAATTTCCAACAGATCTTAAATCCATAAAAAGTGGTCCAAAGCCTTAGTTAAAGGAAAATATTAAAAAGGTATGTAATGTATTGATTCCTGTTTTATACTTAATCAAAGACTGATTATGATATTTAACACTTAGTTGTCATCTATTTCTGACTCTAAATAAGGTGATAAACACTTAGATAAGGGCATAAAGACAATTTAAAGGAAAAAGATACTATATAGTACATCTGTAAGTCAAAAGGATTCCTTTTTAAATGTCTACCCAAATCAAGTAATTTTAACTGTCCCACTCCCAAATCCAAAAGTGCATCTTCCCTTTCAGATTGGCCAAATGTAGAAGGACTGCTTTGGTTTCTCAAATTATTACCAGGATAAATCACTAGTGAGTTTCTTTACCTTTTTACTTTGCACAATTTTTTCTAACTACTTTTTGACAGTTTTAGTTTGAATAAAATGCTTAGACAACCACAAGAATCTTTAAAAACACAACTTTATAGATGAATGTTTTATATTAATATAGTAATGAACTTGAAAGGCTCAATGATCTGAATGGTACCAACACAAAAGGCCACAATGAAAATGCAGAGGTATCTTCTACGTCACCATCTTCAAAATGCTGTGGATATGAATAGCCATCCTCGCACATTATTCCACCACAGATGCACACACATGCACATGCATACACACACGCACCCCTATTTTTAAAAATAACCTATTATGGATTTACTGTCTAACTGCTATGACCCACATCATTCCTGACCTACTTTAAGTATGAATCACATTTTGAGGGATAAGCACTAGGTCAATACTTTATTGTATAAAGTATGTAAGCTATCTTTAAAATTGCTTTCTTAAAAAAAATCTTCAAAGGGTCATTTCAGGTCCTAATATCACCAAATTTATAAAATGAGATGCATCTACCCTAACTATATGTCTTACGTGTTTATTTAAAAAGATACAACAGAGAAGACCTGAAATAATTTGACCAAACAAGAAAAAAGAAAATCCAAGAGAAACAATGCCCAAGGAATACAATTTAAAAGGTTCTACTAAAGCTTACCTCTTTAGGGCACTGATTTTTGCAACAACTGAGGAGGTTCTTTTCATTTACATCAGCTGTGGTTATTTTTCTAAAAATAAGAAAGTTGATGACATTCAAACAAAAATCCATTTTATAGCATAATTTTTCTAAAAATAACTCATAATTTCAAACATATCCATAAAATTATCTTTTTTCCTCAAGAAATACTTTAATTATTTCTCTATCTGTAACAATTATCTTCAAATTACTCAACTGTTCTGATAACTCAAACCATCCAGCCCTTTACTACTAACAAGTCAAATGCCAAAAGTGTAATCGCTGCAAGAAGTACAAAACACACACAAAATATCATCTGGGCCTGGCCTCTCTTTAATAGTTCCTGTAACTATCTTTCCCTATAGATTTATCATTATAATTCATAATTACAATTGTTAATGCCCCTACATAAAAAAATTTAAAACTAATTATTTAATATGTTCAAATTGAGGAATTTAGGCTATTTGGTGAGAAATAAAATTAACTTATTTAAAAAGCTTGGGTAAGCTATTAATATTAGAAATTAATTCACTTTAGGCCAGGTACAGTCGCTCTAACCTGTAATCCCAGCACTTTGGGAGACTAAGGCAGGTGGATCACTTGAGGCTGGGAGTTCGAGACCAGCCTAGCCAACATGGTGAAAGCCCATTTCCACTAAAAATACAAAAATTAGCCAGGTGTGATGGTGCATGCCTGTAATCCTGGCTACTCAGGAGACTGAGGCATAAGAATCGCTCGAACTCAGGAGGCGGAGGTTGCAGTGAGTCAAGATCATGACACTGCACTCCAGTCTGGGTGACTGAGCAAGACTCTGTCTCAAAAAAAATAAAATAAAATAGTAATTCACTTTAGATCTGATCATTTTTGAACAGTCTGCACTTTAAAATGCTTTTATATCTCAGTGAGTAATTCAGAAAAAAGTCACAAACACCAAGGAATAAACCTACTTTCCAACAGACACTGCCTAAGTCAGTAACTAGTGACAATCTAAAACTCCCTATCACTTGCGTCTCACTTTTCTGTTTCCCATACCTTTTTTCTCCTTTCCTTTTTTCTGTATTTTCTTACTTTTCCTATTCTTGCTTTCACCAGACATAACTGCCAAAATATACCGTAAGTTCAGTCTCCTTAATGTTAATTAAAACTATTATCTAAATATTCATACTAAATTAGCTATAAATATACTCTAAGATATTTCTTGGCAAAGTTCCCCTTAATACCACAAAGTTTTTATGCTGGCTCTATTAAACACTTGCATTTTTAAGATTCTTACAAGTATAATGTTCACCTCTGAACTTAAAGAGTTAATATTATTTTATTCCTGTTACTCTATACTTAGGAATAAATTAACTTTTCAAGTTCTATATCTTTTACATCCAAATTCTACAGAAGAAATTAACATGAAGCAGAAAAAGACTATGGTATAATAATATATACATATTGGTTTTCGTCCACGGTTCTTGGCTCATCACTCCCACAGCCCCTGTTATTTTTCCCCAAGGCATGCCATTAAAACTAAAAATATAACCTTCCTCCGCCTTTCTGTCTTGAGCAGGCCGTAAAGAAATTCTCTGACCTACCTTGTCTGATTGTAGGTCATAAGACCCCATTTCAGAAGGGGTCCTGTCCCATACTCTGGAAGAAGGAATGCTGTACACACAGGCCAAAAAGAACTGAAACAGGCCTTGTTGGGTTTCCCTACTCGGTCTATAATTACTAGATCACACCCTCTGTCCAGTCACACTTCTACATGAGTGTCCATACTTCAATCATGCCTATCCAATGAATTCTCCATAAAGGCCCAAGAAGATAGGGTACGAAAAGCTTATGAATAGCTGAACACAGAGGTTCCTGGAGGGTGGCATGCAAATGGTGGGGCAGGGGTAGGAATGGAATCACCATACCCCTTCTTTCATACCTCACTCTATGTATCTCTTCATCTGTATACTTTGCAATATCCTTTATAATAAACCAGTAAACATAAGTTAAGTTTTTCTCTGAGATTTATGAGGCACTCTAGCAAATTAATCAAACCCAAAGAGGGGGCTGTGTGAACCTAAACTTGAAGCCGGTCAGTCAGAGATTCCAGAGGCCTGAACTTCAGACCAGTGTCTGAAGGGAAGGCAGTCTTGTGGGACTAAGCCCTCAACCTACAGGATCTGACACTTTCTCCAGGTAGTCTCAGAAATGAATTAGAGGACACCCAGCTGGTGCCTGCTACAGAAGTGATTGTTTTCTTCTTGGTTGAAAGAAACTCCCACACATTTGGTCACAAAAGTCTTTTGTGTTGATTGTTGTGTTTTAAGAGCAGAGGAAAAACAGTTTGTGTTTTTTTCCACACAGGACTAAAAGGAAAAGATGACTTAAATAATTCACTGAATTGAAAGCAAACGAAATTATTAGAACTGAAGCGATAGAATTCTATATTAAAACATATACTTTAATATGTATTTAAGAAAAAAAATCTGTAGTGCTGAGGTAATGGAAGCCACCTTAATCCAAATATATCCACATGTCCCCCTCAAAAAACATATAGCTCATTAATAACAAAATCACTGAATCCCACGACCACAGCACAACTAGAAGACACAAATTTCTACAAACTTCAAATTACCTATAACTAGGAAAAAAAAAAAAACAACTCCTGAGAGAGCTATTTTTCAAGCTCCCAATGCAAGTATTTTCATAGAGCTAGTGGAGTTCTGAAAAAAACTAAATGAAAAACAGAAGAGGAGGCTGAGCTAAAATCACAACAGAAAAAGGTCCCCCTAAATATGAAAATACTGAAAATACCCTGGTAGACCACAGCACTAACTAAAGGGAATGGATTTTAACAAGTACACCAGGCTGGGTGCAGTGGCTCATGCCTCTAATCCCAGCACTTTCGGAGGCCGAGGAAGGTGAACTGCCGGAGGCCGAGGAAGGTGAACTGCCAGAGCCCAGGAGTTCGAGACCAGCCTTGGCAACATGGCAAAACCCCGTCTCTACAAAAAAACACCAAAATTAGCCTGGTGCGATGGTGTGCACCTGTAGTCCCAGCTACTAGGAAAGCTGAGGTGGGAAGATCACCTGAGCCTGGGAGGTCAAGGCTGCAGTGAGCCGTGAGTGCGCCACTGCATCCAGTCTGGGAGACAGAGAGACACCTTGTCTCAAAAAATAAAAATAAAAAAAAATTTAAAAAGTATACGAGATTCAAGTAGCCAATCTTGGAAAGGCAACACTCCGGGAAGAAGGTAAAAAGGGAAAGGCAGACTTTAGACTTCAGACTTGTTTCAAAATAAAATAAAATAAAATAAGTACACAAGATTCAAGTAGCCAATCTTGGAAAGGCAACACTCTGGGAAGAAGGTAAAAAGGGAAAGGCAGACTTTAGGCAGACTTCTTTAGACCCGGCAAAAGAAGGGAAATTTAGGATTTTGCAAGACCAAAGAAAACAAAAGTAAAATAAGGACACATAACTCCTCTCCTCTTCTCAGTACCACCCTCAAACGCCAACCATTTAAAAAATTGTATTTTCCCACACTGGCAAGAGAGTGGTCATCAACTAGAAATCTTATACTAAGCTCTGTCCAAAAACATAAAGATATGTAATTTACAACTATAAAAAACTACTATAGAAAATAAACAGAAAATGACATCCAAAGCCTTTTTGCTGATGAAAATCCCCTCCTGTATCTCCCACCCAAAAAAAGAAGTACAAAGAAGAAGAAAACTGGAACATAATATTCCAAACTGAATTAACTATATGAAACACTGCTTATACAGAAGTGTTAACCTAGCAGACCTGACCACTATCTTTTGAAAGGCCTCCTTGTAAGACTAGCCCTTGGCTGGTGCTTGGGAATCTGGATTTCAGGAAGGTTCCCACCATTCCCAGAACTGGTAAGAACAGCTGACTATGTCTAAACTGTATAAATCAAATGGTTTATGCTGAACAGTTGCTTTCCCTCTTGAGAGCCCTGAACTCTGGTATGTACCAGGTGAGGCTGCCTATGTAGCCTTCCCCCAGTAAAAACTCTAGGTGCTCTAATGAACTTCTCTGGTTGGAAACATTTTACAAGTGTTGTCACAACTCAGTGCTGGGAGAATTAAGTACAAACTATGTGGCTCCACTGGGAGCAGACTCTGGGCGCTTGTGACTGGTTTGCCCTACACTTCACCTCATGTGCCTTTTCCCTTTGCTGACTGTGCCTCCTACCCTTTTGCTGTAATAACTCATAGCAGTAGGTATAACTATATGCTGAGTCCTGTGAGTCCTGGCAAATTACCCAATATGAGCATGGTATAGGGCTCTTCAATACACTACCACCTTAAGTCAGAAAAGCAAAACCTAAGAACATAATGGAGAAGAAATGAACAAAGGTTGATTGAATTCAGGAAAAAAAAAATTAAGATAAAATTACATCAGAAATAAAAACTAAATTACAAGGTGCTCATGAAAGAACATATTTACAGAAGAACATACTTGAATCAAAATTTAATAAGGCTCCCTGAAACGAGGCAGCAAAACATCCTAGATGATAAAAATGAGATATAGAAAAAAGTATCAAAGAAGTAATTGAGTGAAATGGGAGACAGAAAAAGAAAACCCAACATATATACAATTGATATCACTAAAAAACAAAATAAATGAAACAGATCTGGTATTTAAAACTATAATCCAGGAAAATAAAAATATTGAACTTATATGTTGAAAGGGCTAATCAGGTACCTGAAAAAATTTATCAAAAATTATTAACCCTGAGTCGTACCTTAATAAAAACATTAGATTTTAAAGATGGAGGAGGAGGAGGAGGGAAGTGAAGGAGAAAGAAACAACTTTAGGGGTCCCAGGTAAAAAAGATCAATTAACTCATAAGGAGAAGAGACTGGCATCAAATTTCTCAAAAGTAAAATATAAACGAAAGCAGCATAGAGCCACATTTCCAAGAAACTCTAGGAAAGAACGCATCAATAAAAGACTTTTTATACAACTGTAAATGCTATAGCAAAACATTCTTAAAACATGCAAGGGAATGTTTAAGAATTAAGCATTCAGGGAATACTATACTCACAAGCTCTCTTGGAGAAACTACTAGAGGATGCACTTCATTCAACCAAGAGAAGATTGGGAAATTTCAGCAAAAAGACTGATGGTTGAAATTCAAAATTGAAAATCTAAGAAAAAAAGGGCTGGGCGCAGTGGCTCACGCCTGTAATCTCAGCACTTTGGGAGGCCGAGGCGGGTGGATCACGAGGTCAGGAGATAGAGACCATCCTGGCTAACACGGTGAAACCCTATCTCTACTAAAAATACAAAAACAAAATTAGCCAGGCGTGGCGGCGGGCACCTGTAGTCCCAGCTACGCGGGAGGCTTAGGCAGGAAAATGGCGTGAACTCGGGAAGCGGAGCTTGCAGTGAGCCGAGATCGCACCATTGCACTCCAGCCTGGGTGACAGAGCGAGACTCCGTCTCAAAAAAAAAAAAAATAGAAAAGAAAAAGAAAAAAAGGTCGGAATGGGGGTAGAATAATATATAAATGTCATATGTTCTGAAAAAGAATAAAACATGCAACTAAACAATGAGAAGAGAAGGAGAGAAAAAAAGGCAAACAAACTCACTGATTGTCATACAGTCTTAAATGAGAACCAGGTGATAAAATTAAAAGCTGACAAACCAGTTAGTAAAAGATGGAAGAAACAAGGGTCTAAAGACATTAAAAACGTACAAAAAAAAAAAGTAATCAACCACTAAACGAAAACAAACCTTAATAGGAGAAAATTGTAAGAGCAAAGAAAACGTATCACATAAAGAAAAAGTGACATAATACAAACAGTAATCATAAAGTAATAATTCAGAGCTAAACCAAAGATATTAGTGATATTAAAAATTGTTAAAGGACTTACTTAACTTGCCTACTAAAATGAAAAAGGGGATGCATAAGAATTCAAGCCAAAAGTATTAAATGTAACAAAGGATACCTTTCAATGCTAAAAGCCGTAATTATTAAAAATTCTGTATGACATATAACAGCTTAATCATCTTTATAAGCAAAAACTACAGCAGCTGCAAAGAGATACAGAAACACACTAACAGGCTAGGCATGATGGCTCATGCCTGTAATCTCAACATTTTAGGAAGCTGAGGCAGGAGGGTCTCTTGAGCCCAGGTGTTTTGAGACCAACCTGGGCAATACAATGAGACCACAACTCTACAAAAAGTTTCTTAAAAATTATCCAGGCGTGGTGGTATGTGCCTGTAGCCCCAGCTACTTGAGAGGCTGAGGCGGGAGGATCACTTGAGCCCAGGAGTTCAAGGCTGCAGTGAGCCATGACCACACCACTGTACTTCAGCTTGGCCAATAGAGTAAGACTGTGTCTCAAAACACAAAAACCAAACAAAAAGAAACACACTAATAATATGAAATTGTAATACAGCATTTTCAATATAAGACAAAGCTACTGTATTAAAACATGATCCACACACACAACCCAAATCTTATATCCTGATTTTACGATATTACATCTTCTCAAGCACATGGAACATTCACAAAAATTGATCACCTTATTTTACAAAGGAAGCACTGTTAAGTTCCATAAATTAGAAAAATATTACAAACACATGCTCTGATCACAATGCAATAAAACTAGATCTTCTATTTTAAAAATCTTGACTATAGGAGGAAGTATAATGTAAAGACATAGAAACTCTCAAATACAAAGAAAGTAGTATATACATGAATATATGGAATATACCTAAAGCAATAAATAATCCATAAGCTTTAAGCACATCTATGATAAAAATGAAAGCATGAAAATAAATGAATTAAATTCTCAATTCTTCTTAAAGAAATTTAGAAATTTCTTTTTAAAGGAAATAATAAAATAAGAGCAGAAAAAATGTGGTAAACCATAAAAGAACAGTCAATCCAGTTAATCAAAATCCTAAGTTTTTTAAAATAAAAAAATTTACTACCTAACACTCAAGAAAGAAGGAGAAAGCAAAAATATTCAAAATAAGAATGACAAGGGGAAATCATAAAACAACAACAAAATTTTAATCACGGTAAGCAACTACTTTACAAACTTTTAAATACAAATAAATTTGAAAAATCTAGATGAAATAGATAATTTCTAAGGAAAATAATAGTTTTCCAAAAATGACCCCATAAGAGAGAGAAATTTTCATTAGAAAAAATAGAGAAAGTTATCAAAAACAACACACACACATCAGGCCCAGATGGTTTCATAGAGGAATTCCATAAAACCCTCAATGACCAGTTAATCCCAATGATACTACATATTCTAAAGCATAGAAAACCAAGGAAATAGCCAAGTTTATTTTATAAAACAAACGTAACGTTGATACCCAAATCTGACAAAGACAATACAAAATTTAAAAATTATAGACTAATACAATTAATGAACATTTTTAAAATCCTAAACATTAGCAAATCCAAATCAACAGATCTAATGATTATCTCCACAGATGCTAAAATATCATTTGGCAAATTCAGCATCCAATCTTATTTAAATATACACACACACTCAAGAAAACAGAAATTGTTGGATACTCCAACATGGTGACAAAGCCAACATCTTACATAATGTAGAAATACAGGAAGTAATTCCTCTAAAGAAAGAAACAAGGCAGGGCCAATACTATTTAACACTGGACTGGAGATGTTAACCAATGATAGGAGATGACAGAAATCCATTATGAGGCAAAAGTATTGTAAAGAAAGAGACCAAAACCCCAAGGAAAAAAAAAATATGCAAAGGACGTCAACAGCCAATTCACTAAAATAAATTTTAAAATGGTCCTCATTAAAACAGAGAGCCTAGAAGCAATGAAACACAAGGAGCAAAAAGCACACCAAGTGGCTTTTAAATATCACTGCCCATTAAAAAGGCCCTTAGAGAAATGTCTAAGTCCTGGGCTAGGATATGTAAAGTACAAGATGAGCCTGGGCCATTTTTATTAGCCAGAAAAAAAAAGAAAATACTAAAACAAAGATGGAAACACATCAAAGGGACATGAGAACCAGTTTAAAGACACTCCCATGGGCCTTTGATGTTCAATAAATTAAACATCAAAATGATGGCGAAGGACCAAATAAAGAATCCACTGGTTCATGCCAGTATTAACATACGAGGTTGGGAGAGCTCTTACAGTAAAATGTCAATTAATAAATGTAGAAGATGGAGTTAGAAAATTCCCACTTGGCAAGTTTTTATTTGTTTTGTAAAATACACTTGGTTCTTTGGGAGGCCGAGGCGGGCAGATCACGAGGTCAGGAGATCAAGACCATCCTGGCTAACATGGTGAAACCCTGTCTCTACTAAAAAAAATACAAAAAATTAGCTGGGCGTGGTGGCAGGCGCCTGTAGTCCCAGCTACGCGGGAGGCTGAGGCAGGAGAATGGCGTGAACCTGGGAGGCGGAGCTTGCAGTGAGCAGATTATGCCACTGCACTCCAGCCTGGGTGACAGAGCGAGACTCCGTCTCAAAAAAAAAAAAAACAAAAACAAAACAAAAAAACACTTGGTTATTTCCATGGGTTTCTATGCTCTAGAATACTTTATGTAGTATCACTGGGATTAAATGGTCAAGGGTTTCATTAATGAAGCATCTGGGCACACATGCACGTGTGTTGTTCTTGAGAGCTTTTTCTATTTTCTCAAATGTTATCGTAGTAACAACTCATTTACAACAGAATCATCAATGGATGCTAAAATTCGTGGGTGAAAGTTTGATGAGGAACAAGCTATATAAATAAACAGAATGCAGGTGTGACACTGCCCAAGTTCATTACTATCCATTAATAATGTAAAATTGCCCTCTAAATTCCCCCTACAAAACTTCTAAGACTAAAAATTATAATACTTTATTTTTGAGATTTCAACAAAATAACTTTAATATAAGAAAAGAATAAAATTTGTCTTCTATAATTTAACAAAGCATGAGTCTAGAGTTTAGGGAACAAAAATGTTAGCTAATATGAACAGGAATTTTTCAAAATGTAATTATGCTAAAAAATATGAAATAAAGTAATATTCCCAAATGAAACTTGAGGAAAATATATTTACAAAAAGCTCACTTTACGGACTGGAGTGAAACAGCCAGGAGAGTTAAGTGGTAAATTATGTTATATCATTATTAAATAAAAGGGAAATTTTTTTCTTCTATCTAAATAATCCATAAGCAAAAACTGGCATTTTTTTAAATGAAGAAAACATACTGGTTTGGTCATATCCTAGTGTGATAGGTGCTATAACAGCAACGCTTGTAATAAAGGCCTACCTTTTAAATCTATAACTTAAAAATTATGCTTAAGTAGGCTGGGCATGGTGGCTCACCCCTGTAATCCCAACACTTTGGGAGGCCAAGGTGGGTGGATCACGAGGTCAGGAGTTTGAGACCAGCCTGACCAACATGGTGAAACCCCATCTCTACTAAAAATACAAAAATTAGATGGGTGTGGTGGCACGTGCCTGTAATCCCAGCTACTCAGGAGGCCAAGGCAGGAGAATTGCTTGAACCCAGGAGGCAGAGATTGCAGTGAGCCAAGATCGTGCCACTGCACTCCAGCCTGGGCAACAGAGCGAGACTCTGTCTCAAAAAAAAAAAAAAAAGAAAAAAAAAATTATGCCTAAGTCAACTACTGGCATAGCTCAGAGATATTGCAGGTTCAGTTCCAGACCACCTTAATATAGCGAATATCATACTAAAGCAAGTCACACACATTTTTTGGCTTCCCAGTGCATATAAAAGTTATGTTTACACAATACTGCAATATACTAAGTATGCAATAGCATTACATCATAAAAAACAATGTGTATACCTTAACAATACTTTATTACTAAAACCTGCTAACACTCATCTGAGCCTTCAGTCAGTCTTAATGTTTTCACAGATGGAGCATCTTGCCTAGATGTTTATGGCTGCTGACTGATCAGGGTGGTGGCTGCTGAAGATTGAGGTGGCTATGGCAATTAAAAAAAATAAGACAATAGAGTTTGCTGCATCAATTGACTCTTCCTTTCAGGAAGATTTCTCTGTAGCATGTGATGCTGTGTTTCATAGCATTTTACCCACAGTAGAACTTCTTTCAAAATTCCTATCAAACCTGCTGCTGCTTTATCAACTAAGTTTGGGTAATATTCTAAATCCTAATCCTTTGCTGTCATTTCAGCAATGTTCACAGTATCTTCACCAGGAATAGATTCCACTTTCTTTGTTCATCCATTAGAAGCAACTTCTCATCTGTTCAAGTTTTATCATGAGATTGCAACAATTCAGTCCCATCTATAGGCTCCACTTTTAATTATAGTCCTCTTGCTATTTCCACCACATCTGCAGTTACTTTCTGCACTGAAGTCTTGAACCCCTCAAAGTCATCTATTAGGGCTGGAATCAACTTCTTCCAAACTCCTGTTCCTGTTGACATGAATGTTCTTAATGACATCTAGAATGGTGACTCCTTTCCAGAACGTTTTCAATTTACCCAGATCTATCAGAGAAATCACCACCTACATCTGGCATTTATTTCTCAAAAAATTAGACCTGAAAGTTGAAATTACTCCTTGAACCATGGACTGCAGAATGGATGTTGTGTTAGCAGGCACGAACACAACATTCATCTCCTTGTATATCTCCATTATAGCTCTTGGGTAACCAGGTATATTGTCAATGAGCAGTAATATTTTTAAAGGAATCTTTCTGATCAGTAGGTCTCAACAGTGGGCTTAAAATATTCAGTAAACCATGCTGTAAACAGATATACTGTCATCCAGGCTTTGTTGTTCCATTCATAGAGCACAGACTAGATTTAGCATAATTGTGAGAATGGTAAATGAGTACTGGCTTCAATTTAAAGTCACCAGCTGCATTAGGGCCCTAACAAGAGAGTTTGCCTGTCCTTTGACACTTTAAAGCCAGGCACTGACTTCTCTCTAACTATGAAAGTCCTAGATAGCATTTTCTTTCAACAGAAGGCTGTTTTGTCTACATTGGAAATCTGTTGTTTTGTGTAGCCACCTTCATCAATGATCTTATCTAAACCTTCTTAGATAACTTGCTGCAGCTTCTGCATCAGCACTTGCTGCTTCACCTTGCACTTTTATGTTATGGAGATGGCTTCTTCCCTAAACCTTATGAACCAACCTATGCTGCCTTCAAATTTTTCTTCTGCAGCTTCTTCATCTCTCTCAGTCTTCACAGAATTGAAGAGAGTTAGGAACATCTCTAAATGTTGTGGCTGCTTTGATCTTCTATCCAAACCACTAAAACTTTCTCCATATCAGCAATAAGGCTGCTTTGCTTTCTTATCATTCTGTGTTCGCTGGAATGAACTTTAATTTCCTTTAAGAATTTTTCCTTTGCATTCACAACGTGGCTAACTGTTTGGTGCAAGAGACCTAACTTTTAGCCTATCTCAGCTTTTGACATGACTCAACTAAGCTTAATCATTTCTAGCTTTTGATTTAAACTCAGACATGTAACTCTTCCTTTCACTTGAACACTTAGAGGCCACTGTAGAGTTATTAATTGGCCTAATTTCAATACTGTTGTTTCTTGGAATAAGTAGGCGCAAGAAGAGGTAGAGAGATAGGGGAACTGCTAGTGATGCAGTTCAATCACACACAATATTTATCAATGATTCACTGTCTCACAGAAGTGCAGTTCATGGCACCCCAAAACAATTACAATGGAAACATCAAAGATCACTGATCACAGGTTATCATAACAGATATGAAATGAAAAAGCTTGAATATTGTGAGAATTATCGAAATGTGACAGAGACACAAAATGAACATATGCTGTTGGAAAAAGGGCATCAATAGACTTGCTCAATGCAGGTTGACAAACTCCAATTTGTAAAAAACTCAGTATCTGCCAAGTACAATAAAGTGAAGTCCAATAAAACAAGGTGTGCCTGTATGTACAAGTCAAATTTTGATTGAAAAAAATTCTAATTTGACATAGTCAAACTATCAGGTATAGGAGTATTTAAATTTTTTTTAAAAGCAGTGAAACCATTTTTTTCATAACAAAATCTTATACAGAATCCCGAAATGGAAAAAAAGCACAATTTCCCTGTTTGAATTCAGGATGAAGTACCCAGAAAGTGTAGTATTCTACATGTCTTCCTTCCAGGTCTCTACTGGAAAATCTAGGCATCTAGAGTTTAAGCAAAGTACACTATAAAGGGTTCTTAATTATAAAAAGATACCAATTCAACTAATTGTAATAAAATAAGACTTTTTTTTCAGTCTACTTACCTACATTCCACATACAGGCTTGTGATCTTACAGTGACATTTTATTCTAAGCATCTGAACACAAGGTGGACATTCTCCAGGGTGACATCGCAAAATACATGGGTGAAGACAACCTAGTGGCCGTGACTTGGAGCACCCTTCCTCACAATGAAGGCATTCTGGGCCAGCCTGAAAAACAGCATGGAAATAAATCACCTAAGTACAAGGTAAGCCTAACATTTCCATATGTTACAGTTATAAAATTTATATATCCCATTAAAATAAAGTACTTCTGCAGTTCTTAGAAACAGAGTTAATCAAACGGTACATGCTCTCATTTATCTTAAAAATATTCAAACTAAAGAACAGCAAGATTGTCAATATGACTATTATTCATATAGATTTTTTTGCCTATGAGCCTCATTAAGTCAAACTGCCTCATTTTTAAAGGAACCTTAAAATGGACTATATAAAGTATCCCACTAAAAATGTAAATTACTTCCTAAAGAATCGTCAAAGACAGAAATAAAATATACAGAGTAAGAATGTTCATTCATTTCTATACGATAATCAACACTGAACTAAAGAAATCAATACACTGTTAACACATAAATAAAAATTCCAAAGCACTAAACAGTCTGGAGGTAATTATCTCATCTTGCCAAAGAGAAACACATATACAATGAAAAAAGAATGACCAGTAGTTTATATTTTAATGCACATCAATGAATTAAAGTTAAATTACATTTTACAAATAAATGTACCTCAACGTAACTTAACAAGGCACCTCCCTTTTCTCTAGTGATTTAATAATGTTAACTAGCATTATAATCTACTAAAGAAGGTTAAAAATACTTATTTCAGGATATTGTTTTCTCACGTCATACTTGAGGTAAAATAAGAGAGCTATAGACATGGATACTAAATCTTAAAGGTCAAACATTTTTATTATCATTCCAAAGAGAAGCCATGATTACAACAGTTATTATAAAATTCTAAGCTATTTTTTGACATATAGGATTAAAAAGAAACAGTGCTTCAAATTATAAAAATATTATTTTATAAATTATTTTTTAAAAACATGTGCCAGGCATTGTTCTTGGCACTGGGAAGACATGAGATAGGCTCCTGGAACTTACATTTATGTGAGGAGGTAAAGAACATGAATATAATGTCTTCGTAACTACTCTGAAGAAAGATAAAGCAGGATAAGAAAGAGTGATGGCAGCAACAAGAAGGAAGCCTGACTGATAAAGATCACATGTGAATAGAAATTGAGTTAAATGAAGGAGAGAACAACCAGAAAGGAGAGCTCCAGAGGAAAGGAACAAGTACAAAGGGTCTAAGAAAAAACAAATGTGGAATGTTCAAGTAACAGGATGAACAGAGGCAGAAGTGAGTAAGCAAGAGAGTGATGAGAAGTCAGATGAAAGTTGGGAAAGATAGTCAGGAGTTAGATCATTACTGAGCCTTTACAGGCCATTGAAAAGGATTTAAATTTTGGTCTGAGAGTGACTGAAAACTACCAAAGGATATGGAGCAGAAAGATGATACTTGATTTAAATTTTTTAGAAGATTAATCTGGCTGATGCAGTAAAACAAAGTGAGTAGAAATGTTGGTTAGGAAATTACTGCAGAAATCTAAGTCAAAGGTAATGGTGGCTTAGATGAGGGTGGTAGTGGTACAGGTTATGAGAAACTGTCAGATTCAGGATCTATTGATGACAAACCTAACAGGATTTTCTGTGGGAAAAGGACAACAAAGACAAGAAAGAAATCAAGCATGATTCCTATGTCTTTGATCTGCACAACTGGGTAAAAACGGTAAAATGACTTTCTGAGATGGGAAAGACTGAGCAAATATTAGGCAGTGAGTAACAAAATATGCAAAAAGAACCAAAGTTCACCTAAAGAGTTTATTTCATTTGCTCTTCCTATGTGGTACACCTACAAAAATCTTCTATTTAAATAACATGAGTAGAAGAGCACATTGGGCTGGGAGTTAAAAGATCAGGCACAGTACTTTCTGATTTGCTACTCTCCTGTTGCAGAATCATGGACAAATCACAGAGCTTCAGTTTCCCTATCTGCAAAACAAAGAGTATACTTAGAATATGAGCTCCTTCCAGCTATGGCAGAAACAAAAAAAATCACTGAATCTACACTTACTAAATTATCTTCCTGGATCACTTCCAATATCAAGTTCTATCTTCTAGGAAAGACTATCTTAGTTAAGAAATACAGCAAGTCCATCTGTCAAATATCATACGCAGTTCTCATTTAAAAAGAAAAACAGAAGCTTTAACCCAGGAAGCAATTTGGGGATAATCCACAATAAATCTCTAATAGTCATATCAGCTTTGAAAATAAGCTTTTTCTGACTCACTCCGTATTCTGGAAATCTGGAAGAGGGAAGCCATACAGCAGCTACACCCTAACTAGTTAAAATGATTTTGTATCATTATTTGTTAGTTTGATTTTATAATTCTAGCATCTTTTTTGTTTTATCATGAGTACATTTTTGAGGGTCAAGGCATGGATCAATGAAGAAATTAAAAGCAATACATTTACACATGTTTGCACATGAAAAAGAAGAATACCTATGTTGTCATGTATTATAAATTAAAGACCAAAAAAATAACCTAACGACGCAACTAAAATTTTCAATAACATAAGTCATATTAATAATTTAAATAGTTGTAAATTTAATGTTAATAATAAAGTGACACTTAAAATTTTCTGGCCTATTTCTCATTTAGACACTAGTATTACAACTCCCTACAGAACGGAAGTCTAGAAAAAAATTATTTTAAAACTAAAGTTTAACACTAGCTACATTTGTTTTTCCTTGTAAGATGACAATTTTCAGAGATCTTTGAAAAGCTGAGTTCTCATACACTTGTAAAATGCTTTTAGTTAATTATACACACAGAAACACTGCTCATCTGTGATGCCATTTATTTTACTTTTAACAAAAGATTGGGAATTTATTTAAATTTATTAAAATTATGAACATCATCCATCCTGTGTGTCAGGTTTGAAAACTAACTTAGAGTAAATGCTCTAAACTCAGATATGAACAGAGAGAAATGGAGGTGATACTCTTACTTACTATCTAAGAAGATACATAACCTATGTATTTTTATCATAAAACCATATCCTATGTATTAACACAGGTACAGTATGTAAAGGGTTCCACATTAAAAGGCACATTATTATGAGCTGGAATAAAGACACAGAACTATACACACCAAGCTGTCTAAGGCCAGCTGTCTTAGGAAAGGAAAAGAAGGAGAAGGGATGAGGGCAAAAAAAGAGACAGGAAGCTAAAGCAAAACAGAAAAATATTTATGGTATAACTGTTGAAAAAACGTTTCAAGAATACTATGGGCAGATATACATTCAATCTAAGAACATTACCTTGTTTTTTCCAGTGCAGCCATCAGTTTTGGTTACTTTGTGGCATTCTTTCATACATGTGTGATTCTGACAATCCAAGATTCTTCCACAAACTCTTTTACAAGAGTAGGGTCCTACAGCATGGCATGGTAGTGGACTCACCTTAAAAAATAAAGGAAATCAGCACAGCACACATTACTCAAACGTTTCTGGACATATTATATGTTTCCAAAATTACTCTGCTATCATTTGAGAACAAGTTTCAGAAAGGTATAAGTTTGCACGAATAATAATAATATCAAAATCAAAGTAACCTGTCAAAATATTTCAAAGTAATGAATGCCAAGAAGCAAAATGTTCTCCTCCTAAAAGGAAAATTCAATATGATTCTGTAGTGAATGCATATCCACAGGCTAATTCTCAAATAAAGGCACTACATATTTTTTAAATTAGTAGATAAACTCTTGTACTCTTTATAACAGTAAAATAACAATACTTTGACTTTGTTATTTCTAACAACTCTAGTAAAGTTATACTAGTATGTAACAGTATAGATTATAAGCTTTACTTAAAAATTGTGCCTGTAACTTACCTCATGTTTCCCAAGACATTCCCTACAAGGAAAAAATAAAATAAAATGAAAACATTACAAATTATTCAAAAATAATACCTAAAGATGCTAACTCTACTAGCATTAAAAAAATAAATACATATGGAATAAGCAATTATAGTAAAGTTACAGGACACGAAGTTAATATACAAAGGTCAACTGATTTCCTATATAGTAGCAATGAGCAATTAGAATTTGAAGTTAAAAACATAACACTACATTAGCACAAAAAATGAAATACTTGGGTATGAATTTAACAAAATATATACAAGATCTCTATGGGACAACTACAAAATACTGATGAAAGAAATCAAAGATTTAAATAAATGAAGCAATATTCCATGTTCACAGTTATGAAGGCTCAAAATTATTAAGATGTAGTTTATTTCCAATTTGATCCAGATTCAACATGATTCCAATCAAAATCCCAGCAAGTTATTTTGTATATATCAACAAACTGATTCTAAAGTCTATATAGAAAGATAACAGACCCAGAACAGCCAACACAATACAAAAGAAAGCAAAGTCCAAAGACTGACACCACCCAACTTCAAGAATTACTATAAAGCTACAGTGATCAAGACAGAATGGTACTGATTAAAGAATAGGCAAATAAATGAATGGAAGAGAACAGAGAGACCAGAAATGGAACCACACAAATCATAGTCTACTGATCTTTGGCAAAAGAGCAAAGGTAATTGAATGAAGAAAGGAAATTCTTTTCAATAAATGATTCATGCTGGAACAAATAGACACCTGCTTGCAAAAAAAACCTAGGCAGACCCTAAGCCTTTCACAACAGTTAACTCAAAATGAATCACAGCTCTAAATGTAAAATGCAAAACTATAAAACACAGACAATCTGGGTAATTTGGGTTTAATTATGACTTTTAGATACAACACCAAAAGCACAATCCATGAAATAAAAATGGATGATAGACGTCATTATACTAAAAATTACAGCTCTGAAAAGAACATTTAGAGAATGAAAAGCCACAAAGGCTGGGTGCAGTGGCTCACACCTGTAATCCCTACACTTTAGGAGGCTGAGACAGGAGGATCACCTGAGCACAGGAGTTTCAAGCCCAGCCTGAGCAACATAATGAATCCCTGTCTCTACAAAAAATTAAAATTAAAAAAAATTAGCTGAACATAATAGTGCACGCCTAGTCCCAGGTACTAGGGGGTTGGGGGTAGAGCTGAGGTTGAAGGATCATTTGAGCCCAGGAGGTGCAGGCTGCAGTGGGCTGTGATGAAGCAACTGCACTCCTTCTCCATGAAAAGCCTGGGTGACAGAACTGAGATCCAGTCTCAAAAAAAAAAAAAAAAAAAAAAGGTTAAAAAGATAAGCCACAGACTGGCAGAAAATACTTGGAAAATGCACAGCTGGTAAAGGACTTGTCTTCAAAATATACTCAATAAGAAAGCAAATAACGCAATATAAAAATGAAAAAAAAAAGAATTTGTGGAAACTCTATGTGGAACACATGTATCAGTGCCATATTTCCTATAGCATGTGCTCACTTCATGTCTCTATGACAATTTTCATATAATTCTTGCATTATTTCAAAGTTTTTCTTTTTTATTATATCTGTTATTGTGATCCGTAATCAGCGATCTTTGATGTTACTATTGGATTCTTTTGGGGTGCCACAAACTGTGCCCATAGTAAACAGTAAACCTAATTAATGAGTAAAAAAAAAAAAAAAAAAAAAAACGCAAAAAGGAACAGGAAATTAAACACTGCATGTTAAATTAAACACTGCATGTTCTCACATGTAGAAGCTAAAAAGTTGATCTTATAGAAATAAAAAGCAGAATAGTTACAGGATGGAAAAGGTAGAGGGAGGAGGGGATAAGAGAGATTTGTTAAAAAACAAAATTACAGCTAGATAGGAAGAACAAGTTCTGGGGTTTTATAGTTATCTTACAGTGCTATAAAACTACTGTTATCTATTGTTAACTATAGATAACAATAGTTACCTATAACAATGGATATCTATAGATATAGATATCTATAACTATAGTTACAGATAACGATAGTTAACAATAATATATATTTTCAAATAGCTAGAAAAGAGGATACTGAATGTTCCCAAAACAAAGAAATGGTGTCTGAGATAATGGATACGCTAATTGCCCTGATCTGATCACTGTATATCACACTGTATGTACTGAAACAGCATTACATTTCCTATAAATATGTATAATTATTATGTATCAATTAAAAATAGAATGGCTAAAATCCAAAACACTGACAATACCACATGTTGGTGAGAATAAAGAGCAACAACAATTCTCACTCACTGTTGTGAGAATGCAAAATGATTCAGACACTTTAGTAAACTGTTTGACAGCTTCTTACAAAGCTAAACAAAGTCTTACCATGTGATCCAGCAATTACACTCCTAAGTATTTACCCAAATGAGCTGAAAACTTATGTCTACACAAAAATCTGCACATAACATAAATGTTTATAGCAGCTTTATTCTTAATTGCCAAACTTGGAAGCAACCAAAATGTTCTTCTATGGTAAATGGATAAACAAACTATGGTACCTTTATGCAATGTATTATTATTCAATGATAAAAATAAATGAGCTACCAATCCATGAGAAGACACAGAGGAACCATAAAACCATATTGCTAAGTGAAGAAGCCAGTCTGAAAATGCTATACACTGTAAAAGTCCAACTATTGACATTCTGGAAAAGGCAAAACTACAGAGATAGTAAAAAGATACATGGTTGCTAGGAGTTTGAGACGGGGAGGGGAAAAGAAGGTTGAACAGGTATAGCACAGGGCATTTTTAGGGCAGTGAAACTATTCTGTATGAAACTATAATAGTAAATACATGACATTACACATTTGTTAAAACCCACAGAACCATACAACACAGAAAGTAAATCCTAATGTAATCTGTGGACTTTAGCTAATGATAAAGTACCAATATTGGTTTCTCAACTGTAAATTGTATCACTAATGAAAGTTGGTAATAGAGAAAACTGTGGTATGGGGGCACACATAGGAACTCTCTATACTTTCTGTGCAATTTTCTCTGTAAATGTGAACACATTCTTAAAAAATAAAACCTATTTAAGAAAATAAACACATCATTTCCCTTTCCAGGGACTGGCTTAAAAATGGTCTAATGAAATGTCAAAAGAGTTCTCCTGTGGAGCTTCGGAGAAGTTTCCTTACCCTTTAAAAAAAGAAAAGAAGAAAAGGAAAAGGTGATGATGATGACACACAGAAGGCATACACATTTCCATTTCTCCCTTTGGAAACTTTCATGTCTGGGTTGAGAAGTTAACAGAAAGGCAAACAGCCTGAGGTCAAAGATGACACACTGAGGATAACAAAATGGAAAGACAATCTGAGCTCTTGATGATGTGTGACTGAATGAGCCAAATTAAACAACTATAGAGCTGTTCTACTTCCAATCTAATTATGTGAGGGATAAATGTTAATGCGCTTTTTCTTTAGGTTTTCATTTAGATTTTGTAGTTTCTACGGTACAAATCTTATATTCTTTTATTGAATTTCTTAAACAAAATGTTCTTTTCAGACTATATAAGTGGAATTGTTTTCTTAATTTCATTTTCAGATTGTTTGTTTCCAGTGTACAGAAATTCCACTGGCTTTGTATAGTGATGTTTTCTACAACAGTAATGAACTCATTAAGTAACTCTAATAGCATTTTTGAGGACTCCTTAAGACTTTTCACACACAAGATCATGTCATCTGAAAATACAAATAGTTCTTCTTTACTCCAAGTAAAAAGACATTTTTAATTTCTTTTTCTAGCCTAATTGTTCTGGCTAAAAATTCTAGTACAATCTTGAAAGAAGTGGCAGGAGCAGGCATCCTAGTCTTGTTCCTGTTATTAGGGAGAAAACTTTTAATCTTTCACCACGATGTATTAGTGAACTGTGTGGGCTTTTCACAGATGCCCTTTATCAGGTTAAGAAAATTATCTTTTCTTCCACGTTTTTTGAGTGTTTTTATCAAGAAAGTGTGTCAGATTCTGTCAAATGCTGTGCTACATCTTGAACCTGGAAAGAGAAGGTTGCAGTGAGCCGACATTGAACCACTGCACTCTAGCCTGGGTGACGGAGACTCCGTCTCAAAGAAAAAAAAACAAAAAAAAACAGACTAAGGAACTCAATGGTAATTAGGTACTTATGACCTAATTACTCAGGTAATTATGACAACATTTTCGTGCCTATGAATTATAATATCAATGTCTCTTCTGTTTCTCTCAAGGAAAAATTTTAGGCCACTAATAATTCTAACTTAGAGATATTAGCAACAACTTGGTTCCTCATGATTATAACTTAAGTCCTCAGTAAAAGAATAGTCTCAAATAACTGAATACCTACATGAAAAACCTCTCTGCTAACTACACAGCCCACCTCCATTAAATCTACAGACTAAAATTACCCTATTTGTGCATATATCTCCTAACAACACTTTGCCTCCCAACTTGACTGTGTGACCAATACACAAAAATATACATGCTATTTCAACTGGGAGGAATGTTGTGGAAATGAAAGCTTTTAGAATTAAAAAACAAAAACAATCCTCTCTTTAAAAGACCAATACACCAGAAATACCAATGTTTAATTTGGCACCTCAGTTGTAGACAACAGCCCCTTTTCTAACTTTATGTTGCTTCTCAGCATTCTGTGCTTTTTCCCCTATACTCCATAACCTCTGCTGGAAGTATAAAAAATTCCAGGATTCCGTATTACTGTAGGTTCAGCTCCTTAGAGCTCAGTCCCAGTCATTCACTGGCCCATCCAGGAAACTACTTCCTCTCATTTCCAAGGCTTCCTTTAAATATTCCCCAAGTTTGCCTTATCTAAAACCTGGCTTTCTTCTGTCTTCAGGGAGCTTACAATCCAGTATGGGAATCATCGGGAAAAGTAACAAATGATGTTCCTTGGATTTGTTTTTGTAATTGCATGCACTCGCTATGGAAAGCTAAGAAGGGCATCAAACTCCAACTGGGGGTAAAGACTCAAAAAAAGATATCTATAGTAGGTTTATATGCAAGTATGACAAACATGTTTGAAAAGAATGAAGGTTAAGACAGACACACTAGTTGATAGGCTAGGCCTGAAATAATAATGAACTGAACTAAGAAAAAAGGGAGATTGACTTCAGATACCCTTTAAGCTATGTCAAAAGTTTTTTGTTTTTTTTTTTTAATTGAAATTCTAATACTTACATAGGAATAGGAACTTGACATGGAGGACACGGTAATGCAGTCTGAATAAATGCTGGCTCAGAAGGCTGTTCCCAAGGGCCTGTAGGCTGGTGCTACAAATAAAATACATAAGAATTTTAAGTCAGAGGGATTAAATCATATGGCCATTTTAAGAATCTAAGAAAATAGTTCCATGTATCCTCTGCTCAAGCAGGTTGAAATTTTTTCAAATAATCAATAAATTGTGCTTACTGAAATATTTCATTTTATCTGTATTAAATGAAATTGTTCCTCTCCACAGACATTTGATATTAATAACTGAGACAGAATCCAGTTTATAAATGGTAGAACAAAGGCAGTGTAGCCTCCTTTACTTCCAATAAGGAAATGAGAAAAACAATTGGAAACTCCAACATCTAGCAATTGAATATAATCTCCATCATTTTACTCACTGTTGTTCCTCAGCACCTAAAAAAAAGCTTGATATTTAGTAAGGGCTCAATAAATGTTCATGAGGCTGGGCTGGACGTGGTGCCTCACACCTGTAATCCCAGCACTTTGGGAGGCGGAGGCGGGCAGATCACTTGAGGTCAGGAGTTCGAGACCAGCCTGATCAACAAGCTGAAACCCCATCTCTACTAAAACTACAAAAATTAGCTGGGCATGGTAGCAGGCACCTATAATCCCAGCTACTCAGGAGGCTAAGGCACGAGAGTCACTGAACCCGGGAGGTGGAGGTTGCAGTGACCCAGATCACACCACTGCACTCCAGCCTGGGCAACAGAGTGAGACTCCGTCTCAAAAAAAAAAAAAATTAAATAACTAAAAATAAATAAATATTAAATAAAATATTAAAAAGTGAATAAATCTTTAAAATAAGATTATAGGAGATATCTATAACCCTAAACCACAATATATGAAGGAGGACTGCCAAATTCACCTGTATCATGATCATAATGTAACTATCACACTGTATTTGCAAACAATGGTTTCACTCCTTTCCTACACTGTGAGTTGCTTAAAACAAAATCAAGTCTTGATTACCTTGTACCCTGCTCCAAGCACAGTGCTTCCCAATAAGTGCTTAATCATTGCTCATTGAAAAACTAAGTAAAAGCAAGAAAGTACAACCCACAGCAATGCACTATTTCTCTAATAGTATTATTCCCTTACCCTGCCAGTCTGCTTTATTAATGCTTGATCATGACACGGAGCAGGACACAAGTGACCACATTTCTCCAAAACTTTTTGGCAAGGTTGATGACATGGTGGACAAGAACCAAAGTGACAGCGATGTTTTTCTTGACTTGTATGATGACAAGTTGGTGGTCGACTAAATCATAAAGTACAATTTTCAAAAATTACTTTTAGTCATTGAATAATTACATCTAAAGGACAATTATCTATTTACATATCTTCTGATTCCATATAGAATGAGTATACTGTGAATATTAATATTTTAAAACACTAAAGCAAAATTAAATTATTAAAAGCCAATATGAATTTAAATTTGTACAACATCAGATGGAAGCTTGTGCAAAGCTTCAAACTCACCTGCATTGCTCCTTGCACTTGGGTGGTCTTGTGGTACGTTCTCGGCCACAGGGCACTGTCACCTTTGTATTGCCACAATTACACTTCACATCTACGGTTTCTGGGCAGGGATAGCAACTGCCTGAAAAAAAAGTCTGACAATTAAAAAGTTTCCTTAACTACCCAAATGCCTATTAATGGTAAAATACATAAATTTAGTATATTCACACAATGGGATACTCTACAACAAGAATGAAGAAACTACAACAACATGAATGAATCTTACCACAAAACATTGAGCCAGACACAAGGAGTACATAGTGCATGATTCCATTTATATAAAGTAAACAAGAAAAAATGTACTGTTCAAAATCAGAGTGATAGCTATGAAGGATGCAAGGAAGGTGTTGAAAATTTTGGTCATGTTCTGTTTAATGATGTAAGTTTTGGTTACCTGGCTATGTTCAGTTTGTAAAAATTCAACAAGCTGTATACTTTTTATTTGTAATACTTTTCTCTTTTTTTTTTTGTAACAGGGTCTCAACCTGTTGCTCAAGCTGAGTGCTGTTGCATGATCACAGCTCAGTGCAGCCTCAACTTTCTGGGCTCAAGCAATCCTCCCACGTCAGCCTTCCAAGTAGCTGGGACTACAGACACACACCACCATGCCCAGCTAATTTTTGATTATTTATAGAGATGGAGGGGTCTCACTATGTCATCCAGGCTGGTCTCAAACTCCTGGACTCAAGCAATCTTCCCACCTCAGCTTCCCAAATGCTGGGTGTACAGGCGTGAGCCACTGCACCCAGCCTCTGATTTATAACACTTTTTTCTCTGTACACTGGTACCTCATAAAGTTTTAGACATTTCTCTAAAATGTGCTAAAACTTCTGTTCTAAATAACAAATTTAACACATTACTCATTCAAAACTAAAACAAGCAAAAATGGATTTAAGTCTTTGGAAAATTTAACATTAACAATAATATCGTTGGCCTACTTTCATACATCTATCCAAGTACACAATTTTTAGATGAATTCCCAATAACTTCTTTCTCATGACCTGATATTGGTTAGTAGCAAGCACAGTCAATTTTCCATTAATTGTGCTTTGTGAAAGACTAAGTACTAAGCCACCATTTTAGGATATAATCCCAAATATTTCTCTTCTAAACATAAAAAAAAATGTTATTTTGGTTTCAGCTTTTTACGCTCTTTTGTTATGGGTTGGCAAAAATATAAAAAAACAAAATCAAAGAAATCTTTAAAGCAGGCTATAAAGTTCGCTCCAAGAGGTTCTGTCATCATCTTAAGGGCTTTCTTCCACTCTAGTTTTCCCAGTAAGGAACTCTATCAGAAATGAAATAATAAAGGAAGAAGAGTTTTCAATGAAGAAATGAATATCTTAAAGAGACTGTTGCCTAGGTGTCAGGACCAAGCAAAACATGGACCGGGAGTTAACCTGATAAAAAAAAGATTAAAGATGGACAATATCCTGGCTTAAGTGCCTCTAGAAGTTCAAAATAGTTCCCTAAAACAAACACAAATTAAGAATTATAATTCAAATAATGAACACAGAAAAAGAGAAGATTAGAGGTAAAACATCGTAGGGTCAAACATAACATTTATTATACAAAACACCAAATGTGTTTTGACACATATATTCTTGATGTTAATGCAAGTCAAGTTATCCTAACCCACATATCAAGTTTTATTTTTATTTTACCTAAAGAATGACTACAAGTTGTATTTTTAAAGTTGATAGTGATATTTAAGTCGGTTCTCATTCGGCATATTATATCTGTTTCTATACTTAACAATGACAATTTTTCATTCATCTTCAGCAGAGGAACCTTTTTGTTATCAAACGTAACCTTTTTGTTATTCTAAACAACAGTATCACATTTAAATTACATCTTGAAAATAAGGGACAATTTCTCTAAACAGTCTCCCTACTGACCAACAGAATTTATTATAATTAAAAGAGCTTCCATAATACTTTCAAAATGAAGAAATAGCATAGGGAGACTATAACTATACTGACCAATACCAGTTAATAGCCAAAATAGGCATGATTCGGGTAGTTCTAAAACTATAAACACAGATGATCCTGAATTTAAAAAAAAAAACTATAAATCGGCTGGGCGCTGTGGCTCATGCCTGTAATCCCAGCACTTTGGGAGGCCGAAGCAGGCAGATCACGAGGTCAGGAGATCGAGACCATCCTAGCCAACATGGTGAAACCCCGGCTCTACTAAAAATACAAAAATTAGCTGGACATGGTGGCATATGCCTGTGATGCCAGCTGCTCGGGAGGCTGAGGCAGGAGAATCACCTGAAATGGGGAGTCAGAGGTTGCAGTGAGCCGGGATTGCGCCACTGCACTCCAGCCTGGTGACAGAGAGAGACTCCGTCTCAAAGAACAAAACAAAACTATAAATCAAATTTTCACATACCCACAACACAAACATGCAGTTAGTATATTCCCCCTATAAATTACTGTATAATTCTGATTATGAAGGATTCTAGAATGATGGAAAAATGGTATGAAATTATGATTCCACATTCTTTTATAACTGTAGATGAAACAAATATTGACAGTTGCACAACAGCATCTTCCACATACTTTACATCAAGGAAAATTTTGTTGTGACTAATAAGCTTTTCTAAGGATTAATAGAAATCTATAAAAACAAAACAAACAAAAAAACACCACTCTACCAAAAAATATCAAAACCTGAATCTGATCAAACCTCTAGATCCAATTAACAGGTTATCAAAAATATAGAGGACAGAGGAACATGTTAAATAATACCACAGAGATGCAATCTGCAAAACTCAGACTCTGAGAAACTAAATAAAGCAACCTAGTTTCTTCAACAAATAAGTCATAAGGGGAAAAAAGGAGATAGAGGATGGAAATTATAAATTAAAAGACTTTAGAGACAAAACCAATTACAACATGTCAATTTTATTAGGTTTTTGAGTCTATAAACTGATGTAAAAAATGAAGTTACTTATGAGACAACAAGAAATTTGAAAACCAGATGTTTGCTGATATGAAGAAATATGTTAACTACATTTAGGTTAAGAATCCATCTTTTAGAGACAAATACTGAAATATTTATGGGCTTTGCTTCACAAAAATATGAGACAGGGAAATGCTTCCAACACTTCTCCAGTAAGTATGATATTTGCTCTAAACTTTTTGCAGATACTCTTTATCAGGTTAAGGATATGTCTATTTCCAATTAAATTTTTATCTTATATAGATGTTAGACATTTATCAAGATGATCTCATTCCTCCTTTGGTCTTTTAATGTGGTAAATTACATAATATTAGATTTACTACTGTTAAACCAGTTATATCACAGAGATGTAGTTTGCAAAAATCTGCAAAAACTCAATGGGTCAGTGATGTAATGACTATAAAAGAAAATAAAATCTTTCTAGTGTTGGTGAGAGCATACCTGAAAAACTATTTCTAAACTTCACTGACAAATCAAAGAACACCTACAGGAAATGTCTACAGGGTAAATAGAATCTGACACTTTTCCTAATGGGGAAGGAATGTAGTATAATGGAAATAACATAAACACTGGGTTCACATCCTGACTCTGCGACTAGTTCTATTAACCTTGGGCCAATAGTCTCCCGGCCTGTTCCACATATCCCTATATGCTGCAGGATTTCTGAAAGGATAGGGAGATCAACTGAGAAACAGTTCAGTAGTTTGTTCTAGGTATTAAACTACTAAATGGCAGAGTCTAGGCTTAAATCCAGGATTTCTTACTCTAAGTCCACGATCTTTCCAATACTGTATACCATATCTCAGTAGATTCCATTTCATATCAACATAATCCAAATGAGTGAAGTTAACTCAGTTTTTAATGTCTAGTAATAACTTATAACATAATTCTCAAAGTATAGTCCAGGAACCCTAGTGGTTCTTGAGACCCTTTCAGGAGGTCTGCAAGGTCTCACATGCATAGTTTTCCAGAAGCTAGTGAAAAGTGATGTCCATAGCAGACTGAATACAGAAGCATATATGTGAATCCGGCTATTTTCTGTTAAGCTAGACATTAAAGACATTTGTAAAAATGTAAAATTTTCTACTTTTTTCAGAAAATAGTTATTTTTCATAAAACATTATTTGTATTAAGATATAATGGGTTTATTACTGCTATTTTTAAAAAATAATAAATATTATTACATTTTATTTTAATTTCAAATACAATAAATGTCAATGAATAAAACTCACATTAACAAAAGCCCTTTGGGGACCAAAGGATTGTAAAGGGGTCATGACATCAAAATGTTTAAAAATCACCAGCTTCGGACATATCTAATCCTTTACTAGATTTAACTACAAATAAGTATATAAAATTCAGAATAAATAAGGTGTTCAAAATGCTATGAACACCTTCATTGATTAAAAAATTATGTGGGGAAAGTCAGGAAGTGGGAAAACAATATGGTGTTATAGAAAGGACAATACTTTTATATACAGAAATCCTGGGTTCAAATGTACTAGACATTTCCCTGAGTAAGTTACTGAACCCTCTTAAGCTTCAACCTCTTTGCCTATAAAATAGAGACACTGGCAAACTGCCTTACCTTCTTCTCCAGGTTAAGAGAGTCAAGTGAGATAATGACTATAAAACGCTATTTCAATACATTATATTGAATATTGACAATGAAAAAAAAAACCACTACATCACTACAAACATAAAATCATAGCTATTATTAAAGTTTACCTCTGTGACAGACAGATGGACACTTATGGTTTCTACATCCTAAAGTCCGTCCACAGTTTTGATCACAAGGTGGACAGTTTCCAGGGCAACACTGAAGAGAAAGCAATATATAAAGAACAGGTAATTCAAAAACCCATGAATAATAGGCATGTCATTACTAGTTACAGAACTTATGGAAAGCAAAAGATACACTTTTCACTAAAAGAAGTATTCAAGAATATCAACATTCTTCTGGTAAGTAAACATACTTCACTAAGAACTTATGATGACCTAATTTAACAAATCAAGCTAAATTTTCCTGACTTTCAGTTAATTATTCTATGATTCAAAACATTTCCATCAGATAATTTCATTCCTTTATCTATGCAGAGACTAACAACATTAACCAAAGGAATGTCAATTCAGGAAAACAATTAGTCTGGTTTTTAAAAAAAATTTAATTAAAATCAAATTCAACGTATAGATTCATTTGGCAGTTATTTATTTTCTTTTTCTTTTTTTCTTTTTTTTTTTTTTCTTGAGACAGAGTCTGGCTCTGTCTCAGGTTAGAGTGTAATGGCACAGTCTTGACTGACTGCAACCTCCACCTCCCAGGCTCAAGCCATCCTCACACCTCAGCCTTCTGAGTACCTAGTTCTACATGCTCTCCCCACCACACCTCAGTAGTTTGTGTATTTTTGGTAGAGATGGAGTTTTGCCATGTTGCCCAGGCTGCTCTCAAACTCCTGAGCTCAAGCGATCTGCCTGCCTTGGCCTCCCAAAGTACTTGGATTATAGACATAAGCCACTGCTCCTGGCTTCGTTTGGCAGTTATTTTCAAACCATAGATTAAGAGATTAAAGAAGAGAAGCAGAGATAGGCTACTTGCATCCAGCTTTCTTTGTCACTTCCCTGGTTTCACAGACACTTCCGTGTCTGTGAGAAATATAGCTATCTATGACCTGTCCTAATTTTTCAATCATGGACACCAGTCAACTACTTCAAGTCTATATTGCCATCTTAACTCTTTCCTTAACTTCTTACTTACCTAACTTTGGAAAGGAAATACAGACTACAATTGTCTTAAAGAAACTTAGGGTTGTATATAAGAGTAAGTTTCATTATATAAAAATAGCTAAAAACAAAATGTACATTATTAAAAAGCAATTAAGTCAATACAGTTTATTCTCAAAAATTAGCCAGGCATGGTAGTGCGTGCCTGTAGTCCCAGCTACTTGCGGAGGCTGAGGCAGGAGAATTGCTTGAACATGGGAGGCAGAGGTTGCAGTGAGCCGAGATCACACCACTGCACTCCAGCCTGGACGATAGAGTAAGACTCCGTCTCAAAAAAAAAAAAAGAGGCAATATAGTTTATTCAATTAGACAAGTGTTTATTGAGTAATACTATGTGCCTATCCTATCACTTTGCCAGTGGGGGAAAAGATTATGTGGTCCATGACTTGAATAAGCCAATAGACACTTCTGTTTTGAGTTATGATGGAGTAACAACAACCAGATTTACACTCCTGTCTCAAACCACTAGAAAACCACATAAAAGATATGAAGCTACAGTTTTCAGGTATTAGATAATGAGGCAGCACAGATGGCAGTCCCTAACAGAAGGGAAACAAACTAGGTAAGTCTTGCAATGCTATCAGCTTACACATGAAGACTTCTGGCTATAGCACAAGGAGGAAGATCATAAGCAGAATCTGGCTGTCTCATAAAGTTGAGTAGGCAAAATTCGTAGTTCAGAGAGGCCAGTGTGGCTAGAATTTGTGCAGAGAAGGCAGCAGTACAGAAAAAGCTCTGAAGAACTCCAGAAAGAACTTCTTGGGTCTTTGGCTGAGTACTGGTCTGTATGTGTGTGAGAGGAAACAATCCAAAAGCTGAGAAAGAACCACTGGAAGGAGAAGGCAGAATAATTTCAAGAGATCACACAAGGCTGGGAAAAAGTCTGTGTTCCTTACAGCCAGAATAGAAGGACCTTCTAATACCTGGGCATCAAGTAGAGTACTTAGAAGACTTACTGCCTCAGTAATGGGGCCAAATTAGCCCTAAACAAAAGAGTGTTCCGGTCACACTTAAAAATATCAAGCCTCTGAAAGAACAAACAGTTTTTGAGTAACTTAACTTTGCCCCAGAATAAGGCTTAAAAATATTTAAAGAAATACAAATAAACAAACAAAAAGAACCAGCACCCAAAAATGTAAAGTTCATGTCTAGTAACAATCAAAAATCATCTAGCAGACAAAGAAGCAGGAAAACATAACCCCAAAAAAGCAGAAAAGTCAATAAACAGAAACAGACTCAGAAATGAGAGATGACAGAATTAGTACACAGGGATATTAAAACAGACATTACAAATATAGCCTATCTCACATTCAAGTAGATAGAGGAAGCATGAACATGCTAAGGAGAAACACGGAAGATATAAAAAAGACCCAAATCCAACTTCTAGAGATGAAAATACACAACTTCTCAGATGAAAAACACAGGATGGGATAAAAAGCAGATTAGACAATGCAGAAGAAAATTAGCAATGTTGAAGACAAAACTATATAAACTAAAACAGAAACAGACTGAAAAATAAATAGTATCAGTGAACTTGGAAATTCAAGCAGCATATAACATACATGTCCTTAAAGTCTCAGAAGGTGACGGGTAGGGGAAAACAGAAAAAAAAATCTGAAGAAATAAAAAACAAAAATTTCACAAATATAATAAAAACTATAAACCTACAGATCTAAGCAGCTCGATGAAAACTAGGTTAAGAAACATAAAGAACACCATACCAAGGAACACCAGAAACAAACTGCTGTAAACTGGTGATAAAGAGAAAGATCTTAATAACCAGACAGAAAAAAAGAGAAACAATCAGTACAGAGGAACAGATACAACAATCACAGCATACTACTTATTGGAAAAAATGCAAGCTAAAAGATAGTAGAGCAATACCTTTTAAGTATGGGGGTTAAAAACTGCCAAACTAGAACTCTAAAGTAAAAATATTTTTCACAAAGACTAAAGCAAGGTATATTCAGACATACAAAGTTGAAAGAATTCATGGCCAGCACTACTAGGAATGTTAAAGGAAATCCTTCAGAATAGAAAAAAAAAAATGAAATGTGATGGAAATGTGAATCTATACAAAAAGATGAAAAGCACCTAAGTAAGTATGATGATAAATATCAAAAATTACTTTTTCTTATTTTTTCAAGCTCTTTAAAAGATAACTGATTATTTAAAGCAAAAGTAAAGACAATGTATTTGGGGTTTATAAAATACACAAATATAAAATGTATGAAAATCATACATTTCAGTGATCAGAAATAGTGATCAGAAATATCAAGCTGAGAGGACAATGCACAGGACAAGAAACTATTCTCATTTGAAAAAATTGGTACAATTCCCACTAGTACAAAAATTACCTAGATTAAGCTTAATCTAGAATATTTATTAATATATTAAAGGAAAGCATATGCCTGAACATTTGAGAAACAATTCAAGACAGCACTTATTTGGGCCCAAAATGGAGAAATTCAATATAGTCTTTAAATCAGAGGTTTCCAAGGTTAATACACAAACCTTTCTTCTACATTGATGCTTCTGACAGTCACGCATCTTAACACACTTAGTTTCACACAGATAAGGTTTATGACAAGGCATTCGTTTTGTATGCTTTCCACAGCGACAATGCTTTTCCACTTCCTGGAAGAATAAAAGAAATGCTATTAAAATTGATTTTTGTTAATATTTTTTCCTCACATTGCAACTTCTACAATTATTAAAACATAATGAACAAAAATTTTAACACTAAATTTGTATAACAAACTTTACCAAAAACCAATTTGAATTTCCTAAAACATTTGCTTATATCTTACTTTGTTCCAAAAAGGACTTCATATAAATTTGTTATTAAATTCAGAAAACTGATATTGAATAGTTAAAAAAAAAAAAAATCACATAATAAAACCACTTACATTTCATTACAACCATAACATCTGCAACTCTTGTCTCAGTAAAGCCAAAAAAACTAGATTATCTAGTAAGCTAACTTGTGGACTTGGTACTGTGGTCAAAACCAGAATGACACATACAACTTTAAAGTCTCAAGTCTAGGCCTCTACTGAAGTCTTGAACACTCGAAGTCACCCATGAGGGCTGGGATCAACTTCTTATGAACTCCAGTTAATGTTGATATTTTGACCTACTCTCGTTATAATGAATGTTCTGAATGGCATCTAAAATGAGGAATCCTTTCCAGAAGGTTTTCAATTTACATTGCCAAGATTCATCAGAGGAATCACTATCTACGGCAGCTACAGCCTTAGGAAATGTATTTCTTAAAAAATAGAACTTGAAAGTCAAAATTATTCCTTGATCCATGGGCTGCAGAATGGATATTGTGTTGGCAGACATGGCATAAAAACATTCATCTTTTGTACACCTCAATCAGAGCTCTTGGGTGACCACGTGCATTGTCAATGAGCAGTAATATTTTGAAAGGAATATTTCCTGATCAGTCAGTCTCAAGAGTGGGCTTATAACCATGCCATAAAGATGTGCTGTCCATAGATGTGCTGTCATCTAGGCTTTGTTGTTCCATTTGCAGAGCATAGGCAGACTAGATTTAGCAAAATTCAAAAGATCCCTAGGATTTTTGAAATGGTAAATGAGCACTGGCTTCGATTTAAAGTCATCAGCTACATTAGCCCTTAAGAAGAAAGTCAGCCTATTCTTTGACGGTTTGAAGCTTTAACTGTGAAAGTCCTATATTGTATCTTCTTCCAGTAGAAGGCTATTTCATCTCAGTTGAAAATCTTTTGTTCAATATAGCCACCTTCATCAATTACCTTAGCTAGATCATCTGGATAACCCGACAGCTTCTACATCAACACTTGCTGTTTCACCTCGCACCTTTATATTATGAAGAGGGCTTCCTTCCTTAAACTTCATGAACCAACCTCTGCTAGTTTCAAACTTTTCTTGTGCAGCTTCCTCACCTCTCTCAGCCTTCACAGAATTGAAGTTAGGGCCTTGCTTTGGAGTATTTGGTTTAAGGTAATATTATAGTTACTTTGATCTTGTTTGCAGACCTCTAAATCTTCCTCCTTATCATCAATAAGGCTGTTTCACTTTCTTAACATTCCTGTATTCACTGCAGTAGCAATTTTAATTTCCTTCAGGAACTTTTCCTTTGCATTCACAACATGGCTAATTGATGCAAGAGAACTTTCAGCCTATTTCAGCTTTCAACTTGCCTTCCTCACTAGCTTAATCATCTCTAGCTTTTGATTTAAATGAGAAATGTGTGACTCTTCCTTTCACTTGAACATTTACAAAAGCCATTGTAGAGTTATCAATTGGCCTAATTTCAATATTGTTGTCTCTCAGGGAATAGGAAGGCCCAAGGAGAGGGAAAGAGAATGGGGAACGACTGGTCAGTAGAGCAGTCAGAACACACGCACAACATTTAACCATTAAAGTCACTGTCTAATAGAGGCATGGTTTGTGGCACCCCCAAACAATCACAATAGTAACATCAAAGATCACTGATCACAGGTTATCAAAACAGATATAATGATAATGAAAAAGTCTGAAATAGTGCAAGAATTACCAAATGTGACAGATACATGAGCACATACTGTTGGAAAAATGGAGCTGAAAGACTTGTTTTACAAAGGCTTACCATAAACCTTCAATTTATTAAAAACGCAGTATTGGCAAAGCACAATAAAGTGAAATGCAATAAAACGTGGTATGCCTGTATTCTCCTGCTTCTTATCCTAATATTAGGTCACTAAATTCATATACATCATGACACAGATGTATATGAAAATAAGTAATAGAAAACAACCACAGGACAATCTCATTTGATACATTATGATAGGTAGCTCTTAAAAGTAATTATTACAGGAGATGACTAACTTGTCTACATGTTTCACAGGGACCTCGGTGACAACGCTGTGAACATCTATGGATTCCGCATTCAAGTACTTTGTCACAACTGTCTCCACAAGTTGGTACATCTTCTGTACAAGGCAAAGAAAACTCTAAAAACATACAAAAAGTCAATGTTAATAATGAGACATTATTATTAAACATCAACAAAGTGCCATGTTCTTCAGGCTCCCTAAGGAATGCTAGCACTTTCAGACTATAAATTTTTGTATCCACATAATCATTGGGAAAAATTAACTTTAATGAAAATAATCCCTAATATTTGTGAAGTTTATGGTTTTTAAAAAGAAATTTGACACAAGTTACTATCCTCAAGAAACACATTTTTATGGGCTATCTACTTCAGAAATAGTTATCTAAAGAAATGAGTAAAGACTACATAAACCATTCATGAATTTTCCTAATGTAAAAATTTGTTTTAAAAAACTTGCTCTGAACTACCCCACAAAGACAAAAAGAAAGGTTTAGTCTTTAAAACACCACCTGGCTGACACTTATAATCTCAGCACTTTGGGAGGCCGAGACAGGAGGATTACTTGAGGCCAGGAGTTCGAGGCCAGCCTGGGAAACATAGGGAGAGCCCATCTCTACAAAAAATTTTTTTAAATGAGCCAGGCATGGTGACAGGTGCCTGTATTCCCAGCTACTGAGACGGCTGAGGCAGGAGGATCACTTGAGCCCAGGAGTCTGAGGCTGCAGTGAGCTAGGATCACACCACTGCACTCCAGCCTGGGCGACAGGATAAAACCACCTCTCTTAAAAAACTGTAACAACTACAAAATTATAAAATTCACCTGTAACATAAACATATTGTGACAAGTATTAGAAGTAGTCTTATACATATGATGCTGTTATTTGTGGAGAGTCAAAAAAGCTTACTCAAAGTGCCATCCTACTATGCCTTTATCTCAAAGCAGCCTAAAATAAACTCACCTATAACCTATTACATAATAATGACAATAGCACAGCCTCCCCTATTGTCAAACCCCACCAGACTGGTACATTTGTTATAACTGATGTACTTACATTGACACATCATAATCACCCAAAGGTCATAGTTTATATAAAGGTTCACTCATGGTGTTGTATATTTTATAGGTTTGGACAAATGTATAATGACATATATCCACCATTATAGTATCACACGGAGGAGTTTCCCTGCCCTGAAAATCTTCTATGTCTCTCCTATTCATCTCTCTCTCTCTCCCCAACCCCTGGATGCCATTGATCACCACAGTTTGGACCTTTCCAGAATGTCATATAGTTGGGGGCTTAAATTTTGTAGCTTTTTCAGACTGGCTTCTTTCATTTAGTAATATGCACTTAAGTTTCCTGGAGGACGTCTTTTGAATGTCTTTTCATGGCTTGACAGATCATTTCCTATATAAATATAAAAAAAAACAAGTCTTACTTGATTTCTGACATGGACAGAACCTTTTCCCAGATCGAGGACATTCTCCACAAGCACCAACATGGCAAACTTGCTCACATGTGTGATTACCACATGGCAGTGTTTTTCCACATACCTAAAATAAAATGCAATAAACACTAATGAAGGATTTAAAAGTTAACAAAAAAAGACTTCATACAAGACACAATCCATTTTTCAATCACAAATAAACAACTGCTTTACGTCCCTCATATTATTTTACTTTATATTTTATACAGGTGTCATACATATGTATATATAGATACATATATACATATGTATACACACACATATATTTCCTATGCACCAAAAAGTATATTTTAAAAGTACAATACAGAAAAAAACTACATGCAGCTCCATATGGCCATTCACCAAGGAGTTCTAAGTGGCATTAAAACCATGCCAATTCTAGGACAAGCAACCTATAAAATCAATCTTACTTCCTCAATTGGATTAATTCAAGAAGCAGGGAGGCGTGCTGGTTGAAGAGAGGGGAAAGAGAAGAAGGGGACAAGAGCTAGCAAGAAAGAGTACAAATGTAGTGAATCCAAAACTCAACAAATAGCTGTTACTTTGAAAAAAATTTTTCCTCTAATAATTAAAAATGATATTAAATTTAAAAGTAGTTTCTTAAAACATGATATAATTCATCTGAGTTGCTATTCTTCCTTGCCTTTTATCCAACTAAACCTGATTAGCCTTGCTGCTTTCTAGGTTGTCTATGCTTTCTGTACTCTTTAATACCCACCCCTCAAAATGCATATAAACTTACTTGATCACAGTGCCATAGTGGACTTGCACAACTTCTTTCAGCTACTTTTTTGCCACAGACACACTTTTGTCTACTAACTCTTGGACAAGGCTGACAGCTTCCTAAAACCAGAATGATAAATTAGCACAGAAACATAAAAGCAATAAAGATTGCTTTGACTTTTGCTTAAAGTCAGAAAAATCTAATGGGTATGGCCTTTTACCTGCATGACAAGGATTTTCACACTTATGTTGCCCACAAAGCAACTTCTGTCCACATGGCAGCTGACAAGACCATTCCTTGGCACTGCACCTACGAGGGATAGGTTTTGCTTTCTTACAGTAACAAGTAGTTGTGACCATCTTTGGACAAGGAGGGCAGGGACCTAGAATTCAGTAAAAGCAAAAAAAAAAAAAAAAAAAAAATCTAAAGTCAGAAACTAAAACTTTCAATTTCTACACCTATCAATAATTTCTAGAACTTTCTTTACTGACACTTTACAAAAGGCAATAACTTTCAATATTTTCTCATGGCAAACTAAACTGTGAATTCAACTTTTACAATTTTTTTTTTTGCCTCAATATAAGAAGAAATAATCACCCACAAACAATTTAAAATGCAATATATAACTCACCTGGATGACAGAGGAGTAAACATTTATGGCCACAAGGAGGTTTAAATTCACGCTCACATACTTGGCCACATGAATGAGGCACAAGCCACGGATCTAAAGGTGGATCTTCTACTTTTCCACAATAGCAATAGTACCTACTAGGTGTTTCAGATCGTTTGTATTCAAACCTACATTTTGGACTACAAAGAAGAAGAAAATTATTAAAGCTAACTTCACCTTTAAAAGCAACATGAGAGACAGAAATATACTTAACAGAGTATATTCTGTTAAATTAGTTTTATGTTAAGGAACTCTGCTCCATCTTTGTGTTAGTGAAAAAACAAGATCTTATTAAAATCTATTTCAACCATATAAAACAGCACTGCACAATACAATGTGCTGAGATGATGGAACAGTTTTATACTGGGATTGTCCAATACAGTAGCAATTAGCCACATACTGTGAGCACTTGAAACGTGGCTAGTGCTTACAACTGAGGAAGGAATCAAATTTCTTATAATTTCTAAATACTGAAACAGCTACATGTGGCTAGTTACCATGAATTAAACAGCACATATCTAGAATACAGCTACAAAAAGAAAGTAACATTAGTTTTCTACTAACCACCTGAACTTTATTGAGGAATTCACTCTGCTTTTCACAAAGCTCAACTTTTTAAGTTTTGTTTTGTGGTTTACAAATAAACAAAATATATTAGCAACAACAAACAGAAGAGAGAAGTCAGGGTATAGACATGCAATACCGCAAGAAACATGACTACAATTTAGAATTAAGGGGGAATAAACTTGAAAATAAAGAATTTCATAATTCTCAACATCTAGCACAAAAAGACATATAATTCTTTTTTTTTTCTTTTTTGAGAAAAAGTCTCACTCTGTCACCCAGGCTGGAGTATAGTGGCGCAATCTCGGCTCACTGCAACCTCTGCCTCCTAGGTACAAGAAATTCTCGTGCCTCAGTGTCCCAAGTAGCTGCGAATACAGGTGCACGCCACCACGTCCAGCTAATTTTTTGTATTTTTAGTAGATCCGGGGTTTTGCCATGTTGGCCAGGCTGGTCTTAACTCCTGACCTCAAGTGATTCACCAGCCTTGGCCTCCCAAAGTGCTGGGATTACAGGCGTGAGCCACTGTGCCCAGCCCAAAAAAAGATATAATTCGAATGTGCCTAAGTCAAAGAAAAGTTCAAATACCATGAAAGACTTTAAACTTCCATCATTAAAATACATAAGTGTTGGCAGTAGAAGTGTTAACCTTCAGCTCTATCAAAAATATACTTGTAGATCATCATAGATCAGTTCATTCTCAAAAGATGCTCTAACCTTAACTCCCAAATGAGTATAGTTAGTATATTATGCTAGAACAAGTTTCATATTAACATTTAAATTTCTTTTGTATCATATACAAAATATTTTCATTGTCACGAGAACATGTTCTGTTTCCAAATAAATGCCACATAAATACTCAAAATAACCAAAAGATATTTGTTCTTGTAATGAAAAATCAAAAACAAAATACTAAGTTCATCTGTCTGTGGAATAAGTAACTGGCGCTTTGTTGGAAGAGTTCAATTTTTTTTTATTAAAAGAAAAAGCTAGTGTGGAGGGGGATATGTATTTTTAATAAGCGTGGGTATGGATGACTAATAGGCAACTCAACATACCTTAACACTGCCCATCAGCATTGAAACTGAACTGGCCCAGTGAGGGTAATATGTGCAAACGCATGAGTTTTATTTTAAATAATGGGATGCCAACAATGAAATGTAATTATGCTAGATCTTCTTCATTAAAAAGCAGTATCTTAGTAGAAACCTATATTTTAAATTTTTTATTTCCATAAAATAACTTAAAATTATTAACATTTTACCAAGTTCTAGCTCCATCTTGATGAGGATTAAACAAAATGGGTTCTTAACCAGAATGGTCATTTATTTTCTTAAAAAAATATGAAATATGGAATGCAAAGTATATGGCACAGCTGATTAAACTGTTGTTCCTTTTAAATTAGAAGTTAACAGTACATTTTTTTTAACTGATCCTTTCCTCCTCTGTGGCAAAACGACTACTTAAAACAGAAGTGAGAAGAGCGAGGGTAAAAAAATATATACATAAGGTTTAAATCTCTAAACTAAAACCTGGCTTAATTCCGTACCTATTAGACACTAAAATTCCTCCACCACCAGTAAATAATATGCAGGAGCAAAACAAATATACTTTGAAATGTTAAACAGTTTCCAAAAAGTGTGTATTCAATGAAAAGAAAAATAATATTTCTAAAAGCCAGGTCATAAGAGATAACTCAGGTGGAAGAATAGAAAAAGCACTGAATTTAAAAGTAAGAAATCCTAGGTTTCAAATTTTGGCTCCACTACTTAAGAGTGAGGAGTCAGAAGTCATTTCCCTTCAATTAACTTCAATATCCCCACTGGTAACAGGAGAATAAAATCTCTCACAGATTGCTGAGAATTATTTTTACATACTCTTCTAAAAGTAACTAGCACATCTAAATGTTTTTAAAAACTACACCACTGGCCAGACGCAGTGGCTCATGCCTGTAATCTCAGCACTTTGAGGGGCCAAGGTGGGTGGATCACTTGAGGCCAGAAGTTCAAGACCAGCCTGGCCAACATGGTGAAACCCCATCTCTACTAAAAATACAAAACTTAGCCAGGCATGGTGGCAGGCACCTGTAATCCCACCTACTCTGGAGGCTGAGACGGGAGAATCGCTTGAACCCGACAAGCAGTGGCTACAGCGAGCCAAGAGCGCACCACTGCACTCCAGCCTGGGCAATACAGCAAAACTCTGTCTCAAAAAAAATTAAAATTAAAATAAAAAAAAAATTTAAACATAAAATTAGTTACTAAAGTTACAAAATGTGACCACACAGAGCCCATGAAGCTTATGCTTCATTACTTTGACAGTCAATCTACCTCTCTGGGCAGCCAATATGAATAAATTTCTTATTGTCTTTACTTAGCAGAGATATAAAATTCTACTCTCCAACTCTTTCTGGAAATATAACAAAAGTTCTCCAGATCAAATAATCATCAATAATAAGCAAAACTAATAAATGTAAAAAAATGATATTGTATAATATACACCTGCAGTTTTGAGATTTGGGAGGATAAAACTGGGAATCTTATAATCAAAATACATTAAATGATAGTCTTGTACAATGTAATAATAATGCATACTCATAGAATTCTGGACAAGAAGATCACAATTATGAATGATTCTCAGTCCTAAAGAAAATTGAAAGTCCTTTCAAAGGATAATTAAGGAATTGTTTTGCACAGGAAAAATTAAGTCTGGATGATTTATTAGTTATCAAAAGGAACTAGTAGTTATAGAAATTCAAATTGAAAAAAACAAGACTTTATCAAGATTCCACATCTTCACACACCAAATGACTAATTAAAAGCCCAACATGGATATTGAAACCACCAATAAAGCAACTTAGAATCTACAATCTTCATTTATTCTACAATTTAATAATCCAATTAGGCCAGGCGTGGTGGCGTGCCAGCCTAGTTGGCACTTTGGGATTTTTTGGGGTGGGTCACCTGAGGTCAGGAGTTCAAGACCAGCCTGGCAGACATGGTGAAACCCTGTGTCTACTAAAAATACAAAAAATTAGCCAGGCATAGTGACAGGTGCCTATAATCCCAGCTACTCAGGAGGCTGAGACAGGAGAATCTCTTGAACCCAGGAGGTGGAGGTTGCAGTGAGCCAAGATCGCCACTGCACTCCAGCCTGCGTGACAAGAGCAAAACTCCATCTGAAAATAATAATAATAATCCAACTAATTAGAAAAAGTTACCAAGGCCAGGGACAATCTTTCTTTCCAAAATCATCATCAGTCACAGAAGATACAAGAAACTGGCTGTCTTTAGCCCACTTCTGGATACAGGGCATGTGAAATATACAGAAACATCCCGAACAGCTCCAAACCTAAGACAAATGTATCAGAAGTTAATATATGTTAATTTTTCTTTGTTAATTGTAAAATAATTTAAAATGAGTATCACACTAAACTATTTTCAAGAGCTACCTAAGGATTAAAGAAAAAAGGTCTTTCCTTCCAGTATAACAGAAGAACTGTTTCATGGGAAATGCATTTAAATGTAGGATACTTCGAAGAAAATTATTATTAGTCAAACAGATTCATTCAGCTAGAAATAATTACTGCTAACATTCTGGACAATCTCCAAATTTATATATATATATTTTTTTCATACTTTTAAAAAATGAGGTCATACTATAATAACTGAAATGTAACTTTATAGTCTTTTCTATAAGCATATTTATAGCTATACATTACACCATGTAGACTTACGTACTTAAATTTCTTGTTGGATGATTATTTCCAAGTATAAATAACACTACAAAAGAATCTTTAAACATAAATATGTACATATATCTCTACACAGCCCTTTTGTTATATAAAACCTATTAGTCTAACACCTAACTAATGCTAAATTCTAAAAATTAGGTAATCAAAAAACAAGAATATACATAATTTAAAAGCTTAAGAAATAATACTAAATTAATTTTTAAAACCTGCCAAACACTTTGATAAAACTGATAAAAATCAGTTCCCCTTTCCTTATAACATTTTACAACTGTTTGATAAAATCAGACATGTAGCATATCGCATGAGCTAACAACAGCATTAAACAGCCGACTTCTTAGTTTGGGTTACCCCCAAAGCGGTATCTAAGAACTTGGATGCAGGAGTAAGGGGACTAGACAGGGAAAAAGAAATAACCAATGAATGGCATATGGTTGAGCTGATTACCACTAAGGGCCACAGAAGCTCAATCCTCCAGGGGACCCTCTGTAAAACCATGTAAAACACGCCTTGGACTGCCCAGCCCCACTCGCTAATGGAAAGGAGGTTGGGGCATTCACCTACCAACTCCCTGTGGTGCAATGTTGCTGCAAGGGGCTTTAACTCCCCAGTGCTTCTGCACTATACCCATGTACTAGCTAAGTCAATTTCCAAGAACAAAATTGAGAGGCGGAAAAAACGCACACACACAGCAAATGTTTAAAGTGGGTTTCTATCTGCATGCAGAGACTATGCATTCCCTGCAGCTGAAATCAGAGTAAACCAACTAGATGTGACTCTAGGCACAAAAGGCATCTGTATCTGCTATACTCTTCTACCCAACCAGAGCATGTTAAATTTCTGATTCACTCTACATGACCAAACTATTTCATCTGACTTGATTTGCTTTCTCTAGGCAATGCTGCTATAATAGCAGTGAATTAATCTAAGGTCTAAATGTTGAGTCTTTCACATTCAGTAATCACTTCTTAATTGCTTCATTAATGCCCTTTTAAATTTACACATATATATCTTTATCACTACGCCATATCTCCTCCAAGGACATGAGTTTTGTCTGAATCTCTCTCCCGACTGACCCTCACCACTTCCCAAAATGCCTTTAACACAGGATACGCTAACTAATTAAGCCATAAGTGTTACTGCCAAGTTCTACTTTCTTGAAGATAGGGACCGTATCTTTTTCCAAAAGTAATAAAATATAGTACATTTAACATTTCACTTTTGTGGGAATCTCTAAAGTACAGATGCTAAAAATGTTCTATCAAATCAACATTTGCATTAAAACTGAAGACAACTAAGTTATATCAATAGTGCTAAAAATACTGGATACTCATTTAGTGGTAATTTTTTTTTAATTACAGATTTTAAAATGAAGATCAATTCATATACAAAATTCTCAAATGAAGCATTTTTAAACATAAGTAAACAAAAGAATAATAAATCGTTAAGTATTGTAAGGCAAACTAAGGTATTTTGGGGAGATACATTAATATAAATAAGGAGAAAAACTTACTGCTTGGTTTCTCTTCACCGAAGCAATACAAATTAGGCATGTCATAGCCCCTGCTTGAAAAGCTTCATTTACATATTGTTTTGTTCGCTCTAATTCACGTGTATCTCCATCTGGAAATTTAAAGATTGAAAATCTCACCCTAAACAACATCTGAAAATAACACAAACTCACTAATAGCACCATATTATGTAAGAACTGTCTAGCAATATCAATTGCTCAAAATATAGCTGTAAAACAAGAAGTTTTTTTTAAAAAAGTAACCAATGAGCTGTCAAGAGGTAACGAAGTCTGTGTATTAAATCTTGTGTACTTTGTTCAAAATCAGTACCTCAGCTCTCTCTCTCAGTTATACTTGCTTTTTTGGCTGTTAGAATTCTCAACAAATTTGGCAGAAGCAGAGCCATAAGCAACAGCAGCAAGATGTAAAGTCTTAAGGAAAAGCAAAGTGTGAAAGGAAAAGCCTAAACTAATTAGTAGAGCCACTGAGCATAAATATAAGCATAGATGTGAGTGAGTGGGGGTGGGGGTGGGTGTGTGTGTATGAATTTAGCAGGTGTATTCTTAATAAAAAGTTGTTGAATGAAAAGACCCTGAGGTTTTTACAGTACAATAGCCACATCTCATGAAATCATGTTCACTATTTCTGCTTAAGAAGGTAGCATAAGCTTTTTAGAAAAAACAGTACCTGACATTATTTTCTTTCAGTAATTATTGAGTGCTTATTTGCTAGACACCGTACTATTAGTACTTCAATAGGATTAAATGAGCTATTATCTTCATTTTACAGATGAGAAAACTGAGGCACAAAAGAATTAACTTCAGTTTGCCTACAAAGTGAACCCTCTTAACCTCTATGCTGCACTGCAGTGAGCAGTTACTGCAGGAAGGTCCAACAAATAACAAGCAACAGCAAAATGAAAAACAGAATGAGTCCTCTAAAGCACAAATGACACCAAAAGGACAATAATCTGAGTCACTTTAGTATGAGAGAAATAAGCCTACATGCCTTTAAAACAATAAAGATTGTTCAATAGTGGTTAACTGAGTCTTCAAAAAAAGTAGATTAAAACGTAAACTACCATAAGTACAGAACTTACCATGGCAATAACGTGGTTCAAGCCAAAATTTAAGTTGCCAAAAAGAAAAATTAAATAAATAGGACATGTGGCTAATTCTTTACTTTCTAAAATCATCTGAGTAAACACGGCACTTACAAAAGCTTGCCCTACCATAAAATAAATATGATTTAGAACATTAAGCAAAATAAACGCAAACATACTCTCAAAACTATAAATTATTATAAAATTATTAAAGACAGTTGCTTTATTTTAAACAAACATTGAAGTTTTTAAAAAAATCCTTAAAAGCAGAATAGTATGGGGCGCCTATTTTGCTTTTCAACAAAGCTGGCATTAACAGATACAAAACATTTTAAATTTCATCTAATTTAACAGCTAACTCAAAAAACAGAATTTAAGAAGAAGATAGAACAGGCTTTTACAAAATAAAAACCAACCTTATATTTTAAAAATTTATGTAAGATTTCTTTGAAACATGTATTAAAGTTTGGCTGCATCAATAAAATGTACTGCCCAGCACATCACAGCGGATAGCATGCTATTTGAAGTCATGCATTTTAAAAAGATGACTCTGGCAACTAAAGAAAAATGAGTATGTGGAGGCCAAGACTGAAAGCTGGAAGTACCAGTTAAGAGACAGTTACAGCAGATTAAGCAAAAAATGACTTTGAGCAAGTTACCTAATGTGTCTCAGTTTTGTCATCTGTAAAACTAGTAGTAACAGTTATCTACCTCACAATTATCATATGGATTTAATCCACATGTTAAGCAGCTGTAAAGGCTTGAAGTAGGCAATGACAGTACACAGGCAGAGTAAGGGTAGATTTAAGAAATTTAGGAAGTAAAACTTAGGAGGACTTGGTGACAATGAGATTGTGTCTGTTTTAAAAGCTGATGTTCATGTCAAGATTCAGAAGGAAAGAGGGCTGTGTCTGCTGAGCTAACATGGGCAGAGGGAGAATTGCAGTAAATGACATGCATATGCCATCTCTGCTCCCAGATGTCTGGCTTGGGAGGGTGACTGAGAAAACTGTAGTGCTATTAAGATTAAGAAAACAAAAGAATAAATAAGTTCTCTTTCAACAGCAGTTTGATGGGTCCACGTGCCAGCAAGATAGAGATACTCATCAGGAAGTTGGCCATGCAAGTTTGAAATTTGAGAGAAGAATCACAAAAATGCAAAGGCTGTGCTCAAATAAAAATGAACTCCTTTGGTAAAGTCCTGGTCTTCAATTCACTAATGTTAAGGTGGGAACCATCCCATTACTCTGGAATGTATGTTCTTAAATCAAGTGATCAGATTTTCTTACATTGGTAGAGGCAAAGGAATGGGAATCATATACTAATGGATTTTATACAAAACACAGCATAAAAAAATTACCATAACACTTTTAAGATTAAAACCAGATTAAAAATTAATAAAACTTACAAATGACAAATGTTTTCTACATACTAGACTGAAAGACATTATTGCATTTTCTATTTTAAAATAAAATGACTCTATCTAGAATGGTTTAAGTGAGTTCCTCTCAAAGCAGAAAACTTCTTAAGATTATTTTCTATAAGGTCCTTCAGAAACAAGAAACCCTCTAACCTTAGAGTTACTTTTTATCAATTCTTACCTTGCCAACCTAGACTTCTCAGCCAAACTTCCTAATCTTAATTCCTTAGCAGATATGGTAAATTCCTTAGAAACCTACTTGATGATGTACAACTATCTTCATGATCCTATCAATATACTCAGGCAACTATCTAATCACCAAGGTTATGTGTTGGGAAGGGAAAGGTGAAATACATCGATCCTTCTGTCTGAAGACTTGATTAACTCTCAGCCAGGCACAGTGGCTCACGCCTGCCACTTTGGGAAGCTGAGGTGGGAGAATTCTCTGTAGCCAGGAATTCAAGACCAGCCTTGACAACACAGGAAAACACTGTCTCTACAAAAAAATTCTAAAAAAATTAACCAGGCATGGTGGTGTGTGCTTGCAGTACCAGCTACTTGGGAGGCTAAAGCAGGAGGGTCACTTGAGCTCAGTAGTTCAAGATTGTAGGGAGCTATGATCACATCACTGCACTCCAGCCTGGGCAATAGAAGAAGACTGTCTCCAAAAAAAAAAAAAGACTAACTCTCATGCTCTTTATTTGCGTTTATGCTAACTAATGCTCAAACTCTGCTATGCTTCTGATTCTGTCATACTAACTAACAGGCCTGAATCCTGGCATCACTGGCCTTATACTTCTCATGAAAGCACAAGATAATAACTAAGGAACACATTAGTATAGTGTAGATGGAGAGAGCTTAGGATGTGGGGCCTTATGATCAAGGGAAGACATGACTGAAAAAAGAAACAAATTTTTGGCCTGGCGCAATGGCTCACGCCTGTAATCCCAGCACTTTGGGAGGCCGAGGCGGGCGGATCACGAGGTCAGGAGATCAAGACCATCCTGGCTAACACAGTAAAACCCCGTCTCTACTAAAAACACAAAAAATTACCCGGGCATGGTGGCGGGCACCTGTAGTCCCAGCTACTCGGGAGGCTGAGGCAGGAGATTGGCATGAACCCGGGTGGTGGAGCTTGCAGTGAGCTGAGATTGCGCCACTGCACTCCAGCCTGGGCGACAGAGTGAGACTCCGTCGCAAAAAAAAAAAAAAAAAAGAAACAAATTTTTTAAAAGAAAGCAGCAGTTACGATAGAAAATCTCTAATAATCAAGCCACAAAATACATTAAACATTCCAGCAAACAGATATACAGCACAGACTACACAACAGGCACTACTGTAAGCACTACAGTACTTACACATACTGATTCATTTCATCCTAACAACTCTACAGTATTTAGTATCATTATACCCATTTTACAAAAGAAACTAAGCCCCTAAGATGCTAAGCAATATGTCAAACATCCTACAGCCAAGTAACAAAGCCAAGAATCAAACCGTAGCAATCTGATTCAAGTGTCAATGTTCTTAACTGCTGTACAATGCTGCTTTTTCCCCATAAACAGGTACAAAAGTAACCGTCTAGTCTCCTCAGAATTTTCCTGCTTTTACAGAGAAAATGAAATCAGCCCAGTAATGGCTCTAAAGCTAAGTCAACTAGGTTTAAACCCAGCTCTGCCAATTACTAATTGTCTAACTCTAGGAAAGTCACCTCTCCTCTGTAGAATTGTTTCCCAAAATATTTGTAAGGTTTTTCCTGGTTTTAACAGTATACTAAAGTAAGAAAAAGAACCAAGCAAGGGCATAAATATATATTACTAATAAAAGGTATATAAACAATATGACATATCTACAAATATATTAATAAATGTTGACATTACATGCAAAAATATTTCTTTCTTTCTTTTTTTTTTTTTAATTGAGACGGAGTCTTGCTCTGTCTCCCAGGCTGGAGTGCAGTGGCGCAATCTCAGCTCACGGCAACCTTCACCTCCCAAGTTCAAGCAATTCTCCTGCCTCAGCCTCCTGAGTAGCTGGGATTACAGGTGTGTGCCACCATGCCCAGCTAATTTTTTTGTATTTTTAGTAGAGACGGGGTTTCACCATGTTGGCCAGGCTGGTCTCAAACTCCTGACCTCAAGTGATCCCCCGGCCTCGGCCTCCCAAAGTGCTGGGGTTATAGGCGTGAGCCACTATGCCTGGCCTACATACAAGAATATTTCTAATAATAATTTTAAAGTATAAAAGGCAGAAAGTTTAATAATATTTACATTTAAAATAATCTATTTTTACACTTAATACTAAAGTGGTACACAGCAACATCACTTTGGCCCTCTCTCACATAAACAAACGTGGCTTTAAGAGCAATCAGATATAAACCACAGATAACACGAATGTACATGTCAAACCTGAGGAAATTTAGGTTTTTTAAAAAAAGTACGGCTAGGTGCAGTGCACATGCCTGTAGTCTCAGCTACTCAGGAAGCTGAGGCAGGAGGATCACTTAAGCCCAGGAGTTGAAGACTGCAGTGAACTACGCACCACTACGTACCACTGCGCTCCAGCCTGGGCAACAGAACAAGACCCCAACTCTAAAAATAAATACATGAAAATCAGATGTTGTAAATAAGATATAAAATAAGGAAATAAAGAATTAAAAAGACTTCAAGACGCATTTAACATGATGAAAAAAAATGAATAGATTGAAAGGAGTACACAAAGTACTCTAGTTCAATCAAATCATCACAACCAGAAAAAACTTGCCCCAGTCCACCGCTCAGGAGCTTTAGCAGCCCCATCCAAGCATTCTACTGAAATGCCAATTAAATACACACAAAGGCCTCCTAAGGCTATAAAAGAGCCACTGCCATTCTATTTGCTTTATAGAAAAATTAGTGTTACACAATATATAACTCAAATACCAAAGTGTACAAAAATTCAACTCTATAACATACAGTGCTCATCTTAAGATATAAAATCTATTCCATATAGAACAAAGGCATTACCAAAAAAATGTCAGGAATACAGTTTCATTGACGTCAAAAGTCAAAATTTAAAAGATCAGTACCTGTCTGAGTAGTGTATGTTATAAACGTATTTGCAAGTATTTTTCCCTGTTTTCCTTCAAAATCTTCATCTCCTTCTTCAGATGAAGAGCTAAACTGTTCTTCAACAAGTTTTCTGGCTGCAGCTTGGTTAGCTTTCTTGATTTCTTCAAATTTTTTCTGAGACATTAGCTCTGTTTAAAAGAAAAAAGTTTCATTTCTGCAAAACAATCTCTCAAAAAGAAAAGCATAATGTGCTAATATATCATTTTACAACACACATTTGAAAGTCACCTTTGGAGCATTCTACCTTCCTGTAATCCACGAGAAAAGTATTTTCAAATTCCTTGACACACAACTAAAGAGAATACCACAACAAAAACTTTCACTTTTCTAAGTATCCTGCTAAAATGCAGCAAATTTTTATGATAACGGTGATTAACAAATCAAGAAAAAAAATATGAAAATACAATAAAACTATCAAAATACTGGTGATCAACTTCAAAATAAGGACTAACAAAAATTAAGATGTTTTAAAGTACATTGTGCACAGTAATTTTTAAGAAGTGAGGGAACATGTCCACAGTGAGCACATAAAGAATCAGGGAAGGTAGGTATTTCAAACTACCGTCTTCTGAACAACAGGTAGGATAGGACACGACGGCCCAGCCCAGTCCAGTCCAGCCCTACCAAAGAGTTTGTACCAACAGTACTCACTATGCACCCACTATATTTACAATCGGCTTCTTAGGTCAAGAACTTTTTGCCTTTATTATGGACTTCTTGTGGTCACACAAAAAAACATATTTTACATTAATCCACACAAAGTATTAACATGGAAAACATGTTTCTTCCAACTTCATTCCAAAAAGAATGTTAATTTTGGATTCGTTCTTCCACTATTCAGCACTACCTGTACTTCTCATTTTGTTACTTGATTAATCATGCAAAACAAAACCAGATTACTTCACTGCACATACTCCCAAAGAAACTTCAAACTTCTTGAGAGCAAGGACCACAGGGATTTTCTTCAAGCACTAAGTGTTAATAAGCTCTTACGGACAGCAAACATAGTTTAAGAAAGGAGCCACAAACCTGCAGAACTGATCTGAGTTCATGAATTCCCATCTTGAGAGGATTTTAAATTTACTGATTGACTATTTTAAAATTAACATTATACTTAAAACTGATAAGCCACTACCAAGATAAGCTCTCTTATCTTGGGTGGTATATTCGTACTTGATTATGTTCCCTCATGAAACATTTTCCTTTTCTTATTGCAGCCAGTTTGGTTAGGGGTTATTAACAAAACAAATTGAGTATTTCAAGTAAACCTCGACGAAAATGTGTATCATGCTTACCTAGCAAGCTTTGAGTACTGGGAAAAAAGAACTGGCTATGAGATATATAACTCAAAACTTGTCACAAAAGAGATGATAAATGTCATTAATATACGGGAAATTAGCACTTAAAAGATACATAAGAAAACAGGCTGAACTGGACAGAGATAATGAGAACATTCATAACCTGATAAATGTATTCACCTAACATCATCTCAAAGTAAAGAGAAGCTGACAAGACAACCTTCTCACGTATTATTTCTTACAGCCAAATCTCAACTGTCCAGGTAGAGAATGCTTGTTTTCTTTTTCTTTTCTTTCTTTTTTTTTTTTTTTTGAGACGGAGTCTTGCTCTGTCGCCCAGGCTGGAGTGCAGTGGGGCAATCTCGGCTACTGCAAGCTCCGCCTCCCGGGCTCACGCCATTCTCCTTCCTCAGCCTCCCGAGTAGCTGGGACTACAGGCGCCTGCCACCCCGCCCGGCTAATTTTTTGTATTTTTAGTAGAGACGGGGTTTCACCCTGTTAGCCAGGATGGTCTCCATCTCCTGACCTCATGATCTGCCCGCCTCGGCCTCCCAAAGTGCTGGGATTACAGGCTTGAGCCACCGCGCCCGGACAGAATGCTTGTTTTCCTTCTACCCACGAGATGGAGACCATCCTGGCTAACACGGTGAAACCCCGTCTCTACTAAAAAAAAAAAACCAAAGAACAAAAAACAAAACATTAGCCAGGCGTGGTGGCAGGCGCCTGTAGTCCCAGCTACTCGGGAGGCTGAGGCCGGAGAACGGCCTGAACCCAGGAGGCAGAGCTTGCAGTGAGCCGAGATTGCGCCACTGCACTCCAGCCTGGGCGACCAGCGAGACTCTGTCTCAAAAAAAAAAAAAAAAAAAAAAAGTTTACCAAACCTGTTCACACGTCTCCATATTGTATACCTTATCATCACGGCCATTAACTGCATGCTAAGAGAATACCACCTACCTTTCAAATTAGCCTAGGAGAAAAATCATTCAAGATACTCAATTCTGCTCCACACCCCCCAAAAAAATGTATCCTGAAATGCATTCCAAACACAAAAATAAAATGATTTCAGGGATTATTCCCTCGGCCCCATGCACAATTGTGTGTAAGTCCTCCCTGGCTCCACGAAAACATGGTCTTGGATGAAAAGTATTGATATATCGGAGGCAACACCAGATATGTCCACAGAAGGACATGGAATTTGTAAATAGGAACTACAGTCAAGGAAGGTATCAAAAGCTCAAGTGCTTACAAGGAATAAGACAAGTCAAGAAACAAAGGCAAAGGTAAAGATGACAAATGACACCTGGCTCCAGAAATGAGAGAGAATGTGAGATGGAATGCCCAAGTCCAATCTAAATGGGATTTCTGTGACTCAGCCGAGCTGACTGTTGCCATGCACAAAGATAACTAAAGCCACAAGGTTGTTAACCAGATTTTTAAAAACGACAAACAACCGCTGACAATCAATCCACATTTAAAACTCTGTGTTAACCAAACAACATTATAGACCAAATCAGAACACCGGGCCACAATTTACAACTGATGGTCTGGAGATTCAAGTAGGCAAGAGTGGAGGGAAGTAACAAAGGTAATACCACCTAAAATTAAGATGAAAGAGGTGCGATGGAAATCTACCTAGAGTGCCGAAAAGAGCAGCCACCCGAAAGGCTGGAGAAGTGGGCCCGATAACAAACTCCCGAACGAGGGGAAAAGCAGTGAAAGAAAGAAGGCGAGGGCGGAGGCGGTCCTGACTAGTAACTGCCTTAGGAGGCATCCAGGTGAGCACGCGGGCGGGAGCCATTCTCACCGCTGGCTGCGGTAGTCTGCAGGGCTTGGGATCCTGCGGGGCTGTGCCTGCTCCCTGCAGCCGCCGTGGTCGCGACTCCTCCGGGACTGGTGCCAGAAGGAACTGCGCCCACCGACCCCTTCTCTCGCCCTCCTCCGGCGCCGCGGAGATGGACTCCATTTCCTGAGGGGGCGGCAGTGGCCCGTCCCCGGGATCGGCCTCGGCCACCGGCCACCTGGCGCCAGGAAGCTTCCATCCCTGCAAAGGAGAAAAAAAAAAAAAAGAGTGGAAGGAGGTGAGCGCAGCGAGGACCGAGGCGAAGGAGGGTCAGTGCGGAAACCCGGTGTGAGGGGCCGAGTGAGGAAGGTTCCTGCAGGGCGGCGACCGGGTTTTAGGAGGTCGCGGCCCTGCCTTTACCGGAGGGCGAGTCCCCGCCAAGCCCGGGCTTTGGAGATGGACCGAAGAGGGGAGGGAGGACTAGGTACAGAAATAAACCGCGGAGCAAGAAGCACACAGTGCCGAAGACAGAAAGCCGGAGGAGAAGTCGAAACCGCCTCCTCAGCCTCTGCGGGAGCGTGGTAGGGGAAGAGTCACAGACTGACCCTGCGTCTCCCGCCGGGAACCAACTGCAGTGGTACACCCCACGGAAAGCTACGTCTCCTTACCGACTGCGCACGCCCCCAACAGACTACAACTCCCAGAAGCCCCCGCCCGCGTTCCGGCGACTGCGTGGCAGCACGGGCCGCTTCCTTATCCGGTAAAGTGCGGGGGTTGGGTGGGAGGGAAACCCCAAGCGCCTGCGCTGGCCCGAACAGGCCTTTGGGAACTACAACTCCCGGCGTGCTCTGGGGCTAGGGAGGGGTCGAAGGTCATAGGGGCGCGTGGTGGTGGAGGCGGGCGGGTCCGGAGGGTTTCGTGACCCCACAATTTGCTTCTGCTTCTGCAAGACTGCCCTAAACTCACCTGGGTATGAGGATTACATGGCTCTGTCCCTAATTGGCTCTCTGCCATCTTTTATTAGCCTTGCCTTTGAGCTTGCGGATGACAGGAGGTGTCAATGTAAAATAATCAAAAGCGCGAAGTTTGAGGATAGCCTACCTAGAAACACCGACTCCAAGGAAGGAGTCAGCGTTCCGAAGTAGAGATTTAAGATTTCACTTATATAGGCAGAAACTGAGAGGTTTTTTAGCAGGATTACAGCATTTTCTCATACAAGGTTAGAGAATAGTTACAACAATTTGATTATAGACAGTGTTTCTTTTTGGGAAGTGTACATTTAACATTTTTCATAAAGGATTTTCTGTCATCTGGTCTAAGCAAACCGGGGCAACAAAGCAGAAGTTAATCTATAAGGATCATTAAGAAGGCAGGAAGTTTTTGTCCTTAACTTCGTTTAATTCTCTCTAGCCATTGTATAGAACAAGAAAAATAAGAAAGCAAGTTAATCTATAATCTGAGAAACAGAAGTTGTAACCACGTGTAACTCAGATGACAGTCACATCTCTCTCCAGGCTTAGTGAGTTTTAGGCTCCAACAACCTTTAAACTATTTATTTTCATAGGGAAGTCTCACTAACAGGAAAGGCACTTACATTGAAAACGCTTTGAGGTTGGCCACTGTGAAGGAGGGAAATTCGGGGGAGAGTTGCAGGAAAGTGGCTTGAGTAGTAAAAGTACCCTTCTAAAATGCTAGAGCCAATGTAGAAAATAAATCTAAAGCCTGTTATTGTCATAGTCCTTTGTAGTGTGCAATGAGCTTTCCCTGGGACATGCTAATTTTTACCTTCACAGCATCTCCCTAAAGTAGATTTTGTTAAGGAAAATAGTTGAGGGCCAGGACCTAAATCTTATGATTTTGCTGAGTTTTCCAATAAGATACATGTGCATATATACTGACAGGTAGATTGCAAAAATTCATTCTGGGGTCTGTCTGGGATTGAGAAACATATTGATGGCTTATTGTACAGTCCTTCAACTTAGTTAATTCTTCTATTTTAACCATAAATTTCTATTATAATATTTAGATAGCATTTATTAGATGTCAGGCACTGTTTAAAGTGTTTTACGTTATGTATTAACTAATTTGGTACTCACAGTAACCGTGTTTATTATCCCCGTTTTACAACTGAGAACACTGAGGCACAGAGAGATTAAGCAATTTGCCCTTGATCATACAGCTAGGAAGTAGTGAAGCCAAGATTCAATCCTAAGTAGTCTAGTATTAGAAACCATGCTTTTAATGTCTTAAACATAGATATTGCAGAATTGCCTGTACATTAACCAAACTCAAAAATGACATCCCATGGCCAGGCATGGTGGCTCACGCCTGTAATCCTAGTACTTTGGGATGCCAAGGCGGGTGGATCACCTTAGGTCAGGAGTTTGAGGCAAGCCTGGCCAACATGGCGAAACCCTGTCTCTATTAAACATACAAAAATTAGCTGGGCATGGTGGTGGGTGCCTATAATCACAGCTACTAGGGAGGCTGAGGCAGGAGAATTGTTTGAACCCAGGGGGCGGAGGTTGTAATGAGCCAAGATCGCGCCACTTCACTCCAGCCTGGGCAAAAGAGCAAAACTCCGTCTCAGAAAAATGAAAAGAAGAAAAGAAATAACATCTCTGAGAATGATATAACTTCATTGGCTAGAAACTAACAGGTGCACAGCAACTCTCTTAATGCTGCACTTGTATAAGAACTGTAAGTTTAAAGCTGCAACCAGCTTTCAAAGTTTGAAAACCCTAAAGTGAGACTTTTCTTCAGTGGGGTTTTCACATACAGGAAAGGAGCTGTTATACTCTGAGAGAGAATATAGTAATTATCACTGAGTAATGTCCAAGAAGTATTGAGTGGCTACTAAAAAGAGAGATCCTTCTTAGAATTATGTTATATGCCAGAGAGCTGGACTAGCATATTATCTAAATTTCCATGTCAAACTTTATTGAGAAATTTTTTCTGTTCCCTCAAATATTCAATAGCTAATAACAGTGACCAGCAATCCTTGAGTGCTTTCTATGTGCCAGCATTCTTCTAGGTCCTTTTTTCTTTTACTCATCTAATCTTCACAATAACCATGAAGTAGGTATTGTTATCGTCAAAACAATTTTTTTTTATTATACTTTAAGTTCTAGGGTACGTGTGCACAATGTGCAAGTTTCTTACATAGGTATACATGTGCAATGTTGGTTGGCTGCACACATCAACTTGTCATTTACATTAGGTATTTCTCCTAAAGCTATCCCTCCACCAGCCCCCCACCCTGCAACAGGCCCTTGTGTGCGATGTTCCCCTCCATGTGTCCATGTGTTCTCAGTGTTCAACTCCCACTTATGAGTGAGAACATGTGGTGTTTGGTCTTCTGTCCTTGTGATATTTTGCTGAGAATGATGGTTTCCAGCTTCATCCATGTCCCTGCAAAGGACATGAACTCATCCTTTTTTATGGCTGCATAGTATTCCATGGTGTATATATGGCACATTTTCTTTATCCAGTCTATTATTGATGGACATTTGGGTTGGTTCTAAGTCTTTGCTATTGTGAATAGTGCCTCAGTAAACATGCCTGTGCATGTATCTTTATAGTAGCATGATTTATAATCCTTTGGGTATATACCCAGTAATGGGATTGCTGGGTCAAATGGTATTTCTAGTTCTAGATCCTTGAGGAATCGCCACACTGTCTTCCACAATGGTTGAAATCATTTACACTCCCAAGAACAGTGTGAAAGCATTCCTATTTCTCCACATCTTCTCCAGCATCTGTTGTTTCCTGACTTTTTAATGATTGCCATTCTAACTGGCGTGAGATGGTATCTCATTGTGGTTTTGATTTGCATTTCTCTGATAACCAGTGATGATGAGCATTTTTTCATATGTCTGCTGGCTGCATAAATGTCTTCTTTTGAGAAGCGTCTATCCATATATTTTGCCCACTTTTTGATGGGGTTGTTTTTTCTTGTACTTTTGTTTAAGTTCTTTGTAGATTCTGGATATTAGCCCTTTGTCAGATGGATAGATTGCAAAAATTTTCACCCATTCTGTAGGTTGCCTGTTCACTCTGATGATAGTTTATTTTGCTGTGCAGAAGCTCTTTAGTTTAATTAGATCCCATGTGTCTATTTTGGCCTTTGTTGCCATTGCTTTTGGTGTTTTAGTTATGAAGTCTTTGCCCGTGCCTGTGTCCTGAATTGCATTGTCTAGGTATTCTTTTAGGGTTTTTATGGTTTTAGGTCTTACATTTAAGTCTTTAATCCATCTTGAGTTAATCTTTGTGTAAGGTGTAAGGAAGGAATCCAGTTTCAATTTTCTATATATGGCTAGCCAGTTTTCCCAGCACCATTTATTAAATAGGGAATCCTTTCCCCATTTCTTGTTTTTGTCAGGTTTGTCAAAGATCAGATGGTTGTAGATGTGTGGTGTTGTTTCTGAGGCCTCTGTTCTGTTCTATTGGTCTATCTCTCTGTTTTGGTACCAATGCCATGCTGTTTTGATTACTGTAGCCTTGTAGTATAGTTTGAAGTCTGGTAGCCTGATGCCTCCAGCTTTGTTCTTTTTGCTTAGGATTGTCTTGGCTATGTGGGCTCTTTTTTGGTTCCATATGAACTTTAAAGTAGTTTTTTCCAATTCTGTGAGGAAAGTCAGTGGTAGCTTGATGGGGATAGCATTGAATCTATAAATTACCTTAGGCTGTATGGCCATTTTCACGATATTGAGTCTTCCTATCCATGAGCATAGAAGGTTCTTCCATTTGTTTGCGTCCTCTTTTATTTCGCTGAGCAGTGGTTTGTAGTTGTCCTTGAAGAGGTCCTTCACATCCCTTGTAAGTTGTATTCCTAGGTATTTTATTCTCTTTGTAGTAATTGTGAATGAGAATTCACTCATGATTTGGCTCTCTGTTTGTCTGTTCTTGGTGTATAGGAATGCTTTTGATTTTTGGACATTGACTTTGTATCCTGAAGTTGCTTATCAGCTTAAGGAAATTTTGGGCTGAGACAATGGGGTTTCGTAAATATACAATCATGCCATCTGCAAACAGAGACAATTTGACTTCCTCTTTTCCTAATTGAATACCCACCTTTATTTCTTTCTCTTGCCTGATTGCCCTAGCCAGAACTTCCAATACTATATTGAACAGGAGTGGTGAGAGAGGGCATCCTTTTCTTGTGCCAGTTTTCAAAGGGAATGCTTCCAGTTTTTGCCATTCAGTATGATATAGGCTGTGGGTTTGTCGTAAATAGCTCTTATTATTTTGATACGCGTTCCATCAATAACTAATTCATTGAAAGCTTTTAGAATGAAAGACTGTAGAATTTTGTTGAAGGCCTTTTCTGCATCTATTGAGTTAATCATGTGGTTTTTGTCGTTGGTTCTATTTATGTGATGAAATATGTTTATTGATTTGCGTATGTTGAACCAGTCTTGCATTCCAGGGATGAAGCCAACTTGATGGTGGTGGATAAGCTTTTTGATGTGCTGCTGGACTCGGTTTGCCAGTATTTTATTGAGGATTTTCACATGGATGTTCATCAGGGATATTGGCCTAAAATTCTCTTTTTTTGTTGTTGTGTTTTTGCCAGGCTTTGGTATCAGGATGATGCTGGCCTGATAAAATGAGTTAGGGAGGATTCCCTCTTTTTCTATTGATTGAAATAGTTTCAGAAGGAATGGTACCAGCAACTTTTTGTACCTTGGTAGAATTCAGCTGTGAATTCATCTGATCCTGGACATTTTTTGGTTGGTAGGCTATTAATTATTGCCTCAATTTCAGAACCTGTTATTGGTCTATTCCGAGATTCAACTTCCTCCTGGTTCAGTTTTGAGGGTGTATGTGTCCAGGAATTTATCCATTTCTTCTAGATTTTCTCGTTTATTTGCATAGAGGTGTTTATAGTATTCTCTGATGGTAGTTTGTATTTCTGTGGGATTAGTGGTGATATCCCCTTTATCATTTTTTATTGTGTCTACTTGATTCTTCTCTTTTTCTTCTTTATTAGTCTTGCTAGCAGTCTGTCTATTTTGTTGAACTTTTCAAAAAACCAGCTCCTGGATTCATTGATTTTTTGAAGGGTTTTTTGTGTCTCTATCTCCTTCAGTTCTGCTCTGATCTTAGTTATTTCTTGTCTTCTGCTAGCTTTTGAATGTGTTTGCTCTTGCTTCTCTAGTTCTTTTAATTGTGATGTTAGGGTGTCGATTTTAGATCTTTCCTGCTTTCTCTTGTGGGCATTTACTCCTATAAATTTCCCTCTACACACTGCTTTAAATGTGTCCCAGAGATTCTGGTATGTTGTGTCTTTGTTCTCATTGGTTTCAAAGAACATCTTTATTTCTGTCTTCATTTCGTTATTTACCCAGTAGTCATTCAGGAGCAGGTTGTTCAGTTTTCATGTAGTTGTGTGGTTTTGAGTGAATTTCTTAATCCTGAGTTCTAATTTGATTGCACTGTGGTCTGAGAGACAGTTTGTTGTGATTTCTGTTCTTTACAATTGCTGAGGGTGTTTTACTTCCAATTATGTGGTCAATTTTAGAATAAGTGTGAGGTGGTGCTGAGACGAATGTATATTCTGTTGATTTGGGGTGGAGAGTTCTGTAGATGTCTATTAGGTCCACTTGGTCCAGAGCTGAGTTCAAGTCCTGGATATCCTTGTTAATTTTCTGTCTTGTTGATCTGTCTAATATTGACAGTGGAGTGTTAAAGTCTCCCATTATTATTGTGTGGGAGTCTAAGTCTGTTTGTAGGTCTCTAAGAACTTGCTTTATGAATCTGGGTGCTCCTGTATTGGGTGCATATATATTTAGGATAGTTAGTTCTTCTTGTTGAATTGATCCCTTTACCATTATGTAGTGGCGTTCTTTGTCTCTTTTGATCTTTGTTGGTTTAAAGTCTGTTTTATCAGAGACCAGGATTGCAACCTTTGCTTTTTTTTTGCTTTCCATTTGCTTGTTAGATCTTCCTCCATCCCTTTATTTTGAGCCTATGTGTGTTTTTGTGCATGAGATGGGTCTCCTGAATACCGCACCCCGATGGGTCTTGACTCTTTATCCAACTTGCCAGTCTGTGTCTTTTAATTGGGTCATTTAGTCCATTTACATTTAAGGTTAATATTGTTATGTGTGAATTTGATCCTGTCGTTATGATGTTAGCTGGTTATTTTGCCCATTAATTGATGCAGTTTCTTCATAGCATTGATGGTCTTTACAATTTGGCATGTTTTTGCAGTGGCTGGTACTGGTTGTTCCTTTCCACGTTTAGTGCTTCCTTCAGGAGCTGTTGTAAGGCAGGCCTGGTGGTGACAAAATCTCTCAGCATTTGCTTGTCTCTAAAGGATTTTATTTCTCCTTCACTTATGAAGCTTAGTTTGGCTGGATATGAAATTCTGCATTGAAAATTCTTTTGTTTAAGAATGTTGAATATTGGCCCCCACTCTCTTCTGGCTTGTAGGGTTTCTGCCAAGAGATCCACTGTTAGTCTGATGGGCTTCCCTTTGTGGGTAATCCGACCTTTCTCTCTGGCTGCCCTTAACATTTTTTCCTTCATTTCAACCTCAGTGCATCTGACAATTATGTGTCTTGGGGTTGCTCTTCTCGAGGAGTATCTTTGTAGTGTTCTCTGTATTTCCTGAATTTGAATGTTGGCCTGCCTTGCTAGGTTGGGGAAGTTCTCCTGGATAATATCCTGAAGAATGTTTTCTAACTTCTTTCCATTTTCCCCATCACCTTCAGGTATGCCAATTAAATGTAGATTTGGTCTTTTCAGATAGTCCCATATTTCTGGGAGGCTTTGTTTCTTTTCACTCTTTTTTCTCTAATCTTGTCTTCTCACTTTATTTCATTAATTTGGTCTTCAATCACTGATATCCTTTCTTCCGCTTGATCGAATTGACTCATGAAGCTTGTGTATGCTTCACGCAGTTCTCGTACTGTGGCTTTCAGCTCCATCAGGTCATTTAAGCTTTTCTCTACACTGGTTATGCTAGTTAGCCATTCCTCTAATCTTTTTTCAAGGTTTTTAGCTTCCTTGCGATGGGTTAGAACATGCTCCTTTAGCGCGGAGAAGTTTGTTATTACTGATCTTCTGAAGCCTACTTCTGTCAACTCGTCAAACTCATTCTCCATCCAGTTTTGTTTCCTTGCTGGCGAGGAGTTGTGTTCCTTTGGAGGAGAAGAGGCATTCTGGTTTTTGGAATTTTCAGCCTTTCTGCTCTGGTTTCTCCCCATCTTTGTGGTCTAATCTACCTTTGGTCTTCGATGTTGGTGACCTACGGATGGGGTTTTGGTGTGGATGTCCTTTTTGTTGATGTTGATGCTATTCCTTTCTGTTTGTTAGTTTTCCTTCTAACAGACAGGACCCTCAGCTACAGGTCTATTGGAGTTTGCTGGAAGTCCACTCCAGACCCTGTTTGCCTGGGTTTCACCAGCGGAGGCTGCAGAACAGCCAATATTGCTCCCTGATCCTTCCTTTGGAAGCTTCATCCCAGAGGGGCACCTGCCTGAATGAGGTGTCTGTGGCCCCTACTGGGAGGTGTCTCTCAGTCAGGCTACATGGGGTCAGGGACCCACTTTAGGAGGCACTCTGTCCATTATCGGATCTCGAACGCCATGCTGGGAGAGCGACTGCTCTCTTCAGAGCTATCAGGCAGTCACGTTTAAGTCTGCAGGAGCTATCTGCTGCCTTTTGTTCAGATATGCCCTGCCCCCAGAGGTGGAATCTCGGTAGGCAGTAGGCCTTGCTGTGCTGCGGTGGGCTCCACCCAGTTCGAGCTTCCCTGCCACTTTGTTTACACTGTGAGCATAGAACTGCCTACTCAAGCCTCAGCAATGGTGGATGCCCCTTCCCCCACCAAGCTCCAGCATCCCAGGTTGATCTCAGACTGCTGCACTAGTAGCGAGTGAGGCTCCGTGGGCATGGGACCCTTTGAGCCAGGCACAGGAGGGAATCTCCTGGTCTGCCGGTTGCGAAGACTGTGGGAAAAGCACAATATTTGGGCAGCAGTGTACCATTCCTCCAGGTACAGTCACTCACGGCTTCCCTTGGCTAGGAAAGGGAAATCCCCCGACCCCTTGTGCTTCCCAGGTGAGATGATGCCCCGCCCTGCTTCAGCTGTACCCACTTTCCAACCAGTCCCAACGAGATGAACCAGGTACCTCACTTGGAAATGCAGAAATCACCTGCAGAAATCACATATCTGCAGAAATGCAGAAGTCACATATCTGCAGAAATGCAGAAGTCACATATCTGCAGAAATGCAGAAGTCACATATCTGCAGAAATGCAGAAGTCACATATCTGCAGAAATGCAGAAGTCACGTTTCTGCAGAAATGCAGAAGTCACATATCTGCAGAAATGCAGAAGTCACGTTTCTGCAGAAATGCAGAAGTCACGTTTCTGCAGAAATGCAGAAGTCACGTTTCTGCAGAAATGCAGAAGTCACGTTTCTGCAGAAATGCAGAAGTCACGTTTCTGCAGAAATGCAGAAGTCACGTATCTGCAGAAATGCAGAAGTCACGTTTCTGCAGAAATGCAGAAATCACCTGTCTTCTGTGTTGATCTCGCTGGGAGCTGTAGACCAGAGCTGTTCCTATTCAGCAACTCCCCCATCAAAACAATTTCTTATTCAACATACTAGCAGAGCTAGGATTGCAAATGGGTAGTGTGACTCCTGGCCTATACTCTTAACCACCAGGCAAATGATGACTGTGTATATGCATTTAATGTTTACCTAGAAATTCCAGTTATTTTTAAAGTACCTAAACAGGGAAAGGGCTCATATAATCAGGATTTTTCCCCTGCCATATTATACAATTAAAAGTGATAAACACAATAATCACTTTGGAATCAGAAATAATCTTTTGTGCTCGCTGAGTGAGAAAACAAACATTTGTTGTATTATCATTGTAAATTTTTGCAGTGGAGAGCTAGTATAGATCATAAAGTGGAAGCATATGTAAGTTGAGAACACATTTTCAAAAATTACCATTGCTTCTACAAGGAGAGCTACGAAACATTGCTGAAAGCCATCATAGACAACATAAACAAATGGAAACACATTCCATGTTCATAGATTGGAATAATCAACATTGTGAAAAGGAACATACTGCCCAAAGCAATCTACAGATTCAATGCAATTCCCATCAAACTACCAGCATCACTTTTTCTCAGAAGTAGAAAAAACAATCCTAAAATTCATGTGGAACCAAAAAGAGCCTGAACAGCCAAAGCAATCCTAAGCAAAAAGAACAAATCTGGAGACATCCTATTACTGGACTTCAAAGTATGCTACAAGGCTATAGATATCAAAACAACATGGTACTGGGAAAAAAAAAAGTAGATGCATAGACCAATGGAACAGAATAGAGAATTCAGATATAAAGCCAAATACATACAGCCAACTGATCTACAACAAAGCATACAAAAACATAAATTGGGGAATGGACACCCTATTTAATAAATGATGCTGAGAAAACTGGAAAGCCACATGTAGAAGAATGAAACTGGATCCCTATCTCTCATCCTATCCAAAAATCAACTCGAGATGGACCGAGGACTAAAATATAAGACCTGAAACTAAAAATTCTAGAAGACGATGTTGGAAAAACTCTTCTAGACATTGCCCTAGGGAAATAATTCATGACTAAGACCCCAAAAGCAAATGCAACAAAAACAAAGATAAGTAAATGGAACCTAATTTAAAAGTTACTGCACAGCAAAAGAAATAATCAGCAAAGTAAACAGACAACCCACAGAAGGGGAGAAAATATTTGCAAGATGCATCCAACAAAGGACTAGTTTCCAGAATCTACAAGGAACTCAAACAAATCAGCAAGAAAAAGAAAACAAATAATCCCATTAAAAAGCTGGCAAAGACCGGGCCTGGTGGCTCACATCTGTAATCCCAGCACTTTGGGAGGCTGAGGTGGGCGAATCGCTTGAGCTCAGGAGTTCGAGACCAGCCTGGACAACATAGTAAGACCCCCCATCTCCACTAAAAATACAAAAATTAGCCAGGCATAGTGGTGCACACCTGTAGTCTCAGCTACAACTGAGAGACTGAGGCTTAAGCATCACTTGAAACCAGGAGGCAGAGGTTGCAGTGAGCCGAGATTGCGCCACTGCACTGCAGCCTGGGCAACAAAGTGAGGCTCCCTCTGAAAAAAAAAACAAAACAAGTGGACAAAATGGGCAAAGGACATGAATAGACATTTCTCAAAAGATGATCTACAATGGCCAAAAAACATGAGAAAGTGCTCAACATCACTCATGATGGAAAAGCAAATTAAAACTGCAATGAGATACCACCCTACTCCTGCAAGAATGGCCATTATTAAAACATCAAAAAACAATAGATGTTTATGTGGATGTGGGGAAAGGGAATGCTTACACACTGCTGGTAGGAATTTAAATTAGTACAACCTTTATGGGAAACAGTATGGAGGAGATTCCTTAAAGAGCTAAAAGTAGATCTACCATTTGATCAAGCAATCCCACTACTAGATATCTACCCAAAGGAAAAGACGTCATCATATGAAAAAGACCCTTGTACACGTATGTTGACAGCAGCACAATACACAATTGCAAAGATGTGGAACCAACGTAAGTGCCCATCAACTAACGAGTGGACAAAGAAAATGTGGTGTATATACACCATGGAATACTACTCAGCCATTAAAGGAATGAAATAATACCTTTTGCCGAAACTTGGATGGAGATAGAGGCCATTAGTCTAAGTAACACAGGAACGGAAAACCAAAAACTGTATGTTCACACTTATAAGTGGAAGCTAAGTTACAAGTAGGCAAAAACATACAGAGTGATACAATCGACTTTAGAGAATCAGATGGGGGAGGATAGGAGGGGGCTGAGGATAAAAAAAAACTACACATTAGGTAACAATGTACACTACTCTGGCCATGGGTGGGCTAAAATCTCAGAATTCACCACTATATAATTCATCCATGTAACAAAAAAACCACTTGTACCCCGAAAGCTTTGGAAATAAAAAATTTTTTAAATATCATTGCTGTTATTTTTACTTTGAAATTTCAGATAGCATTTGAGAGAAACAGGTTTTTGTATTTATCAGAACAGACGGGTTAAATATTGAGAACTACAATTGTACATTTATATTTAATTTAATTTTTTAAAAAAGTATCCACAAGAATAGCTAAAAACAAAAAGACTGACAATACCAACTGTTTGCAAGAATATGGAGAAACTAGAACTCTCATACTTTCTGGTAGGAATGGATATTGGTTCAAACACTCAAAAAATGTTTAGCAGCATCTACTAAAGCTAAACATGGCCCACTACTAAAGCACTATGACCAAGCAATTCCACTTCTTTTTATGCACACACACGAAATGAGTGCATAGCTTCACAGAAACTCATGTTTATAGCAGGTATATTCAAGATAGCCAAAACCCAGAAGCAACTGTAATGTCATCAACAGGAGAATAGAAAAGTAAATTGTGATACATTAATAAAATGCTATGCAAAAAGATGCGGGTTCCACAGGGCCAACTGGAGGAGTTGAGTATGCTTGGATTTGGGTATACATGGGGATCCTGGAACCATTCCCCAGAGTATACCAAGGGACGACTGTCATTGTATTTATTCATTACTGACATGTTCTCTTAATATGGATTGTTTTTGCCAAAGTATTCATACGCAACTTCTCAAATACACTTATACTTGATAAGTACATCTATACTTAGGTAAACATTGTGCCAGTTACCAATGTATTGCCTCTCTGCTCCAATTCATGTTTACGTATATGCCGTGTAACAGTTGACACTCCTTTCAGCATCTCCACAGAGCACGATGTTCTGTTTTTGCAGTAGAGGGCGCCGAAGAGGCACTGTGAGAAGGACCGTGGTCTCCCAGTGTTTCTGACTGCTACACAGAATGTCTGCGATCTTGCAGCCTCGGTCTGGACTGGCGATAACATTCCTGAGCAGTTTTCGTACGGGGAAACGGGCCCCAAAGCCCTCCGGCTCACCCCAGGTGCCCTAAACCACCACTCATTTTGCTACTGACATTTCCTCCCGCAAGTCCCAGCACCTGCCTCCACTCCCACCCATTGCAGATCCAGGCACAGCTCACCTGTATCCCAGCCCCTAATCTCTATGTGCAAGTGCACCCTGATCACTGATTACTGTGTTCTACATGCATTCCAAAGAGTTACTTCCTACTTGCCCAGGACTGCAGACCAGCTCTGACTAGAACAGACCAGCAAGCGTCTTTGCTATCCAGTGTGCTGAACTACACCTTCTCCAATAAGATCTGAACTCTTATTGTCCTTCCTTATGTACCTGCCCCCCCAGGTCTAGAATACCATAGTTTCCTTGTAGTTGTTCTTTTATCGAAGTTTAATAAATCTTTGTATTAAATTTAACCCAATGTGTGCTTTTGTTGTTAATTGGACCCTGACTGACACAGGCACTGTATACGTTTTATATCAATTTTACTTGAAATACTAATATGACCCAACCAAACTTCAGGAATGAAAAGAAAAAGGAAAAAGAAAAAATATCATGAAGTGCAAATTTACCAGGCAAAATAAGAAAGCTGTTCTGCCATGGGTAGGGCAGAGGAAAATTAGAAAAATTAAATTATCACATTGACTTTCCTAGCCAGCCCTAACTTTAGGGGACTGAATCCTTTTTTGCACTACTTAGTAATACTCTAATGATTAAAAAAGTACTGTATAATATGAATTTCATTAAAATAAAGTAATTTGAACAAAACTGGACTATCATTTTACTTTTTTAGAATAACCTTCATAACAGAGAAAATAAACTAAGCACTCACCATATTTAATATACATTTTTTCAAATACTCAGCTAAATAATTTGTCAATCAATAAGTAATGGAGTCTAACAGATATTCAGTATTGTCAGGCACTGGACAGACATACTCAGAGATGGGAAGGGTTCACTGTATGTAAAGTACAAAGGTAAGGATAAAGAGGTCATGAAGTTGCTGAGAACTAAGAAAATGATTAAGGGAAAGGTGAGATTTGAATGGAAGGAGGCATTCTGAGTGGTAGGGATGTCATGAGTCAAAGTTTAAATATGAAAATAAGCATAGCCCGTGCTTGGGATCAGAATGGAGAAAATTCTGTTGAATCCCACAGCCAAGGTGATAAATAGGGTTAGCAAAGACCTTGAAAACAGAAGTAGAAAAGTTTGGTCTCAATGTTGATGGTAGATAACCATTATGAGGTTTAAGAAAAGGGAGGTAACATCATAAAAGCAATATTTTTCAGGAAAACTAATATAGAGATAGGATGCTTTGAGATGGGGAGGGCCTTGTGGTAGAATGGCCAACTAGAATTAAAATTGTAGTAGGTCTGACCCCCGGTTTACAAATTCAGATGTGCAAATAGTAATGCTTCAGTAATTCTAGTCTTTCAATCAACTTAATTTGAGCTCTTGAGTTTTATCTTTCCAGGATGGGTTGGAAAATTTACCTGTTTATTAATTAAATCAAGAAACGTTTATTGATCCCCTATTATATCCCAGGCACTTTCCAGGCACTGGAAATGAGCAATACATAAAATAAAGGACCTGTACTCATGGAACTTTCGTTTTAGTAGAGAAGACAGATAATAAACATATAATGTCAAATTATGATCTGTGCAGGCAGATAAGGTGAAGACGGTTTGAATTTAAATCAGGTAGTTCCAGAAACCACTGTAATAGGGTGACATTTGAACAGAGACCTGAATAAAGGGACAGCATAAGCCACTGGACACTGGGGGAAGAATTTCCCCAGATGAGGAAATGGAAAGTATAAGGACCAAGAAAAAGTAATATATTTGGTGTATTTCAGGAACAGCAGGCAGGCTGATCTCACTGAAAGAGAATGAGCAGGCAGAAGAGTTGTAGGCAATTAAACTGGAGAGGTAATCAAAAGTCCTTTAATAGGTAGGACTATGGTGGGAATTTTTTATTTAATTTTTAGCAAGCTGAGGCAAGGGAGTTACATGATCTAATAATGTTTTTAAATGATCACAGTGGTTACTACAGGGAAATGGACCATTGCTGGAAGGGAAGCAAGAGTGAAATTAAAGAGACCTGTTAAGAGGCTACTGTACTTGTTTAGGTGAAAGGTGGTGGTTTGGACTAGGAGTAGAAAAGGTGAGTTATGGTCAGATTCAGGTTATATTTTGAAGATTGAGTTGACAACATTTACTGACAGATTAGATATTAGGTATGAGACTAAGAGGCAAGAAAAGATGACCCAAAGTTTTTCACCTGAAGAAGTGGTAGGTGCCATTTACTAAGATGGAGAATATTAGGGAAGGAACGGATTTGAGGACAATATCATGAGTTCTGTTTAGGGCACATCAAGTTCTCACCAAAGGATATATCAAGTATGTAGTTGAATATGCAAGTCTGGAGTTCAGAGGAGAGGGTGGAGATACAAATTTGGCAGTCTTCAACACATAGACATTATAAAGTGTCATAAGATATATGAGCTCACTTATGGAGTGAATATCATGGCTACACAATACTTTGATATTTAAAGACCTGACGATTAGGAGAAAGCAAGGGAGATGGAAGTTCAGGCAGAGAACTGACCAAAAGCCAAGTGAAGAAAGTGTTTCAAGAAAGAGGGAGTGATCATTTCTGTCAAGTGTTACCAAGTGGTCTAATAAGTCTTGGACTGAGAACTGACCATTAGATTTAGCCATATAGGGGTCACTGGTGACCTTGATGAGAGGTTTCAGTGGAGTGGTAGTAGCAAGTCTTAATTCTGTCAGATTCAAGAAAGAACAATAAGAAAAAAATTCTACAAGAACAAATGCTACAAAATAGTTTTACAAGAAAGGAGAACAAAGAAAAAGGGTGTTAACAGGAAACAGAAATGGGGTCAAGCATCAGGTATTAATATTTGAGGCATTGTGCACTATGGGGACTATCCCATAGAGAAGGAAAAAGTGATAACACGTGGGAGGTGGAGTGGAAGATAGTAGAAAAGAGGATCTAGAAACTTGTGCACAAGTGAAAGTTGTAAACTTTCCATAGGAACTTGTAGTGTTTGTCCATCGTGACATACTTATCTCAGACATTCTTCAGCCCGGCCCCCATCCTGGATACTGTAGTGGAAAGTCACTAAGATCTAATGTGATCGCCACTGCACTGGAGAATGCTTCTAGTTATTGTCATCAGAGTGCAGAGCCCACATGTCCATATGGTATGGATCCTTCAGGTGCAGTGGCTCTTTGTTCAGGGCTGTGTTTTGAGCATGAGACTCTTTTGGAAACTGGAAACTTCAGGTCTGGGGTCCATATTTCTCTTAGCCTTTGTGTTTCTGGACTAGAGTCCCATGTCCCCTCCCCATCACTATTTATTCACATATGGCAACTATTCTCTAGACCTTCTGATAAAATATATTCAGGGTTCACGAAGCAGAAATTCGTTCAACTATCTATGCTCAGAAGCCTCGTCATTTTCTACAAATGCAAGAAAATATTTCTTAAAAGTTATTTCTAATGAAACCAAACCTCTTTGGCATATTTTTGCAATTTCTTACTGGCTACAAAACTCCTTATGTAGGTCTCAATTGCATTTGATTTCTTAGAGCCAATCATTTTTAAAGTATAATTTGAATTATTCTACCCTAAGTGTACTCCAGTGGAATTTATTCACACTGAATTTATCCAGTGGAGTTTATCCATACTGAGTAAAGCCCATCCACCGGTATTTGTCCTCTTTAGGCATTGTGAAATTACATGTGAATGGAACAATGGAAATACTGGTAATGTAGATCAATTAATTATCAGGGTTTTTTTGTTTTGTTTTGTTTTGTTTTTTTGTAAAGTGAGGAGCTGGAAGTGATTTATTAAATTTTAAAATGAGTGGGGAAAATTATATTCCTATCCTAGAGACCCCCTGATAACAGTGGGCAAATGTTCATCCCTTGAGTGCCACTGGGTGGCTCATCTGTCATTCTTTCTGAGGAGAGTAAGCAATGATACCACTGGGGGAGATCATGGAACACCATGGACTTTGGTGCCACCAAAGTACCTGCACTCCTTGGCATCATGAGTCTTTGTGACAAATCCAGGAAACAGGCTCCCTGCTCTCTGAAGAAATAACTCAAGCAGCTCTTTGGACCAAGTCCAAGGTTGTCTGAAGCTCAGCCCAGATAAAACAAAAATGAACCTGATTGGAAAGAGGAGAAGTTGGAATCTTTGTGAGAAACCCAGGTAAACAGGCTCCCTGCTCTCTGAAGAAATAACCCAAGTAGCTCATTGGACCAAGTCCAAGACTGGCTGAAGCTCAGCCCAGATAAAACAAAAATGAATCTAATTGGAAAGAGGAGAAATTGGCAATCTGACAAGAAATCCAATATCAACTCTTTTAAGAACGAACATTGTCAGGCTGGTGAGTAATTTTGTGGTAAATTGCTATTTTCAGAATCCCAAAGGGATACATTGATGAAAAATGCATTCGTTCATCTCTAACCAGTCAGGAAATCAAGAGACAGACTTAAAATGTAATTCTATGAAGCATTGTCCCAAATTCACTCAACATGCACTCTGGCCAGCTTAAAGTAGAAACATATGGATAACAGGCATGTTATCACCAAGTAGAACCCCATAAGGCATTCAACTTGGTCTGTGTAGAAAGCAATCAAGTCCAATGTCATAGTGAAGTAAGCACTGAACCCAGGGTCAAAAGTCCAGGCTTTGCCACTGAACTAGCTGTGTGAATTTATACTGAACTCTTCTCTTTTTATTTTTTTGGAATAGTTCAAACATATCAAAAATTATAGAGAGCAATATACAGATATCTGTAGCTAGCTTTATCAAATCTTAACATTTGGATCCATTTGCTTAACATTTGGATCCATTTGTTTTAAAAGATATGAAAGAGCACAGACAGCTGAGGTGCTAGGTATTTCTCACCCTCCCTCCCATCTCATTGTCCTTCATCCCCCACAGAAGTAAGCACTACTCTGATTTCTGTCATCTGCCATTCTCCTGGCTGATATTAAACGTCTATATCATATGTGCAGATTCATAAACACGATTTAATGCTTTGTGTTTTTTTGTAAACTTTGTATAGGTGATATTGTGTGTACACATAAAAGTCAGCACTGACCAGGTGTGGTGGCTCATGCCTGTAATCCCAGCACTTTAGGAGGCCGAGGCTGGCAGATCGCTTGAGCTCAGGAGTTAAGTAAGACCAGCCTGGGCAACATGGTGAAACCCCAACTCTACAAAAAATACAAAAATTAACCCAGCGTGGTGGCAGATGCCTGTAATCCCAGCTACTTGGGAGGCTGAGGCAGGAGAATTGCTTGAACCTGGGAGGCAGAGGTTGCAGTGAGCTGAGATCATGCCACTGCACTCCAGCCTGGGTGACAGAGCATGACTCCCTCTCAAAAAAAAAAAAATGTAGCTAGGCCTGGTGGCACATGCCTGTCTGTAGGCCCAGCTACTCAGGAGGCTGAGGCAGGAGGATCGTTTTAACCCAGGAGGCAGAGGTTGCAATGAGCCAAGATTGTAGCCGCTACACTACAGCCTGGGAGAGGGGAGTAAACCCTAACTAAAAAAAAAAAAAAAATCTGGGTGCAGTGGCTCACCCCTGTAATCCCAGCACATTGGGAGGATGAGGTGGGCGGACCACGAGGTCAGGCGATTGAGACCAGCCTGGCCAACGTGGTGAAACTCCATCTCCACTAAAAATACAAAAATTAGCCAGGTGTGGTGGCACGTGTGTGTAGGTCCAAGTAGGTCCAAGTAGGTCCAAGTTGGTCCAAGTTCTTGTCTCATGACCAGGAAGAATTAGGCACATGGACACTGGAGAGTGAGTGGAGTAGAATTTATTAAGCGAAAGGAAAGCTCTCAGCAAAGCGGGGACGTGGGGTAGTGGGGGTGGTTCCCCTACCCAAAGGTGGGAAAAAGTCCCCCAGTATGGCTGAGCTTGGGGCCTTTTATGGGCTCAGAATAGGAAGTGCATGCTGATTGGTTTGTGAGTATGCAAAAAAGATTAAAGTGAAGACATCACTCAAAGGTGGGCACAACAGTGTAGAAAACCAACAGAAAAGGGTAGGTATATGTAAAGTAGGTGAAGGGTGGGGATCAATCAGAGGAAAGCATGCCAAACGGAAAGACAAGTTCTCAATCTGGTCTGAGAATTTAACTTGTAGCTTGGCTTTCAGGCTTTAAACTGTCTTCAGCTTGGAGGTGGTGTTTCACCAGGGACCTGCCCCTATCTGCCTAGGCATGTGGCTGCCTCCTGCCTCCCTCAGTGAGACTCAGTTTAAAAAAAAAAGATTCCCACTCTCACTCAGTTTCTAATACTCTACATTCTCAACAACCTTACTATTGCCTGGCCATGATTTTTGTATTTGTAAAATGAGTAGGGATGGACTAGATGATCTCTGAGGCCTTTCTACATTCTCCTTTCCCTTTCCTTGAATTCCCCACTTTCTTTCTTCTTCACCTAGAGATAAACTAGTTTAGGGGATATCAAACTATTTCTTTTGAGTCTACACACCTGTTGATTCATATTTTGTATTCTGAACAGTCTATAAACCTGGGCATCCAATAACACAGTTTCAGTTAACACGAGGAAGAACATTACCTAAATTTACAGTGTCCTAAGTAGGTTTATTTCCAATACTGTTAAATCAGTAGTTTTAAGACTTTTTAAAGCAATGGACTTTTTAAAAATAAAAATGTAAACTTAATTTTAATATAAACACCGTTTGCTCCATTTTGTCCCCTTTTGTTTATCTCTAGTACATGTCTTAAACATCAGTAAGCTTTTTGTAATGTAATTATTATTATTCCCTTGGTGAACTTCCTGAAATTAAGAAATATTCAAATGCTTCAATGTGTCTTATTACTTTATCAATTAAATTTAAATTTTAAATTTTATTTGATTATGTTTTCAGTTCAAACTAGTATATAGTTTGTATACTAAAATCTTCTGGAAATATTTGTGTCAGAGAAATATTACTCTTTATTGCCAAAGAGCACTGATTACACCGCTTGTAATCTCTAAACAGCTTCGGGCTTTCAAGGTTATAATTGTAGACCTACATTGCCACCTAATGGTAGGAAGCTTAATCACACCATATTTTAAGTTGGAAACGGGTTTTTTTTTTAATGTATGCAAAATGTTAAAGCAGTCTCTTCCTATGAGAACTCTATATTATAATAGAGTTGGCAGAAGAACAGGGTAAACACGCACCAGACTTATTGGCAAGACTAGAGATTGAATTTCTATTCCCTCACTGATCTACCATCTCTGAGTCCCAGCTCCTCTCAGACACAGGTATTAAGGATCTTCAGATTTCATCCTACCCACCTCCCCACCCTCACTCCTGTCCTTATGCCAAACCTGTTCTAGTCCTCATATGTTAAGATGCTAGTTCTGGATGACCAATTGGCGTCTAGAATCAACTTGGAATATGGCTGGTGTCTGGGTTGCTAAAAGATGAGTTCCTGCTTTAGCATCCACATGTACCCAAGTCAACACTCTTATCATGAATTTCCCTAAAGCCATATGTTTCCTGTCTTTAAAAAAACTCCCTGATGAAGCTGGAATCCAATTATGAACCTCTGCATTGCACCCCAGGTGCCTGTAAACTAAAGCCCACAGTGCAATTTCAGCACATCAGATTCCTCTCTACATGGAGGAGTCACGAAAAAAAGAATAGTTGGCTAAATTCGCCTTACCCCAAGACTTTGAGCCAAGAATCAGCCACCTGTCCAATGTAAGCATCAGCAAGACTATAGAGCTTGGGCCAGGGGTCACCAAATCAGAATCCTTGGCTATATCTCTAGCCCAGATGAGAGTCAAAGTATTCACCCTAGTCCTGGATGCTGTAATTAGGGGTGCTTCTTCTTGGGAGCCAGCTCTAAGCCAGGTATGTAACCCTCATTCTCCCTATCTTACCATATCTACCTGGTATGGGTAGCCAGTAAGCCTCTTTACACTGTCTTAGAGGTTTTTATAACAGGCAAGAAATGGCACAGAGAAAAAGAACAAAACGCAGATGAAGAAGTAATAACAAGAACAAGAAGAAAAAGAAAGGAAAAGGAGAACTTGTGTCAGAGAGAAATACGTTATGGTATTATATACAACGCACCCACTCCAGGACTAGACATTTCTGTAGTGAAGATATTGAAGGAACAGCCAAGATGAATGGAAACACAGGACTTCAAAGACATAATGTATAGTTCAATGGATATTCTACTGGTACAATAGAATAAAATATGCCATCAGCATACCCCAAGCAAGGTCTGTTTAAGTATCTGAAATGTCAAATTAACAAGAAGCCATTTTTAATCATGTCATTATAGATAGGGATAGAAATCTTCTAGTGATCTGTGTTAAGAAAGATTTTTTGAGCCACATCTGGGTTCAGCAGAAGATGGCTGATTGATTACCAATGTTTTCCACATCCACACACTTGCCAGATAGTTTCCTTTTCTTTTCTAGGACCATCCTCTCATTAACTCCTTCCTGGTTCTCTACATGCATGCTTCTCAAGCTTCAACGTGAATATGAAACACTTGCTAAGATGCAGATTCTGATGCAGTAGGTAGGGGTAGAGCCCAGGATTCTGCATTTCTGAGAAGCTCCCAGGTGATGCTCATGCTGGTCTCCAGAAATTTCAAGTCGCCTTTTTTAACATTATGACAATTTCCCTTGTTAATCGTCCAGAAATATTATTACTTTATCCCTTTTTCTTACTGCTGGCCAGGCAGAGAAGTAAAAAAATAGCCACTGCTGTCAGGTCTTAGTAATCAGAAAAAAATTAAAATTTAATATAAAAGATTCCTAAAACATTTTATGATTTTCAATGTAATATATCTCTATATCTATGTGTGTATATATATATATATTCATAAAGTCTGATTTATCATGCTTTATTGGTAAAAAGTTTCTCTCAACCACTCTTTCTCAGTCCTAGACTACAAAAATAATTGATTTTCCTTAAAATGACCCTGAAGTTCTGCAAGATCCTAAACTGCCTGCTAAATTATCAAATAACTCATTTTCACTACAGTTGCATAATTAATTTTACTTTATTGCAGTCTAATTTTTAAAAATGTTATCCCAAATATGATGTACATGGTAATTCTCAGTTACTTCAAATACGCTTCACTCAACAATGGAAATGGCATGAAAGTGAGGGCTACTTATTCATTTTTATGAAGAATATTACATAAAATGAGCGTATGTGAAAAAATCAGAAAATACAGACACTGACAAGTTAATCAGTTTATATCTTTGCACATTATCAGTTGTGAAAAATCCCAAGATATAAAGCTTTTTTAATCATAGTATCTCTCAGAGAGGGTGTGGGCCTTGTACCTTGCACCAAAGCACATTTTCCTCATGGAAAAATTTCCCAACTGAGTCTTCCTCTTCTTTTAAATTTTAGTTGATGTCAGTCATAGGATCAAAAGGATCATGAGGCATGTCCCTGTTAATGACCAGCTTTTCGGTTCTATGTAGAGTCGATGGGCCCACTTTCCGCTCCAGGTCCCTCAATACTTGAAAATTCTGTGTCAATAAGCGGTTTCAGAAATTTCTCAACCTTGGTTAATCTTTGTTTCAGTTTCTGCTGCATGGACTCATACTCAGCCAAGATTCGGGCAAACCTGGTTTGCAGGAGGTCTACTGACCCCTCCATTCGAGTAACCTTCTCTTCAAGATCTTTAGGATCACTGCCAGCATTTGCAATGTTTAGATCCAGTAGACCATCTTTCATTAAAATCTGCTTCCCTTTCTCTTCCAGCATAGTTTTGGCATCTGGGTACTCAGTTAGAGCTTCCATGAGGTCATCTTTTGAGAGACAGAACAGGTCTGAGTAGCCAATACTTTTAATATTGGCCGTTCTTCGATTGCCAGCTTTGCTCCCTTTAATGTTAAGAATGCTGATCTCACCGAAGTAGCTGCCATCGCTCAATACCACAAACTGAGTGACTCCATCATCTGCCACCACAGCGAGTTTGCCTTCCTTGATAATGTACATCTCTCGTCCGATATCCCCTTTCTTGCAAATATAATCTCCAGGACTGTAGACTTGGGGTTGCAATTTCAAGACCAACTCCACCAACAGACCAGCTTCACAATCAGCAAAAATGCGTACCTTTTTTAATGTGTCTAAGTGAACGTTGATGGCAATTTCTGCTCTTAGTTTATCAGGTAGATACTTTAAGACTTCTTTCTCATCAACTGTTTTTTTGTTGGTCCACAGGTAGTCAAACCATTTAATAACCCTCTTTTCCATATCTTTGCTTACATTTCGAAAATGCATATATTGCTTGATAGCATCAATTCTTGCTTGAAATTCTGCTCTGGCTGCATTCATGTTGGAAATCATAGAACCTATGTTACCAACGATGGTAGCAAAAATTAACACTCCAATTAGGAAATCAACCACCACAAAGACATACTCAGAATCCCTCACGGGAGGGGGTGTTTCACCAATGGTAGTCAAAGTCAGTGTAGACCAGTAAAGGCTGTATACGTATTTTCTAGCCAAACGGCCAAATTCAGGATCATTAATATCAGGGTAGACCCATGTATCATTTCCAAATCCAATAGCTTTAGAAATAGAGTAGAACACACATGCATTCCAGTGGATAATGATGACGATATACATAACAAGGTTGGAAATCCTGAAGATGTTTGGATAGTTTGTCCTTGTTTCTGTTCTCTGGAAGAACTCAAACATACGAGAGAACCGTAACAACCTGTTTAATCTAATTTCTGGATAGTTCCACCCTAACTTAAAATACAGCAAATCAGTTGGTATCAGTGACAGAACATCAAGTTTAAATTGCAAGTTGGATTTATATTTATTTATGAGTTTAAGTTCTTCCTTTACCAGCAGTCCTTGTTCTAGGTAACCTAAAATAGAAAATAAAATCAATTCAGTGTTTCTCCTTTTTATGTCATTGTGAATTTTTGTGAATAACTGTCAATTAACTTTGTTGAGGTCAACAGAAAAATTCATTTTCAATAAATATGCCTTTAACAATGTAATAAAATACAAATACTAATAAACCTATGGCTGTAGAAAATATTCTGCTGTAGAAATAAAAGGTAAAATTTTGGCCAGACAGCTCACATCTGTAATCCCAGTGCTTTGGGAGGCTGAGACCCAATATCACTTGAGCCTGGGAGTTTGAGGCTGCAGTGAGCCATGATAGCACTACTGCATTCCAGCCTGGGCAACAGCGAGACCCTGTCTCAAAAAAAAAAAAAGAAAAAAAAAGAAAAAAAGAAAAATTTTGTAAGTGCAAAAGTGAGAGTGTACAAATCTCTCAAGGTCTATCATCACCATCCAGGTAAAGCCATTCCTTTCATGAGTAGCATTCTTGTGATATTGTGAGATATATATATATATATATTTGGTCCCTGGCACAGAACTCTTAAAACTCTTGTAATTTCCTAAGCAATATGGTTACTAAGTGCATTTTTTTTTTTTTTGAGTCAGAGTCTTGCTCTGTCACCTAGGCTGGAGTGCAGTGGTGCAATCTCGTCTTGCTGCAACCTCCGCCTCTGGCTTCAAGCAATTCTTCTGCCTCAGCCTCCTGAGTAGCTAGGACTACAGGCACGTGCCACCACGCCCAGCTAATTTTTGTATTTTTAGTAGAGACAGGGTTTCACCATATTGGCCAGGCTGGTCTTGATCTCCTGACCTCGTGATCCACCTGCCTTGGCCTCCCAAAGTGCTGGGATTACAGGCATGAGCCACTGAGCGCGGCCCTAAGTCCATCTTTTGTTGTGGTATTTGGTTCTTGACCCCAGTTCCTGAAACAGAGCTCTTTATCCCTTGATATTTCCTGGGTGATAGAAATGTCTTTTGTTCTGGCCAGGTGTAGTGGCTCACACCTGTAATCCCAGCACTTTGGAAGGCTGAGGCAGGAGGATCCCTTGAGTGCAGGAGTTTGAGACCAGCTTAAGTCTCTATGATATTATTTGAAAGAAAAAAAGAAAGAAAGAAAGAGAGAGAGAGAGGGATGGAGGGAGGGAGGGAAAGAAAGAAAGAAAGAAAAGAAAGAAAGAAAGAGAAAGAAAGAAAGAAAGAGAAAGAAGAAAGAAAGAAAGAGAAAGAAAGAAAGAAGGAAAGAAAGAAAGAGGAAAGAAAGAAAAAGAAAAGTGTCTTTTGGTCTAATGAAGCAGCCCTTGGTGAGGTCCAAGATGGGGCTGGTCACCAGAAAGACTAAGTTATGTTTAGAAGCTTGGAACTTTTACCCCAACCTCCTTCATCCAGGAAAGGGAGAAGCACTGGAGACTGAGTTAATAGTCCATCATGCCTCCATGATAAAACCTCTATAAAAATCCCTGAACTATGGGGTTTGGAGCATTATCAGGTTAGTGAACACATCTATGAACTAGGAGGGTGCCACACCCCAATTCCATGGGGACAAAAGCCCCTGTTCTCATGACTCTTCCCGACTTTGCCCTATGTATCTCTTCATCTGGCTCTTCATCTGTATTCATTATCATACCCTTTATTAATATAATAGCGCAGTAAACATAAGTGTTTTCCTATGGTCTGTAAGTTGTGCTAGCAAATTACTAGACCCACAAGGGAGCTGTGGGAACTCCAATTTATAGCTGGTCAGTCAGAAGCACAAGCCACAACCTGAGACTTACGACTGGCATCTGAAGTGGGGGATCATCTTGGGAGACTGAGCCCTTAACCTGTTGGGCCTGTTCTAACTCCCGTTAGTGTCCAAATTCAGTTAAATTTTAACCCAGCTGGTGTTACAGAATTGCTTGGTGTGTAGAGGAAACGCCATATACATATTGGTCACCAGAATTGTGTTGTATTGAGAGCATAGTAACATACAATGGGTTGTTGTTTTTTTTCCCCACCGTACACAGTTCATGGAAGGTTTCCTGAACACGCTAGCAATGTGCCTAATAGCCCACGCCAGTGTCTTGTCAGAATCCCAGCCCTATCGTGGACGCTTGGGTACTTGCCCTGTGCTGTCTATTTTGCATATTCTTGCCTTACCCCTTCGATGTGAAGCATAAGTGTCCTTTGAGGCTGCATTTTCATCTCTCATTCTTGCTCCCTTAGACACTTGGGATCTTCCCTCCTATGCTGTTACCATGGGCTTGTGTGTTTTAAACCCAGCATTTCAGCCCTCTGATACATTACACTAGGAAAGGGATTTGCTCCTTCTCCTAAACTGGCTACCAAAGCTACAAATATGACAGGGCATTGTTCCAGGATACTAGTATTTAGAGAATGTTCAATTTTACGTAATGATTCTTAAAAGGTTATAGTCTGTGTATAATGGTTACATTTGCATGTGAGAGTGTAGAAACAATTAGCTTCTACCTACTTAACAGAAATACTTCAGAAGCTATCCCCTCTGGTCAATAATATCTCACCATAAACCACAAAGCTGAGTTATGTGCATTTTTCCTCCTTCTTATAAAATTTTGAATATGGCTCTGCTGAGGACAATGACATTTTTCCCCACGACTCTTTACATTATCTCCCTGTTAGCTTCCCCCTGTAGCTGGCAGAATATTTCTGCTCTCTCTATTCCTCTCGCCTGGCACAAAACCAATGAACAAGATAATGGAGGAAAGCCACATCTACTTGTCAAAAAGTTGCCTGGTAACTTCCTCTGAATCAGCTGGAGTCATCTAAGCCTATGAGTTTATACATCGTGACTCTTGCCTTCACCTGTGCCTTTTTCTCTAGAACAGATTTTTGTGAGTTTTCTTTGAAGAATACTTGGATTAGGAAATGTCAAATTACAATGCTAGAGATAAAAGCATGAAATTTTAAAATATTCAAAACTGAACATATTTACCTGTCCTTGTTCGTACAAACATATCGATTAAATAGACTATGTCTGATACGTAATCCAAAATGAGCCAATATTCTAGGTAATCAGATTGAAGTTCATCAAAACATGCTCTATAAAAAAAGAAACACTTGTATAAATAAAAAAGAAATGGGGGCCAATTTAAGTAAAAGTTCTCTTTGTATATTTTCTTTATCATGATGAGAAGCACAGCACACTCAGGCTAGGAGAGGTCCTTAGAGTCCTTTAATTAACCATGGCTCTCCCGATATTTTCCCTGAGTGGTTGGATTTCGATCCTCACACTTCTGAATTCCAACATCCTTTCCATGATACTAGTCAGCTTAGTAAAAACATCCAATAAGAATAAGTGGGTTGAAGGGTACAAGTATACAGTAAGACAGAAGGAATAAATTCAATGTTTGATAGCAGACTATACTTAACAAAAATGTATTGAACTTGGGTGATGGACACTCTAAATACCCTGACTTAATCACACTATATGCATTATATACAAGTAACAAAATTTCACATGTACCCGATAAATTTGTACAAAAAAATCTTTAAATAAATTAAAAAAATAAATGGCCTAAAACTAAAATCAAAATATGTTGGGTGAAACACATCGATCACCAGGTTCGTATTGACTATCTGTACCCAAAACGCTTTAGGAAGTTGTGCTTGGTCTTGGATGAGTGAGATGTTTACCATCTAAAAGACATTAAATCCTTGATCTTTTTCCACTATTGGCAACATTTTTTTCTCATAGGTCAAAGAAAATAGTTTCTCCCGATGTTCTAATTAAGTTATTATACAACCAAAAGTTTAAAAGTCTTCCCCTCTAACAACAGACACTGGGGTCTATTTGAGAGTGGCAGGTGGGAAAAGGGAGAGAAGCAGAAAAAATAACGATTGGGTACTGGGCTTAACACCTGGGTGAGAAAATAATCTGTGCACCAAACCCCTGTGACACGAGTTTACCTATAAAACAAGCCTGCACATGTACCCCCGAACGTCAAATAAAAGTTAAAAAAATTAAAAAATAAAAGTCTTCCCCGACCCCTCCATGCATCCCAGTACTGCAGACCCAATTATATTGAGAACTGAAGCACTTCCTCCTGATCCCAGGAAAACACACTGAGAATAATCTAGCCTCTCTTTACCACCTGCAGTAGAGAAAGGAGGTGTGTCCTAAAGGGCTCTAAGTCAAATTGTTTAGTCAGTGAACTTGGAAACTAGAAATGGGGTGAGATCCACAAAAAAAAAAAAAAAAAATTATAGACACCTGGCAATAACCATTGTCCAGTTGTACATAACAGGTAATGTGATGCAAAACAGCCAGTTGTAATATGTGTTTCCCGAGGGATCAATAACCACAACTTCTTTCTTCTCCCTAGCGGCAATTAGAAATAAAGGGGATAGTTACCAAGATACAAGAACATTTTTATTTACCATGTTAAACATCGTTATGCCCATCAACCACAATTAATGAAATGGAAGTAAGCTGGAGAAGCTCACTCTGCAGTGTGAAGATTAGCATGGCATAAGAGCACTAGTCATAAGAAAGTGGTTAGTGAGGGGTGGATAGATAACAAAACTACCAGTTTTTTTTTTTTTTTTTTTTTTGAGAGGCCAGCTATGTTTTATTAAGCTAAATGTTAAAGAGATGTGTAAAAATGTAAAACAATGCCACTCTTCTCATTAAGACCAGTCTTATATTAAAGCATACATTAGGTTTTTACTAAAGCCCTGGTTTCACTGCGATGCTGCAGTCAGTTGTATACCTCAGCCACTGAGAGGGAATAGTGGCATAGATCTGGGGTCCCCAACCCCCGGGCTGTGGGCCGGTACTGGTCTGTGGTCTGTTAGGAACCCAGCGGGCCACACAGCAGGAGGTGAGCTGCAGGGTGAGGGAGGTTTACTGCCTGAGCTCGGCCTCCTGTCAGATCAGCAGTGGCATTAGATTCTCATAGGAGCACAAACCTTATTGTGATCTGCGCGTGCAAGGGATCTAGGTTGCACACTCTTTATAAGAATGTAATTAAAATAAAAATTAAATTTTTATTTCAGTTTTTAAAATGATTGTAGGATCCTAGAAACCTAATCCTCCTTGGAACCTAAATATTTCTCAGCGATAAGTTATCTTCACCAATGCTTAGGGAAGAGAATTAACCCTAGCAGTGAAAATTCTTGAGAGAATTAAGAATAATGCTACCATTGCTAATTTTAGGGAAATTGGAAAAAGTTTTAATTCACTTCTGATAATTTATGTTAAATGTTTATTTTTCAATATTTAAAGACATTTAGTCTTTACACAGGGCTCTTTACTATAAAGTTTCTTTCTACTTTGTATTATGGAAAATCATCCCTGCATCTAAAACCCATCACAATTTCCTTCTATTTCAATGCCACTAAAAGTGCTTACTCTTCTTTCTTATCTTTGCTTTTCTCCTCTTTCTTTTTCTTCTCTTTGTCCTTTTTCTTCTTTTTCTTCTCTGGGTCGTTTTTATTTTCGTTTTTATCATCTGACTTGCTGAAAAAATTAAGCAAGTAGTATTAAAATACAGAAATGTTATGGGCAGAAAAATGTGGGGTAATTCTTGCCAAAGTCTTACCTCTTCTTTTCTTTTTTCTTTTTCTTTTTTTCTTCTGGTTCCCTAAAGAAAAAAATAATATATCTGTCACATAATCACAGTCTTCCACTCTTATTTACTTTCTTTTTCATTGAGCAAAAATCTCAGCTTTGCATTCAAAGACCTGCTCCAGTGCTCAAAACCCATCTGGTCTCTTACTGGAGGTTTCTACCCCAAAAAGTGGGGGGTGGGGCAGACAATTATCCAGATAATAAACAAGAACTTCTAAGCTAATAGATTTGGGAAATAGAAACAAATGGAGATGAATAAAGGCATAAAACCAAGGAGAAAAATTTAAGAAACAACAGCCCCCCAAGAGTGTTCTTCGAAAGTGTTAATGTATTAAAAATAATATTTAAAATTTAAGCTTCTTGACATCATTTACATTTATCCTTGAATAAAATCATTCAGAATTTTAAGAAAATGCCATCAATTTTCTTTAGAGGGGATAACCCTGACTGAAGTCATTTTTCATGAGTAATCAACAAGCTGTCTGGTAATATGGTGGAATCTCAGTTATTAGAATAATTTACCAGATTTAAGGCCACCTTTTTCCACATACAATTTCTTCTTGAGTGGAGACTGTGTAACTAGTGCCTCTTTCTATGATTAGCTTTCTCTATCAGCAGGGGAATAGATTCTGAAGTCAGACAGACCTAGGGTTATAGCAGGCTGCCATTGTCAGCTCAGAAGTCTTAGGAAATTTCATTAGCCAGACATGAATGAACAGGCATCTTGTTACCACTAGGATAGTCAGAGAAGGCTTTTAAAGGGAAGTAGTTCTAAAGCTAGGCCTCAAAGTATCACTAAGACTTGGAGTTGAGAAGAAGAGAGAGGATGTTAGAGCAGGAAAATTTCTAAGTGCAATGGACTCAATCTGGGTAAGAATGACCCAACAGAAGTGGAAAGCCTCTGTTAAGAAGAAATGGAAGATAAGATTGACAAGTGAGGTGAGGCTTAACATCTAAGATGGTCACGTACAAACAGGGACAGAACAATAAAGTTGGATAAGGAAGAATTTACTGCTATGGGAGTACACTTCTATTCAAGATTTGACAGCCTAGCATGGATCCTGAAGGATGATGTCGACACACTACTCAAATGGCTCTTGGAAACCTGGAAAAAGGTAATGGTCCACACAAAATGAAATAAACATTAACACCATGGCAGATGGTGGAGGAAGGTATCAAAAGACTCAGAAAAGTGGCATCTTGAAGTGGATACACTGTTTGGAAGATAGCCTACCAGCTAATTATGTTCCCAAAGAGGGCTCAAAGGATGCAAAAGTGATGTGGAATGGGCTGGTGAGAGGGATATTATCAGCTTTGAGAAGTTCAGTGGTACTATCCTCTGTAGGCCAGGGCTGATGGTGGGAAATGTCATTACAGAACTGAGTTCTCTGAGAGCAATAGGGATAATAGGATCTAGAAATAACTGAGACTAATGGCAGTGCTTACCCATCAGAAGTAAGGTTGGTCCAGTAATTATAATGAGCATTAAGGTGGGGATGGTAACCAAGGGTCTTAACCCATAGACAGCTATGGAGGAGGTTAATAGAATATAGTATTCCTAGACAGATGGGAAGCCTGTTAGCTAGTTAGGGTATTATTTAATGTATACAACCAAAATGAATCAGGAATGAATAATTAGGAGGTTGAGGGCAACTTACTCCATCAAAAAAATCAGAATCCTAGTAGGGCATGGTGGCTTATGGCTATAATCTCAGCACTTTGGGAGGTTGAGGCGGGAGGATCACTTGAGCCCAGGAGTTCAAGACCAGCCCGGGCAACATAGCAAGACCCCATCTCAAAAAATAAATTGATTCATTACAATTTAAATTTTAAAAAAATCAGAATCCTTTGAACAGTTCCAGACCTAAGCCAGTACTTAGACCTAAGCCAGTACTTAGACCTAAAACCAATGACTAGAGGAGAAGCCAAGACCCATGAAGAAAGACTCTGCAACAGTATGACAAACATATTCCAGTAACGATTTCCCTGGTCTTTCTCCTAAAGAACCTATGACCATTACTTAGATCACTATACTCTGGGGGAAAAAAGAATACTTAGATACATTGAAGACTGTTTGGCACAGGATCCATGTTGATGTTGACACCTAGGGATTGAAGCATCATCGTGGCCCCCTGTTAAACTTGAGGGGCATATGATGGACTGGTAATAATAGATTCCTGGATGAGATATGACTTATGGTGTTTCCCACTGGGTCCACAGACCCACTACTATGTGATCATTTCTCCAGTTCCTAAATGTAAAAGTGAAATGTATGTAATTCTTGAATATAAAAGTAGAATGTATATAAGTTCCTGAATATAAAAGAGAAATGTATATAATTGTATAAAATCATGCATGGAGGAGTGGTGGTCTCTCTTAATTTCCCCATGTAATTTATCATCTGACTCCCACAAAAACCAAATAGATCCTAGTGGATGGCAGAGAGACTACTGCAAAATCAACCAAGTAGTAGCCCCAATTGCAGCTGACATGTCCTATGTGGAAAATAACACAGTGACCCACTCTGTGATCATTTCTCCAGTTCCTAAATGTATAAGTGTAATGTACATAATTCCTGAATACAAAAGGGAAATGTATATAGTTGGTCATCGGCACAACTCCCACCCCTACCCCACTAGTTCCTTGGCTTGTGAGGAAAGAGGTGTAAGACCGAGGAGAAGCCCTTAAGCTGCTTCCCACCTTCTGGCCAAAAGCAACATTGCATCCTGGGGAGAAAAAGAAATGCCATCCTTAAAGACCTAATGCATGCAGGGGTGGTGATCGCTCTTCATTTCCCCACATAATTCATCATCAGACCCCTGCAAAAACCAAATGGATCCTAATGGATAGCAATAGACAATTGCAAAATCAACCAAGTAGTAGCCCCAATTGCAGCTGCTGTGTCATATGTGGAAAACAATGCATTCACTTGATATACACTGCATACCTAAGGTTCTGGGTCAGTCATTGTGAATGTCATTTTTCATTACTATCAGGAAAGAGGATCAGACATAGCTCATACTCACAGGGGATAACAAACTGTACACACCTACACTCTTTTCCAAGGCTATATTAACTTTCTTTCCTACTGTCATGACAGCCTTGAGGGACCTGGATCACGTGGACATTTCTCAGAGCACCACATTAGTCCACTATATCTGCATCAATGGCATTCTGTTAGTCAGGCCCTGAAATAGGATTACCTAACCATGGGACATAAAAAGAATGCCCATTATGAGATGGATTCTGTCAGAAACAACAATTCATAATGTATCAATCCGTCATATGATGAAGTAAGATATCTGGGATTGAGCATGAATCAGAGCAAATAAGTAAGCTGCCCAGGCAGGTGGCTCAGTACCCTTCGTCTTTTTCTTTCTTTCTTTCTTTCTTTCTTTCTTTTTTTGAGGAGTCTTGCTCTGTCACCCAGGCAGGAGTGCGGTGGCACAATCTCGGCTCACTGCAACCTCTGCCTCCCAGTTCAAGTGATTCCCCTGCCTCAGCCTCCCAAGTAGCTGGGACTAAAGGCGTGCACCACCACACCTGGTTAATTTTTGTATTTTTAGTAGAAATGAGGTTTCACCATGTAGGTTGGCCAGGCTGGTCTCGATTCCTGACCTTAGGTGGTCTGCCTGCCTCGGCCTCCCAAAGTGCTGGGATTACAGGTGTGAGCCACCATGCCCGGCCTTCAGTACCCTTCTTTATGTCATTTCCACGTTGGAAATTTCCATTTATTTTCCACTATGTCATTTTCCACTCAGCACCTATTTATCAGCCCCCACCTGTGGTCATATGTGGGGTTCTTTAGAAGGAGCTGATACAGCATGTTGCATAGATGGGTCAGTTTAGAATGTGGATGCAAGCCAAAATGGTCTGTGTCTGCACCACAGCCTCACTTAGAGGTGGTCTTGAAAGTGTGAGGTTAATTTCCCCAATGGCACAGCTTCAAGCAGTATACAGTCATCTAGTTTGTATGGAAAAAGAAATAGCCCAGACTGGGTCCGATGGCTCAAGCCTGTAATCCCAGCACTTTAGGACGCTGAGGTGGGAGGATCACGTGAGGCCAAGGAGTTAGAGACCAGCCTGGCCAACATGGCGAAACCCCACTAAAAATACAAAAATTAGCCAGGCGTGGTGGCTCACGCCTGTAATCCCAGCTACTTGGGAGGCTGAGGCAGGAGGATCATTTGATCCCGGGAGATGGAGGCTGCAGTGAGCCAAGATTGCACCACTGCGCTCCAGCACAGGCAACTGAGTGAGTACCTGTCTCAAAAAAGAAAAGAAAAAAAAAGGGAAAAAGAAATAGCCCAAATTAAGAATATACATGTGTAAAAGGACTCGTGGGCAGTCACAAATGCCTTGACTGGTTGGTCAGGGACCTGGATGGAAAACGATGGAAAGATCAGGGAAAATATTTCAGAAGAGGCAGACTGAATGGACATATTATGAGTGTGAGCACAAAGTTTGAAAATCTTTGTTTTTATTTGTCTGTTTTTTGCTCGTAGTGAACATGCCTGTTACAGAGACCAATGCTATGACTCCAAAACAGTGCTTTCTCCTGAGGAAAGTAATCAGTCACTTGATGGCAAGTTAACTAAATTGGACTCCTGACACCATGGAAGGGGCATCAAATATATTGATAAGAACTGACATATATTATGACTATTCATTTGCTTTTTTGCCACAGGGCTTTGACCAGTGCCATTATTTAGGGGCATATGAAGCATGATCACTATATATGAAATATTGCTTAACATCACTTTGGACCAAGGACCCACTTTAAGGCAAAAAAAAAAAAATGTGGCATTGGAACCTGAGTTTGGGATCCAGTGGTCCTATCATAAGCTGCACACCTTTGTCAGCTACTGACATGATAGTTAAGGAGGGACTTTTTGAAACCACAGCTGAAGTGCTATCATAGAGTTTATACTCTAGGAAGAAAAGGTGCCATCCTCTAGGATACTGTATATATGCTAAAACAATGATCATTGTATGGTTCTCTATGCCTGTATAGAATGCATTGGTCTGGGAACTATGGGGTCTAAGTAGGGGTGACAAATGTAGGAAAGGTATGTTTCCCATTCTTGCAACTTAAGGATCTATGGATCTAGAGGTCCTGGCTTCCAGAGGGGTGATGCATCTGCCAGGGAATGCCAGAGTTCCATTAAACATTAAGCTACGGCTACTCCCCAGCCACTTTGGTCCCCTCATGCCCAACAGGCAAGGAAGAGAGTCACCACACTGGCAAAAGTTATTGACCGTGATCATCAGAAGTAGGCAGTGCTGTATACAATGCAGGGAGGGGAGATGTATTTGCACCTAGGTGGTCTTTTGGTATTTTCCAGCCCAGTTTTGGTGGTAAATGGGCAAGTACTGTAGCCATGACTCAAGAAGGGCATGGTGACCCAGGGCTCAAGTTCTTCAGGGATGAGTGTCTGTACTGTTCCACCAGCTAAGTCATCTAGACCAGCAGATGTGCTGGCTAAGGGTGAGAGGACCCTAGAATGAGTAGAAGCGGAGAGGGTGAAGAATTTCATTTGAGGCCTCAAAACCACCTGCAACTGCCAGAGACCTTAGTTTAATCCCATTAACTTTACTCTTATAAGCTTTCTCAGGAAAAAATAACCAGGATCCTGGAGTAGGTATTCCCACATGGGGTGAATTTTCTATATAAACAAAATGGATCTGGGCAGCACACGGTTGGGCCATACAGTGGCTATGCAGGTGGTGCACAAAATTCAGGCACTCATTCCCCACTTGCCAAGAGTGTTGGTTGCTGTCAGCTCAGTTTTTCCTCTCCCTTGGCTGGCCTTGGCTGAAGGAAACCACCATGCTCCATCCAGATGGTTATGCTCCATCTTCTAGGGCCAACTTTTTTCCAATAACTGTGCATGGGAACAAAGGCCCAAGTCTATTACCTAAATAGGGACAACTCTAAAAGGTCATCCCTGCTCCAGGGATCCCCAGAGAATCACATTGTACATCAGCTCTATTCTCTGAAGTTCGACTTCTCCCTCTGCCCAATACTGACCCCCAACTCCCTTCCAGATATTGTTCCCAAGACCATTCCCAACAAACTTCTGCATACAAGCCTCCATCTCAGAAACTGTCTCCTGAGGAAATTCACCTAAGACACATTGGCTCAAACTGGAAAGGAGTAATATTTCCTGACAAAAATTCACTTATTTTTGTCAGTCACTCTATTCACAGAGAAAGTCAACTGCATGAACACTATAGACATGATTTTTTCTACATGTATTCAAATAAATGAATGAACACTACTTTTCAACAAAATGATAAGACTATCATTGCCATTGTATTAGATCATTTGATTAATAAATGTTTCCTCTATAACAGATTCAGATATATTCCTACATTTTTACTGGTTTTCTTTAAAACCAAAACTTTGGTTTTCTATTGTAAATATACTTACTGGTCCTTATTGCTGCTGTTGTTCACATTAAAAAGTGCAATGGCACCAGGCAGGTACTGCTCCCTGGGAAATGAAAAACATGCAGTGAAATCACAGTAGTCACCATCTGTATAATGTCCATGGTAGGCAAATGGTCTGAAAAAACAAATTCTTCTCCATTTCTACTCATTACTAAAGACTATGTAGATGATAGATATTTCAAAAACATATTATGAAGCATAAAGCATAAAAGTATATCCTGAGCCTCCATGAAGCATGACTTGCCAAATGCCAGTGTCTTGAACAAACATAGTGATATGGTTTGGCTGTGTCCCCACCCAAATCTCATCTTGAATTATAGCTCCCATAATCCCCACATGCCACGGGAGGGACCCAGTGGGAAGTAATTGAATCATAGGGGTGGGTGTTGCCCATGCCATTCTCGTGCTAGTAAATAAGTCTCACAAGATCTGATGGTTTTATAAAGGGCAGTTCCCCTGCACATGCTCTCTTGCCTGCCACCATGTAAGACATGACTTTGCTCCTCCTTTGCCTTCTGCCATGATTGTGAGGCCTCCCCAGCCATGTGGAACTGTGAGTCCAGTAAGCCTCTTTTTCTTTATAAATTAACCAGTCTCGGGTATTTCTTCATAACATTATGAAAATGGACATGGTTAGTAAATGCATATCAGTCAATGTTCATACCAAGAATTAGCTTAAGTGAACCAACCTCAATGCCAGTAACTCCCAACAAGAAACCTAAGACTGTTAGGGAAAGTAAGATGAGGAGAAAAGCTAAATAAAAACAATGGGAAGGCTGGAGGTAGTCAATGGGAAGAAAAATAAGAAAAAGGAAAAAAAAGTAAAGAAAGAGTAATTATGTAAAACAGGTGGAAACCCCAGCTCCAACACCAATACCACACCACACCCCTTCTGCAATCTCAAGTCCGGTATCTGAAGTTTTCACAACTTCTTTATTTCCTACTAAGGATATTTTTGCTTTTCTCTTCTAGCACCTCTCTCCAGTGCTCTATTTCCTAAAAGTAGGACCAAAAGGGATGGAGCATTTTAGAGAATAACAGCCAACCCTCTCACATGTACTTGCTTCAGGACCCTGAAAGAAGGATCAGAGAGAAACAAGAAATCAGAAAGGACTGGGTTTCTTAAGGGACAGACCCCAGTGGGTCTCAGGGAAAATGAAGCAAGAGTGTTTACAACTTGGAACGCCATGGCCATAAATAATCATCGGGCAGTGGCAATATTTCCCAAGAGACGGCATGGGTAAGGAACAGAAGTAATTCCTCCTGAGATCCCACATTGTGTGTAGATAGCAGAGGCATTTGCCGAGCTTGCTCCGAAACAACAGTTTACAAACCCATTTATGCCTAGTGTTTGATTATTGGAACGCTAAGCATGTGGGAGTTATTTCTATCCTACTGCTCAAGGTCATCACCATGATCTGATTGCAAAAATTCAAAACACTGCAACCTTAAGCATAAATGGTTAAAAACAAGCACCAAGGGATGGATCATACTGCTCACCTCTGTGATGGTCCTCCCTTTCTGAGTGACTTATAACTAAAGGAACCCCTTGCATGAGGGTTTTCATTCTCTGATTCTTCAGATGTAGAGGCACTGTCATCATCCTCAGAAAAGGAGCTACAGTCCAATAGGAGGCAGAGAGAGAAGAGTTAATGTTTTCAACCACTGCAGAGAGGCAACATTCCTCACTAGGGGGACAATTGCCTCACCTCTTTTCCTTCCCTCTCAAACTAACACACATAACAATTTTTAGTTAGCATAAAGTTAGAACTATACAAAATACATAGAATTATATAAAATATGTGCATAATTCAGTAAAATGCATTTAACTAAGAAACTAGTTTCTAGGTTTTCCACATTCCTATTGTTTGATGCATTGGTTGATGTTAATATTTATCAAATAGCAAGTGTGATATCTGGGACTTAGATCATATTATACCTTTGTGTGAACTAGTTTTCTAACTAATGTTTCGTCCCACTAAAAGTAAATTCAACCACATTCATATACATTATATTCATTTATAGGGTAAGCACTTTAAATTATACTTTTAAATCACATTGCTAGCATTTCATACTCTGAGTACTTTTCATATGTATCTATGGCAATGTCATCTCTTTAGATTCAAAATGTCACTTGAGGAAAAGCCCTGCCATTGACTAAAGAAATGTTTGGCATAGGTGCTTAATAGATGCTTCCAAAAAAGTGACCACAATAATATCTATGTTCAGGCTGGGCATGGTGGCTCATGCCTGTAATCCCAACACTTTGGGAGGCCGAGGCAGGCAGATCACTTGAGGTCAGGAGTTCGTGACCAGCCTGGCCAATATGGCAAAACCCTGTCTCTACTAAAAATACAAAAAAAAAATTAGCCTGGTGTGGTGGTGCACACATGTAGTCCCAGCTACCTGGGAGGCTGAGGCAAGAGAATCACTTGAACCCAGAAGGCAGAGGTTGCAGTGAGCTGAGATTGTGCCACTGCGTTCCAGCCTGTGCAACAGAGTGAGACTCCATCTCAAAATAAATAAATAAATAAATAAATAAATAAATAAATAAATAAAATCTATGTTCATTTGTTAGACAAGTTATGCAGTTCCAAAGTGTAAATAAATTTGCTAAATACATTACAAAGTTCAAGGTTACAAATTATAAAGCTAAATTGAAATTAAATCTAGTTAAATTAAAGAACTGTAGCTAATAATAAAAATGCATGGGAAAATGTTTGGATTTACCTGCATGCTCCATTTTCCATCCTTCGTATTTCCTTTTCAATATCTGGTACAATCACATTGGGCATGGTTACAAAAGACTGCTGTGTATTGATAATATTGTTCTTCATGGATAGTTTCATATCTGAGGAGAAAGAAGTCTTATTAGTGGAAAGGCTATTTTTATATATTTACATATATAATCAAAAGTTTCACCCTATGTATTAGTCTGTCCTCATGCTGCTAATAAAGACATACCTGAGACTGGGTAATTTATAAAGGAAAGAGGTTTAATGGACTTGTAGCTCCACATGGCTAGGGGGAGCCTCACAATCATGGCAGAAAGCAAAGGAGAAGCAAAGACACATCTTACATGGCAGCAGGCAAGAGAGCTTGTGCAGCAGAACTCCCCTTTATAAAACCATCAGATCTCATGAGACTTATTCACTATCATGAGACTAGCATGGGAAAAACTCACTCCCATGATTCCACTGCCTCCCACTGAGTTCCTCCCATGACACATAGGGATTATGGGAGCCGCACTTTAAGATGAAGTTTGGGTGGGTACACAGCCAAACCATATCAACCCTACCATTTTTCTAAGACTATATAATACCATCTGTTTGCAGTTTTACATAGGAATTATTCTTTAATAGAATGCAGGCATGGCCTGTTCCCCTAATTTCCATTGACCAGTTTTTTGTAAAAAAATTTTTAATTTAAGAATGTACCAGACTTATAAAACATTTATAAATTTGGATTTATCCCAGTTTTGAAATACTCAAGCAATGTAACTGTAGAACAAAACCATAGGGACCTCGCATACCCATCAAGCAATTAAATAACAGTAAAAAGCAGTAGATGTAATGGAGGTAATCTGCTGTGAATTTCCATAGGCATTTGGACAAAAAGGGTCTTGAGTAGTATTCAAACTTTAGAGGAAAGAGAGATAAAATTGATCACATTTTTAGCAAGTCCCCTAAATTATTCAGATGCATATATACCCAAGCAACATATTTTGAAAACACTGGCCTAAACTCTAGTCAGGACATATTATTTCCTCAGCTCAGGTAGAGGAGGCAGGGTGGAATTTCAATTCACTTTCCAGCTGCTCCCAGCACAGGCCATGCCCCTTTGGCTGCTGTCTGAGACTCTGCCTTCTTCACTGGCTTCAGCTTCCGTTTGTCTATGATTTCTGTTCATGGTCCTCAGGAAGGATCCTCTCTCCAGTTTGAGGGAACCCACCTTGAGAATGCCAGTAACTGATAACGGGAAGGGGGACAGGGAAGTGCTGGGTAGAGAAGAGTGGGGTCCCCGGCGAGGGCTCCACACTCGGGCCTTATGCCCTCGGACCTTATGCCCTCGGACCTAAGTGAAAACAGGCACTCCTGTTTTCGCCTCAATGTTGCATTTTCTGAGACCACTCTAGCTGTCACGTCCCCCCCATCCTGTGCCCATATAAACCTGAGACCTTAGCGGGCACACACACAAGCGGCTGAATGTCGAGAGGAACAGAGTGGCAGAGAATAGCAGAGAGCGGCAGAGAGTGGTGGAGAGCAGCAGAGCAGCACGGCAGAGAAGGAGGGAAGAGGCGTCTGAACATCAAGAGGAGTTGCGTCCAGAACGGCGGAACTCCAGGGGAAGATTATCCCCACACCCCTCCACCTTCCCGGAATTCCAGCTCCCCATCCCGCTGAAAGTCACCTCCACTGTTCAACAAAGTCTCAGCATTCATTACCTTTCAAACAGTTCATATGACCTGATTTGTCCAGTACTCTGGAAAAGAATGGAGGTGGGGAGGTTAACACTCAGCTGTCCCCGGACAGCAAGGCTAAAGGAGCTCACTATAACACATGCCCACTTGGGCTCTGGCACCTTTCCGTCTGCGTGCTCCCCCTTCCCTCAGGGGTTTGAGCAGCGGCGGGGGAGGGGACCAAACAGGTGAGCCACACCCCTGCCGCACGTCCTGCAAGGGGAATCAGAAAACCTTCCCATTTTATAACCACATGAAAGATGACATCGCCTGCATCTTCCATGGCTTCCAATACTCGGTGCCAGAATGGTTCTGACTGCAGAGTGGTGAATGTTCCTCCTCCTAATTCCCTACTGGCCTTGATCACCTAGGCGTGGAGTTTGATACCTGCCCTTAAAAGAGCCAGCCACTTAAAGAACATACTTCTGTTCAAAACGTGCACATGTGAGGCACCCCTTCAGGGATTCCCTGGAAAACCTTACGAGCCTTTTTGAAGGGGGGGTAAAGCTGAAGGCCCTCTGGGTGTAGGTGGAGCTGAAATTCTGTGCCGTTGATGACTATGCAAATTTATTTGGATCCAAAGACTCCATGGGCCCAGGGACCTTTAGGCTATATTCAAACAGGGCTGCTATGTAAAGGTACTCACCGATATAGCTAGACCAGTTGTTTATAACCATCCTTTATAACTATCCTTTTCTGATAGTTAAGTGCTCACGACTGTAATAGTTGTTAAATATTTTAGTATCACTTTTTCCTAATTTTGTTACTTAACAGTTTTGTGTACATGCCTCAGTGACTCAATTAGGATATGAATTCTTGGAATCCAATAAAATTTCTTTTTCTCTGTCTCTTTTTTCTTTTCTTTTTTTTTTTTTTTTTTTTTTTTTTTGAGACAGAGTCTCACTCTATCACCTAGGCTGGAGTGCAGTGGTGCGATATCAGCTCACTGCAACCTCTGCCTCCTGGTTTTGAGCTGTTCTCCTGTCTCAGCCTCCCAAGTAGCTGGGATTACAGGCGCCCACCACCACGCCTGGCTAATTTTTGTATTTTTACTAGAGACAGGGTTTCGCCATGTTGGTCAGGCTGGTCTCCAACTCCTGACCTCAGGTGATCCGCCCCCTTCAGCCTCTCAAAGTGCTGGGATTACAGGCGTGAGCCACCGCGCCTGGCCCATATAACAATTTTTTTAATGATTGGTCTATGCTATGAGAACAGATTATTACTAAGGTACAAAGTGGTGTTCCAGCTGCAGTTCCCTGCCTGAGCCATGCTGTTTCACACCTCTGTGCCTTTGCATATGCTCTCCTTGGGCTTCAAAAGTCCACTTCTCTTGAGTCCAAATAGGTGTTATCCATTGCTCAAGTCCAGGCCACTGACTCCTCGCCCTTGACCTAGGTAATTGCTTCCTTCTCTTCTCTGCCACTGCATTTTGTACATATTTCAATTGTTTTCCACTTGCTAAATTGTGACACACACCATCTTCACAAGGCTACAACCTCCTCTGGAAGGGAGACTTTTGTAACCACAGCAGTGCTTGCACATGATAGGTACTCAAGAAATGCTTATGGCATGAACAAATATAGTTTTGTGTTTTAAAAAGCTATACTCATGAGACATTTCATTAGAAGTTATGAAAACTCACTAAATTTACAACGACTTTGAAATGGTTCTTAGGGCGACAGATATGGTGAATTGGCCCACATAACCCATTCTTCTCTCCTTCTAGTGTGCTTTCATGATCTGCAAAAACTGAAAGAGCTAAAAATCTACATTACTGAGTCTGCTTTGCAGCTCAGATTCTGGATGGCATTTGCGGCACTTAGGTTTAGTCAATTAAATGCATTTGTATGAGATTTGGAAGGTAGAAGTGAGGTGAAGACAATGGATCTTCCATTTCTGCTATGGCTGCCAGCAAGAATGGGCAGGGACACGTTGGATATTCTGAGGCGGCTATCCCCGTCTGGTTACTAGCTTTCCTGGTGCCAAAGGAAGGGCATCCAGTTTATGCTGGAATGCATCTAGCAGGAGTAGGGTGACTGTTGTGCCAGGTGCAGTGGAAGTGGCTCCCATCTAAGGAAGTGCGTTCTTGAATAAACAGTTCCAGTGGGAGCTTCCTCACTGCCCACTTTCAGGTTACAAGAGAGGAAGAAACTTCCCTGCTGGCTAATTCTGGCATATTGTTCTGGGGTTATGCCTATGGTTCAGCCTAGAGCCCCAGCCCTTCTAATGACTCTTTGCATCTATTTCCAAGAATTAAAGCTCTTTCTATTGAAAAAGGCCAGTGTACAATTCGGTTTCTGCAAATGAACAAATTCTTTTCCTGATTTTAGATACATGAAGTGCTGTAGAACATTGGAAATGGTTGCCAAAATGAGGGAAAGGAAGGGGAAGGAAAGGACAGAACGGGAAATGTGAAAGAAGAGGAAGGAAAAGGGAAGGAAGGAGTGTGGGAGAGGTGATAGAGAGGAGAAAAGCAGAGCACATTCCCAGACTTTTTGTTGCTATTGTTGTTGTTTGAAGAAAATTTAGGAGAAACATTAATGGTCAAACTGCCTTTTTTGCTGGCATTTAAATATCTACATTATAATAAATTCCAGAATTTACTGCAAATTTTTATTTTTTTATTTTTTTATTTATTTTTAGACCGAGTCTTGCTCTGTCACCCAGGCTGGAGTGCAGTAGCACAATCTTGGTTCACTGCAACCTCTGCCTCCCGGGTTCAAGTGATTCTCCTGCCTTGGTCTCCCAAGTAGCTGGGATTACAGGTGCATGCCACCATGCCTGGCTAATTTTTTTGTATTTTTAGTAGAGACAAGGTTTCACCATGTTGGCCAGGCTGGTCTCGAACTCCTGACCTTAGGTGATCCACCCACCTCAGTCTCCCAAAGTGCTGAGATTACAGGTGTGAGCCACTGCCACCAGCCTGCAAATTTTTACATTAGTCTAACCTTTCAAGATGATGAGAATATTGTCTCCTTAAATATATTCATGGATCTTTTACTGAAGTGAGCAAAAATCACACACTGAGCATGGTGGCTCAAACCTGTAATCCAAGCACTTTGGGAGGCTGAGGTGGTAGGATTGCTTAAGGCCAGGAGTTCAAGACTGGGCAACATAGCAAGATCTCCATCTCTACAAAATAAAAATAAGAATAAAATGTTAGCCCAGAGTGGTGATGTGCACCTGTAGTCCCAGCTACTTGGCAGGCTGAGGCAGGTGGATCACTTGAGCTTTGGAGGTTGAGGCTGCAGTGAGCTGTGATTGTGCCACTGCACTCTAGCCTGGGTGACAGAGAGTGACCTCATCTCTAAAAATAAAATTAAAATTAAAAATGGAAATAAGAAAATCACTGATATTTATGCCTCAAGTTCACAAGCACTAGAGGAAATTTGAAGAAAGGTGAGTTTAGCAATGATAAGAAACATCTTTATGCTATTTAAAAGATCTCCCACCAGATATAGAACTGAACTGACCAGATACAAACAGTATTAAGGTTTCAAAAATTCAGAAACCTTGATTAGCTTTGGCCATTCTCCTATGTTGTAAGCATTTGATAATGTATCAGATAGATGTGTTTGTAATTTTTTTTTTTTTTTTTTTTGAGATGGAGTCTTGCTCTGTCGCCCAGGATGGAGTGCAGTGGCGGGATCTCAGCTCACTGCAACCTCCACCTCCCGGGTTCAAGTGATTCTCCTGCCTCAACCTCCCGAGTAGCTGGGACTACAGGTGCGTGCCACCACACCCAGCTAATTTTTTGTATTTTTAGTAGAGATGATATTTCACCGTGTTAGCCAGGATGGTCTTGATCTCCTGACCTCGTGATCCACCCACCTCAGCCTCCCAAAGTGTTGGGATGTGAGCCACCGTGCCTGGCCATGTTTGTAATTTTTATATACACCTCTGTTTAACAATAACTTTGCTCATGCTGTTCATTTTGCATGGAATTCTTGACTCTTTTTGTTCTCCCAGGAAAAATCCTATTTGGCCTTCAAAAATCAGTTCATATATTCCCTGTGTAAAGACATCAATGAGGCCAGGCGTGGTGGCTCACGCCTGTAATCCCAGCACTTTGGGAGGCCGAGGCAGGCTGATCACCTGAAGTCAAGAGTTCAAGAGCAGCCTGGCCAACATGGTGAAACTCCATCTCTACAAAAATACAAAAATTAGCAGGGCATGATGGCGGGTGACTAATCCCAGCTACTTGGGAGACTGAGGCAGGAGAATCATTGGAACCCAGAAGGTGGAGGTTACAGTGAGCCGAGATCGCACCATTGCGCACCAACCTGGGCAACAAAGCAAGACTCCGCCTCAAAAAAAAAAAAAATAGACGTAGATGATTACTTGGGCACAGAATCCAGCACACCCTCCTTTTTATTCCCATAGTTCTGTGCGTCTACCTCTCTACACACTGGCTACTACATGGGTACTGATACATCCACCTCCCCTGCTAGATTGTGAGCTCTTCGGAAAAGTTCATACAGGAGCTCTTGAACGTAATACCTGATATTTACTAAAGCTTTTTAGCATTAAAGTGGAATCAATTCTGCACTAAGTTTTAACTGAGTACCTTAAACATAATTCATTATAATTATTTCATTTTTCATTTAAGTAATGCAGAAACATAAGTAATAAAGTTAAAGCTACAAATAAATTTATTTTTATTACAGAAATAAAATCACTTGCCATAACAGAATTACTTTGATTGTTTATAGAGAAATTAACAACATAAAGAAGAAAATGTTTGCGAAGAAGATTTTATGTGATCAATCAACAAAGACATGAAGCATGGAGATTTTGAGAAAGGTCAGGAAACTATAGAGAAAGACAGGTATAAGTCACTGGGGAGAGAGTTGGTGGCAAATGTGGGTGCTGGTGCCCAACAGCCTCGCAAAAACTATCATGTTTAATTAGAGGCAAAGGGAATATTATAGAAACTCAAAAGAAATGAGAAATCAATAACAACAACCAATGGTACACACTCATCTAAGAGCCTTTGGACCACCAAAAATATATCAGATTTAATTAGTCCCACTAATTCCATGTTCACTTTGGAAACTTGAAAACCTTGTGGCCTGAGTGTGCAAATAAAGTAAATTATCATTTTAAAAGTACATGGAGAAAAAAAGAAAACTCCACCCCTGCCTCACACCACCACAAAAATTAATTCAATATGGATCACAGACCTAAACACAAAAGCTAAAATTATAAAGCTTCTAGAATAAAACATAGGAAAATAGTCTCATAACTTTGGGGTAGGCAAAGTTTCTTAGAAAGGGCACAAAAAAGACACTCAATCTAAAAGAAAAAAAATTTTTTTAGACAGTCTCACTCTGTCACCCAGGCTGGAGTGCAGTGGCGCCATCTCGGCTAACTGCAACCTCCGCTTCCTTAGTTCAATTATCTTGCCTCAGTCACCAGAGTAGCTGGGATTACAGGCACCTGCCACCATGCCTGGCTAATTTTTTTGTATTTTTAGTAGAGTCGGGGTTTCACCATGTTGGCCAGGTTGCTCTCAAACTCCTGACCTCAAGCGACCTGCCCGCCTTGGCCTCCCAAAGTGCTGGGATTACAGTTGTGAGCCACCACGTCCAGCTCTAAAAGAAATTCGCGATGCATTGGATATCATCAAAAATTATAAACTTTTGCTTATCAAAAGACATATAAGAAGATGTAAAGGCAAGCCACAGATAATCATATTCACAGTACATTTATCTGACAAGACTTATATACATAAAATTTATGAAATTTTATGCAAATCAACCATAAAAACAACCCAATAAAAATATAAACAAAAATCATCAACAAATCCTTCCTAAAAGAAGATATAAAAATAACTAATAAGCACATGAAAATGTGCTTAACTCATCAGTCAACAAATAAATGCAAATTAAAACCACAAGATACTTTTTCACACCTAGTACAATGGCTAAAATTTAAAAGACCAACACCCCAAATGTCACGCATGTCACTGGTGGGACAAAAGATTGTACAACCTCTTTGGCAAACTGTCTGGCAGTTACCTACAAACACACAACTACTCTGTTTCTCACTAATTTCAGTATATGTATTTACTCAATTTAAGATGGATCACTGACCTAAACATAGAAGCTAAAATTATAAAGCTTCTAGATGAAAACATAGGAAAATATCCTCATGACCTTGGGATAGGCAACACTTCTTAGAGAGGGCACAAAAAAGACACTAAATCTAAAATAAATTTTTGATGCATTGGATATCATTAGAATTCCAATCTTTTGCTTATCAAAACACATATGATGAAATGAAATAATATGTATATAAAAACACTTGTACAAGAATGTTTTCATTAGCTATATTTATAGAAGTCCCAAACAGGAAGCAACCCATATTTTCATCAATAGAGGAATGGATAAACAATCTGGTTTAAAAAAAAATGAAATACTTTTCAGCAATAAATAGAAATGAACTCCTGATACTTCCAACAACATGGATGAATCCCAAAAACATGAAAGAAGCCAGATATAAGAGTATATGCTGCATGACTATATTTATATAAAATTTAAGGACAGGCAAAACATTGGTGATAGAAGTAAAAATAGTAGTTGTCTAAGGGGGGTGAAATTTACTGAAAAGGACAAAAGGGAACTTTCTGGAATGAAAATTGGGGAAGGTGGTTACATGAGTGTATACATAGATCAAAAATCATCAAATTGTACCTTTAATATATTTGCATTTTACTTACAGTATGAAAATTTTAACCTCAATTCTTAAATACAAAAATATTTGCATCAAAAATATTAAGAAGTGCCTTGACCTTGGACTTCTCAGACTCCAGAATGGAAAAAAAGAAATTCCTTTTCTTTGTAAATTGCCCAGTTTCAGGTATTTCTTTTAAGCAACAGAAAATGGACTAAGATACATTGAGTTATCTCCTCCTTGAAGCTGTCTTCAGCATTCAAGGTGAAACATTAAAGATACAGCCCTGTCACATCCTTCCATCAAGAAACACAGGCTGCCTCTTGGAACCAGAGTCCCTTCCAGCCTCCCATTGAGTAAGGTTGGGGTTGGGGGCTGTGGAACTGTGCTTTTAAAACCCTCTTCTGTGGATTCTGGATTCTGCCAAGTAGTCAGAGCTGAGAACCAATGATCAGACACTAAATATGCTGTCCAGGCCAAGTGCCATGGCTCATGCCAGTAATCTCAGCACTTTGGGAGGCCAAGGAGGGCAGATCACTTGAGGTCAAGAGTTCCAGACCAGCCTGGGCAACATAGTGAGATCCCCATCTCTACTAAAAATACAAAAATTAGTCAGGCATGGTAGTGCATGCCTGTGGTCTCAGCTATTCAGGAGGCTGAGGTGACAGGATCGCTTGAGCCTGGGGCGGAGTGAAGTTTACAGTGCACTCCAGCCTGGGTGACAGAGCAAGATTGTGTTTCAAAAATAAAAATAAAAATACTGTCCAATGTGGTGGCCACCAGCTGTTGTAGCTACTGAGCACTGGAAATGTGGCTAGTGAGACTGAAGACTGGATTTTAAACTTTATTTAATTTTAACTATTTGAAGTGATAATAAAGTTATTAGGAGACTTTTAAGTGTGTTTGGAACAACTTGACTATGCGAACCTTCAATTTCAATTGTGAATTTTATAAATCTAAATATATAGATTGAGCATTTACCTGGAAATTTAACATGTGAATTGAAATGTGCTGGAAGTGTCTGAGTAAAAAAAGAATGCAAGATATCTGATTACAGATTTTTAAAATATTAATTATGGCCGGGCGCGGTGGCTCGTGCCTGTAATCCCAGAACTTTGGGAGGCCAAGGCGGGTGGATCACGAGGTCAGGAGATTGAGACCATCCTGGCCAACATAGTGAAACCCTGTCTCTACTAAAAATACAAAAATTAGCTGGGTGTGGTGGTGTGTGCCTGTAATCCCAGCTACTCGGGAGGCTGAGACAGGAGAATCGCTTGAACCAGGGAGTCGGAGGTTGCAGTGAGCCAAGATCATGCCACTTGCACTCCAGCCTGGCAACAGAGCGAGACTCTGTCTCAAAAAAAAAAAAAAAATTGATTACATGTTGGAATAATATGTTGGAAGTACCAGGTTGAATAAATATATTGTTGAAAATGAAAAAAAAAAGTATACGTTTTTAGTGATGCCATTCTTTAATGTAATAATTTACTTGACAATTTACTGGGTTCTTACTATATGCCAGACATAAAGCACTCTATTCAGGTAATTCTCACTACAAACTGTGAAGTAAGTATTTCCTCAGGTTCTTACAGATAAGGAATCTGGAACTCAGAAAATGTACTTAATTTGCCAAGAACATATAGCCAGAATATATACTCAATATAGTAGTTATGTGAACCAGAGTACATATGATGCCAAAACTCTATGCTTTTAACTTCTCGTTACACTGATTTCTAATTTCCCCCAAATTTTTGCACTACAGATGAGAAATCCAAAACATATTTAAATTTTAATATTAAAGTTGTCATAATTCTAGTATACCATTTCAATAATCCACTTTTAAATTTGAGGACCACTGAACCTCAAAGAGAAAAAATAAACCAAAGACTACGTATATTATCTGTTTAAGCAAACAACACTAATTTAGTGTCTTGACTGACAGAAAGAATTGATATGTTTAAAACATAATAGCTGAATTTTTTTTTTTTTGACACAGGGTCTTACCCTGTCACCCAGGCTGGAATGCGGTGGTGTGATCATGGCTCACTACAGCCTCAAACTCCTGGGCTCAAGCAGTCCTCCCGCCTCAACCTTCTGGGTAGGTGGGAATACAGGCACGTACCACCACATTTGGCTAATTTTTTTGTAGAAATGGGATCTCACTTTATTGCTCAGGCTGGTCTTGAACTCCAGACGTCAAATGATCCTCCCACCTTAGCCTCCCAAAGTGTTGGAATTACAGGCGTGGGCCATCACGCCAAGCCAATAACTGGATTTTAAATTGAGTGAGTTTGCTGGTATTATTTGGTTTATATTACAAGGTGTGATGGCCTTTGCAAAGCAGAATCATAGAAACCTAGAAGCAGTTATAATTTCAAATGTCACTTGAGCCAACCTTCCATTCAAACAGGAATGCCGCTATCATATTCCTGATAAATGATCACCTGGTCTCTTTTGGAACACTTCTGGTTGTGGGAACTTCCTGCCTTATGAGTAGCCTGTTCCATTGTTGGACAACTTTGTTCTTTAGGAAATTCATCTTATTTTCCTGAATAACATTTGCTTCACAAACTGTGGTGAGGATAAAATGAGTTAAGTGCTTAGCATTATGCCTGGCACATAGTAAGAGCCCAATAAATGACAATTTATTCTATCAGTTTAATAAACATAATCCTCACGGTAGCATATACTTTTGAGTTACAATGAACTGTCAATCATGTCCACCCATTTATACTCTGCCCTGAAAGAGTCCAAGGCAGGACTGTCCCCATCTGTTCTTAGAACTTTTCTTGCCAATTCATAGGACTCTTAAGTAAATTAAAATGAAAGAAAAATCATTTGATATAGAAAAATGTATAAAATATACCTCATTATTGAAAGTAAAATCAATAATGACTTAAATTTTATAAAATGTTAAATATTCAAGTGAAGACAACAATAAATAATGCTTTCTATCTTACTCCAGTACCCAAACAATTAATGAAAATAACTAGCAGGCAGTAGCCAATAAATAGTAAATAAAGAATTTTTGTAATGTTTGTGAATGAACGTGTACATATATTTTAAAATATAATTAAAGTAATTTTTACTGAGAAACAACTGCTTTCTAAGATGAGAAATTCTTCGCTGACTCCTTTTCAGCATCAGAATGAAGACATGACTATTCTGGTATATTTCCCCACATGCCAACTCCCTGTTGTCATCAATGAACACTCTCTTTGGAGACCTCATGCCTTATGACTAGGGAAGGGAGAATATGTGATTATTTCATTCATCATAATACACAGAAAAAATTATATGAGTAAAATATTAAATAAGAACAGAAAATATAATTCTGATTGTCAGAACAAACCGAGCCTGGGCTTTGCTTAACCCTAAAGAAAAATGAGTCCTTCTCTTGTCCTATAATTTCTTGTTGGCCTAAGTGTTCTACTTGGAATTTTTTTTTATTAATCACTTTTAAACATACATAATCACTTTTAAAAATAGAAATTATAAACAGAAAAAGACATTTGAAATTTATAATTATTTATAAATATTTTCCCCACTTGTTTTATGGTTTTCTTTTTAATCTACCTCAAATTAATTTTGGTGCAAGGTATACAGTAGAGATTTAGCTTTATATTTTCTGAGTGGATAGTCGATATTCTAATTAGCATTTAATCAATAATCAATAGACCATCTTTTCCCTACTGATCTGAAATGTTATTCTAAAACTGCCTTTCCAACTATAGAGATTTTGATGGAATTTGCATTAAAATCATAGAATAAATTAGGAAATTATTTTCCTTTACATTTTCAAAAATGTTTCAATGTATAGATTCTAAATTTTTATTAATTCCTACATGTTTTATATTTGTGTTCCTTTTGTCATTAGCTTGGTTTTCCCTTGATGTATATTAACTCTTTACTTTTGCTACGTCAGGAAATTATTTATTCTTATTTATTTTGAAACTGACCACATTACTGGCCTTTACAACATTTTTTTCTAATAGTTTTTGTATTAATTAATTTCTGTTTTTTCAATACAATTATATTACTTACACAAAATTATTTCCTCTTTTTAAGAAGCATTTAGTTTTAATGTCTAATTGCCTTGACTAAAACTTCCAGAAGATAATACATAATAATGTTGATATTCTGTTATAACTATCTTAACGGATATCCAGTATGGTCCTTGGCTTTATGAAAATGCCTCTTGATTTTCATTCTTAAGCATGGTGTTGACCATTAGTTTGAGGTAGATGTTTTATTCATGTTAGGAAGTTTCCTATGTTGCCAATTTTTAAAATATTAGAAATGGGAATTAATGTTGAGTTTTATTAAAGTCTCCTTTGCTCTCATAGAAATAATCATATTTTCCTGTGAATATTAATATGGTGAACTATATAAATAATTTTAACACTTCTATGATAAACACTTCTTGGTTATGATAAGTTATTCTTTTTTTTTTTTTTTGAGACAGAGTCTCACTCTGTCACCCAGACTGGAGTACGGTGGTGTGTTCTCAGCTCACTGCAACCTCCACCATCTTGGTTCAAGTGATTCTCCTGCCTCAGCCTCCCGAGTAGCTGGGATTACAGGTGCCCACCACCAGGCCCGGCTAATTTTTGTATTTTTAGTAGAGATGAGGTTTCACCATGTTGGCCAGGCTGGTCTCAAACTCCTGACCTCAGGTGATCCACCCACCTCAGCCTTCCAAACTACTGGGATTACAGGTGTGAGCCACCATGCCTGGCCCTGATAAGTTATTCTTTTTATATGCTACTGGGTCCCAGCTGCTAGTATTTTATTTTGAATTTTTCCATCTGTTTTTAAAGGTAAAATTACTCTGTAGTTTGAGAAAAAAATTTTAATAGTAATTGCTTATTCTTTTCATACACTTTTCAACTCTTGAGGTATCATAGGATCATAGGCAAAACATCTGAAAAGAACAGAAAAAAAAATATTCTTTTAGGGACTTCGTTGCTTTACTGGTTTTCCCATGCATGAGTCTTTGAATTGAAATTTGTGAATCAAAGAGAAACAATTGCTTTGGAAAGCAAGATTCAGCTCTCATATTTAGCTGACTCACAAAAATTCCTCACTTAAGCGAGGATATAACAAAGTACACAAAAATATACCAAAGCAATGGTTGAGAAAATCTTATGGGTAATTCAGGCAAAACAAATATGGAACATGAACTGTGAATACATGGAACAGTATATTCTACTGATTGAAGTCATGCTCTAGCTTGGGTTCAAAACCTGGCTCTGCCACTTATTAGCTGAATGAACTCAAGTGAGATTTTTTTAACCTCATGGAACCTCAGTTTACACATTTGTGAACAGAATAATAATGCCTTCTTTATATAAAAGGGCAGAGAAGATATGCTGTATACCCACTTACACACACAAACCCACACATAATTAACTATGTATTAGTGGTTCTTTAAATTTAGCATGCATATACTTGTGAAGCTTGTTTAAAATGCATATTACAGGGCCCTATTTGCAGAATCTGAATAAGGTATGGGTAAGGCACATAAATCTACAGTTTTACCAAGCGCTATAAGTAATTCTGTTGCAAAGGATTCCTGAATCACACCTTGTGAAACATTACTCTGCATTATTTGCCTTTAGTGCCTTTGGCCTTTTCTGAATGCCACAAGTGGGAGACAGAAAATAATGGTTAGGAAAGGCTTCAAGGTTGCTGTTAACTGCTTGATATTTCAGATCTACAAATCTGAAACCTTTAGGATCAGTTCTTGCAAACAAAACTTACAAGCAACTATTATAAGTATATTTGTAACTTAAAATGAGAAATGTAGGTATAAATTTGAAAAGTAATCAATAAGATTCACAATAATAATGACAAAAAATAAGGAGAGAAACCAAATGTTGATTTCAACAAATGTAGAAATGCAGAAATGTAGAAAATGCATTTTCCAAAATTCAACACCCATTTATAACTAGAACTCTTAGCAAACCAGGAATAGAAGGGAACTTCCTCAACCCGATAAACAGCAAGTATCAAATAATCTACAGTTAACATTGGCCAGGTGTAGTGGCTCACACCTGTAATCCCAGCACTTTGGGAGGCTGAGGCGGGTGGATCACTTGAGGTCAGGAGTTGGAGACCAACCTGGCCAACATGGCGAAGCCCTGTGTCTACTAAAAATACAAAAATTAGCCAGGCATGGTGGCGAGCACCTGTAATCCCAGCTACTTGGAAAGCTGAGGCAGGAGAATCACTTGAACCCAGGAGACAGAGTTTGCAATGAGCCAAGATCTTGCCACTGCACTCCTGCCTGGGCGACAGAACCAGATTCTGTCTCAAAAAACAAAAAAACAAAACAAAAAAAAAGAAACTACAGTTGACATTATACTTAATAATGAAAGACTGAACATTTTCCTCCTAAGGTCAAGAATAAGACAAGGATATTCTAGAAGTAGTCAACATTGCACTGGAGGTTCTAGCGCTTGCAATAAGGCAGGAAAAAGAATACAAAGCATCTGAATTGGAAAAGAAGTAAAACTATTTGTTTGTAGATGACATAATAGTGTATGTAGTCAACCATAAAATAAATTCTTCAGCATCTAGAAAAAAATGATTAGAACAAATAAGTGAATTTAGCAAGGTCACAGGACTGTAAAGTCAATGTAAAAATGAATTTTACTTATATGTAATAGCAAAGAACAACTAGAATATAAAATGAAAATTTAAAATACCGCTGGGTGCAGTGGCTCACACCTGTAATCCCAGCACTTTGGGAGGCCGAGGTGGGCGGATCACAAGGTCAGGAGATTGAGACCATCCCAGCTAACACAGTGAAACCCCGTCTTTACTAAAAATACAAAAAATTAGCTGGGTGTGGTGGTGGGTGCCTGTGGTCCCAGCTACTTGGGAGGCTGAGGCAGGAAAATCACTTGAACCGGGGAGGTGGAGGTTGCAGTGAGCCTAGATCACGCCACTGCACTCCAGCCTGGGTGACAGAGCAAGACTTCGTCTCAAAAAAAAAAATACACATGCCAAGCAATAAGTCTGTGCCCAACTTAATAAATAGCACACATGTACAATGCACAGAGTTCTCTGCCAGTTGGATAAGGAACAAATCCAAAGATGAGTATGCCCCCCAACTAGTAGTGTAGTAGAGGACTATAGGGGAACAAGCCAAGAGTACTAAAATGAACAAGTATTTGGCATCTACAAGGGGATCTTAGATAATTATTTGTAATTGTCCATCATCCTTTCCCCAATTTCTGAGATATTTTGTTTAGAAATTAGTAGATATTTGTACAATGTCATAAGAAAAATATGATTGTTGAAATAACAGATATTTTTTAATATTCTAGGGGAGTTTTTTTTAATCTTTTTCAGCTGTATAATGAAAAGAGGTCCATGAAGAAGATGGAGTTGTACAAAGATATTGAAGCACAGTCTTTCAATCAGGTGTGCTAACACAGTGAATCTAACACAGTGAATCAGAAATCAGCCAATCAGAAAAACGGCTAACATCAGGTGGTTCAATAGAGGGAATTTAATACAGAGCATTAGCTACAAAAGTGTTAGTAATGTCAAACAGAGGACAGTGAGGAAACCCAGAGATTAACAATAATAGGACACTCCTACTGCCCCAAGAGCAGGAGACATAAATGCAAGAGGCTGCTTAAAGTTAGGAATGGCCCACAGGATCTGGGACTAGAAAGGGAGAGTCTCTCTGTTGGAAGAGAAATCATCATGGGAGACACCTCCTGAAACAATAAATTCAAGAGCAAACAGAAAATAAGGGGCCTGGGTAAGTAGGATTTATCAGGTGGAAATGGGGCAGGAGAAAGGCTTCCTATTCTAGGCAAATGGAAATTCATGAGTAAAGATATAGAGGCAGGAGATATTCCTATGGAATTCCTGTGGAAGCCCATCTGGAGAATAGAAATTAAACTGGTTTAATTTCTACACAGAGAGAAAAAGTAAGAAACAGGTCTGTGAAAGTAAGAGTACTGCATCAAAATAGAGGTTCATTCTTCTTTCTACATGAAGTGAAGAGTCATTGAAGATTTTAAGGCAAGAGAATGACATCATCCCATGTTTACTTTAGGAAGACTAATATAGTAGTTTTGTGTAAGGTAAAGTGGATTAGATGCACTATAAATTCCTGCTATGGAGTTTCAACTTGGCTCTTAATACTGCTCATTAATCCTCTTCCTATAGCCACAGAAGCTTTTCCACACCTTCTCCATTAGTGTCAGATCCCACTTCCATCTCCCACCCCCAGGAGACACCTCCTGCTTTAAGAAACTTTAGCCACACTGGTCCCTTCACCGAGACAAATTTCTGGAGGCATGAGCCATGCCCGAATCACTAGCCAGAACCCCACTCCTAGTAAAGTGATTTCCATAGAGCAGAAACACAGAGAACTGTGTTTCGGAAACTGATTCGGAGACTGGGAGAAATGAGAAAATTTTAGGAAACCAAACTCAGTTTTTTGTTTGTTTTTTGTTTTTTCGTTTTTTTGTTTTTTTTAGATGGAGTCTTGCTCTGTCGCCCAGGCTGGAGTTCAGTGGCACAATCTCGGCTCACTGCAACCTCCACCTCCCGGGTTCAAGCAATTCTCCTGCCTCAGCCTCCCTAGTAGCTGGGATTACAGGTGTGCACCACCAGGCCCAGCTAAGTTTTGTATTTTTAGTAGAGACAGGGTTTCACCGTGTTGGCCAGGCTGGTCTTGAACTCCTGACCTCGGGTGATCTCCCCGCTTTGGCCTCCCAAAGTGTTGAGATTACAGGAATAAGCCACCACGCCCCGCCAAAACTAAGATTTTAAAAAAACTGCTTGGCGACTATAATCCTACCATCTTCCATCATTCCTTCCATTCTTGCTTCTTGAGACAAAAATATTTATCAATACCTACTAGCCACAGGAAGTGTACTCAATGTTATGAATACAGATATTAACAAAATATATGATATATGCCTTCAAGAAATTAATACTACAGTGAATAAGACAAAAAGGATATGTAATAGATAAGTAATACTTTTGAAGGAGGTTCTCAGTCAGGGTCCCAACCAAAAAGAAAGGCACACTCAAAATAATTCTGGAAGAGGTTATTTCCAAAGAGACTATTTACAAAGATGTTAGTATAGGGAAACCACAAAGGATGGTTGCAGCAACCTCGGGTTAGAAGTAGCCAAACTGTTAATACCACTGGGATCCAAGGACAAGAAGAGGAATTTAGTGTGGCCCTGGATAGAGGGGGAGTTATGCAGAATAACTATGAGGAACAGTGACTTAACGTTGAAGAACACAGCCAGCACAAGGCAAGCCCACGGGAACAGCATAGCTAGGGTACTCAATACCCTGATCTCACCACCACCTCCCCCAACTCCACAACTGACAAAATTATCTCCTGCTAGGATTACTGCTCACACCTGTAATCCCAGCACTTTGGGAGACTGAGGCAGGTGGATCACCTGAGGTCGGGATTTCGAGGCCAGCCTGACCAACATGGTGAAACCCCATCTCTACTAAAAAAATAAAAAATTAGTTGGGCATGGTGGCGCATGCCTGTAATCCCAGCTACTCGGGAGGCTGAGGCAGGAGAACCACTTGAACCAGGGAAGTGGAGGTTGTGGTGGGCAGAGATTGTGCCATTGCATTCCAGCCTGGGCAACAAGAGCAAAACTCCATTAAAAAAAAAAAAGAAAGAAAACAAGATTTCACCGTTGTCTACTGAATTATTGCCCTTTCTTCTGCCACAGTCTCAATCTCCCTTCCTCCCTCCCTCTGCCTTTCTTCCTACCTCTGGTACCTTGTTATTTTTATATTTTATATACTATATAGTATTTCATCTATGGGACCTCTTTTTGGAAGGAAAAAAAAGGTATTGGAAATCCTTCAAAAATACAGTATGAGGCCAAGTGTGGTGGCTCACACCTGTAATACCAGCACTTTGGGAGGCTGAGGTGGGCAGATCACTTGAGATCAGGAGTTCAAGTCCAGCTTGGCCAACATGGTGAAATCCCATCTCTACTAAAAATACAAAAATTAGCTGGAAATCGCTTGAATCTGGGAGGTGAAGACTGCAGTGAGCCGAGATCGCGCCACTGCACTCCAGCCTGGGCGAAGAGCGAGACTCCATCTAAAAAAAAAAAATACAGTATGCTACCATTTGTAGGAAATATACATATATATGTAAATATCTATATTTGTGTGTGTGTGTGTGTGTGTGTGTGTGTGCTGTGCGTAAAGGAGTGGTGAGAATCTCTCTGGAAAAATGCAACAAGAAAGTGGTAACAGTGATTGCCTCTGAGGAAGGGGAAGTATGGGACTGGGCAATTGGAGTGGAAGGGAAAATATCTTTCACTGTATATATTTTATACATTTTGAATGTTGTATCATGTAAATTAATTACTTAGTGAATATATATACTGACCCCCCATTTCAAAATGCAAAACAGCATATCATTATATATGAATTATGAAATATTCATATATTCATTTTATATGAACTATAAAATATGAATTATATCATTCATATTTCTGCCACCAGGAATTAACAACTGTTGACTTCTGTCAAATTGGCTCTCAGTCCTTTTATGGCATGTGAAAAAAATAAAACTTTATATTTAAAGTTCTTTTAAAAAACCGTGGCCAGGCACGGTGGCTCACGCTTGCAATCCCAGCAAACTTTGGGAGGCCAAGGTGGGCGGATCATTTGAGGTAAGGAGTTTCAGATCAGCCTGGCCAACATGGTGAAATCCCGTCTCTACTAAAAGTACAAAAATTAGCCGGGCATGGTGGCATGCGCCTGTAGTCCCAGCTACTGGGGAGGCTGAGACAGGAGAATCACTTGAACCTGGGAGGTGGAGGTTGCAGTGAGCTGAGATCATGCCATTGCACTCCAGCCTGGGCAACAGAGCAAGACTCTCTGAAAAACAAACAAACAAACAAACAAACAACAACAACAACAACAAAAACCACTGTAATCTCCCAGTCCCTTCCCTATTTCCCTAGGAGCAGTCACTACTGTGAGTTTGGGGTATATCCTTCAGGGTAATTCTTCATCCTTTTACGTACCTATGTAAGCTTCCATAACCAATGTATAGTTTTGCACATGTATTTTAAGTTTGCAAAGCAGTATCTTCCTCTATGCATAATTCTGCAACTTGTGCTTTTTTCACTTGAAACCATTTTGGAAATTATCTATGCTAATATACATACAGCTGTTTCATTTTACAATATTGTTTATTAATATTCCAGCCTATAAATACATAATATTTTGTTCCCCTTTTCTATTTTTATTTCTTTCCTACTAATGAAGGATTGGTTGTTTCCATTTCTTTGCTCTTACTAACAATGCTGCAATAAAAGTCCCTAGTCTTAGGAGACTAAGTCTCCTTAGTCACATGTGCAAGAGTGGTTCTCATGTATGTTTCCAGAAGTGGAACTGCTAGTTCTAGTTTCAGTTCACTAGAGCCAGCCAGATTGCTGCCCAAAGTTGCTGTTCCATTTTGCATTCTGCTAGACCTATGGAAGTAGATCATTTTTTCCCATACCCTGACCAACATTTAATATTGTCAGATTTAAAAGTTTTCCTCAATCCGATGGGTGAGCATTTTTTACCCTACAGTTTTTGATTCACATTTACTAGTGAAGTTAGACAAACTCTCATGTGTTTATTAATCATTTGGATTTATTCTCTGTGAATTACATGTTTATATTCTTGGTCTGCTTTTTTGAGTTGGGTTCTTTAATTCATTCAACATTTAACACATATTTAAGAAATGCCTACTAGGTGTCAAGCATTATTATTGTCCCACAAGTAACTATGTACCTCTGACTATGGTCCTCTGACTATTAACTACAATTTAATTTTACCTTTCTGAAGCATAAAATCCTGCCATCTACTAAAGTCATTTGTGTACTTTACTAACCTGTAAATCCTGTAAGCCATTTCACAACAAATATTTGTTTACCAATTTATGGCTCACATATAGGTTGTATTACATCACCCAAGCAGTAAACTACTTTTGGATAAAATTACAAACTGAATTGAGAAATCCAGTCTGAAAGGCTGATATAGTACACAGACTTTAAAGCACCATCTTTTTTTTTTTTTTTTTTTGAGAGGGAGTCTTGCTCTGCCGCCCAGGCTGGAGTGCAGTAGCACTATCTCAGCTCACTGCAACCTCCACCTCCCCGGTTCAAGCAATTCTCCCACCTCAGCCTCCCAAGTACCTGGGATTAAAGGCACCCACCATCATGGCCAGCTAATTTTTATATTTTTGTAGAGATGGGGTGTGGGGATGGTTCACCATTTTGGCCAGGCTGGTTTGAACTCCTGACCTCAGGTGATCCGCCCGCCTCAGCCTCCCAAAGTGCTGGGATTACAGGCGTGAACCACCGCGTCCGGTCTAAAGCACCATCTTTAAACAAGGATAGTTATATAGTATGCAGCTCAGAGCACTCACACACCACTGAGGTATTACTTGAAGACAGCCAAAGATTATTCAACACGTAGAAGGCTTCCTGTATGCTAGTGGTTTCCAGAGTAGTATTCTGTGTGAATGCCCCTAAAGATTATTACAAATGATGCATTTGTTATTTACATATTATTTGCTATATTGAAATTTAAAGTAAAATATATACCTTTGTAAAATAAATGATGCTCTCTTCTTCATTAGTTCAAACTTTTTGTGAAGAAGGTATTCTAATCCACCAACCAGTTAACTTCGGGATGTGTAAAAAAAAAAAGTGCAGAAGAGTAGGCACTAAATTACATAGCTACCTCTGGACAGTAGTATTATATACTTCTGTTTTATATCAGTTTTACAGAATGAACACATTAATTTTATAATAAAATGATATATTTCAATATTTTTTCTCATATTCTTCTGAACAACTTGAAGAAATGTTCATGATATATTGCTAAGTAGAAAAAGCAAATTGTGGCCGGGTGTGGTGGCTCACACCTGTAATCCCAGCACTTTGGGTGGTTGAGGCGGGCGGATCTTTTGAGCCCAAGAGTTCGAGATCAGCCTGGGCAACATGGCGAAACCCCATCAATACAAAAAATACAAAAATTAGTCAGTCTCATAACCTGGTCTCTAGATAGATAGATAGATAGATAGATAGATAGATAGATAGATAGATAGATAGATAGATGATAGATAGCTAGATAAAACTTTAAAAATAAAATTTAAAAAAGAAAAAGCAAATTGTGAAGTAATATTTATAGTATCATACATTTTATTTTAAAACTGTGTGTGTGTACATAGAACTAATAAGCACTTTAATGTTAAACATTAAATTTTTAGTGGTGGGATCATTGGTATTTTTGTTTTCTTCTTTGTTTTTATCTATATTTTCTCCTAATATATTTCTAAATGAAAAAAGTCATATTTTTAAAACAAGAGTCTGTTTAATATCAAAAATCATTTGTGTCAGCACCTTTGCCTTAAAATAATGTTTTCCATTATTGGGCAGGGTGCATGTTGGTCAAAGGATACAATGTTTCAGTTAGGAGGAATAAGGTCTGGACATTTGTGTCAGCACCTTTGCTTTAAAATAATGTTTTCCATTATTGGGCAGGGTGCATGTTGGTCAAAGGATACAATGTTTCAGTTAGGAGGACTAAGGTCTGGAGATCTGTTATATAGCATGGTAAAAATAAATTTAAAATAAACATTTTCCATAATACTGTTTTTCATCTCACTCGTTCCATCTCAGTATTTAATTGCAGAACTAAGTTTTTTTTTTTTTTTAACATTTAACAACGCTCAGCAAGTTGTGTAACTTCTAGAATGGGTTGTGCCTGCTCTGCAAAAGAGAAACAGCCAGTGCCTGAAAATAGCAATCGCTTCTTCCACAAGGGCTTAGTTTCTAGCCCTAGCTCTTTAGCAAATTACCTGTGAAACCCTGACAAAAAAATCTTTCTGAGTTACAGGGTCCTCTCTTCTGTAAAGTGGAGATAATAATACCTGCTCTGCCTATTGTAATAAGTCTCGATGGGGAGGTAATGAAAAATATGTATAAGGCAATATTGAATGCTGTTTGTGAAAAGTTATACAAATACTAGTTGATAATATTCTTATATGATCTCTAAGTTCAGAAAGAGAGAACCATCAACTTGTTAAAGAGACAAAGAAACTTAAAATGATTAATCTTTCTTTAATCTCTTCCCCTGAAATATCACTTTGAGACTTTAAAATTGTCAAAGCAACTATTAAAGAAAATAATAATTATCCTTATAGGCTCATAAGCCAGCTGTAATTCTCATGAAAAACTAAAACAGAGCTGACAAAACACTGTTGCTATGTTGCCCCAGCACACACAGGGACCTGCCACACTTGGTAAGTCAAATTGTTATCAACGTATAAAGAAAATCCAGTACTTGCTCAGGAAGAAACAATTTTACCAAAGAGATCATTGTTATCATAATCATTATCATCATCTTCACAATTCACAGAAAATGTTAAAGTAGTATCTACAATACAATAAAAAGCTCAATTAATCAAAAGTCAATTAACTAAAACAAACAAATAACCCAATATATTTTCCAATACTCCTTTCTTTAAACAAAATATTTTATAAGAACACAAAGTGATATAAGAGTGTTTTAAACACCAGAGCATGTAAGCATAATTAAGAGCAAGAATTCTGTTTTTGTGCCCTGTTATAATCCCAGTATCTAGAACTGGGAATATTTGTCAATAAATATTTGTTAAATAAGCATTAAAAAGTTATTAGAACTATAAAGTCATATATATTAATTATGATCCTGGGGCATCACAAGATCCTTCATCATCAAAGAAAGTTTACTTTAAAACCAATATGCTATACAATCAAGAGTAAGAACAAAGACTTTGCACAATGGTTGGAGACCTTAATGTGTTATCCTTCCCACTTCTCTACCTTCATTGACTCAGAAAGTATTCACAATTCTGAATATTTAATTATAAAAATTATTAAATATTGATGAACTGAAGTAGTTCCTGACTTTTATCTTAGGGTTCCTCACCCCAATATCTGTTTCACAATGAAATTTCTCTAGAAATTCATGCTGATGACAGGTGTTTTGGAAAGTCTTAAAAAAAAGTCCATGAAATCAATTGTGATGGCACCATCCATTGCATGCATTTCCTATATCTTAAATCACTCCTTTCTCCCTAAGCATTTACTTTCATATGTATATATATATATATATATATACACATACATATATATATACATATATATGTATATATATATATACACATACATATATATATACATATATATGTATATATATATACACATACATATATATATACATATATATGTATATATATATATACACATACATATATATATACATATATATGTATATATATATATACACATATATATATATATGTATATGTGTTTATTATGGGTACAGGTGAATGTCTTACTTTCCCAGTATTCTGTAAGCTTCTTAAGGTCAAGAAACTTACTTCGTTTCTCTTTATATCCCCTGAGAGAAGACAAGTGCAAATTTCTTGATAGTAACAATAAAGATAAGTAACCATATAAAAAGGCAGATACTTAGAACCCAGCAAGGGAGGTTCCCTGGACTGTAATTCCACGGAGATTTTGTCAGTCACTGTGAGCATTCAGCATTTTGTATAACCTTTTTTTCCTACTTCTCTCGCAAGTTTATACCTTATCTCTGAAAAGGGTACATTTAAAGTTTTGATATTTTCACTTGCAAACAATTTACAGATAGCATGTAATCCAATCTGTATTTCATTAATATTTTTGCTTCTCAACATTTGTTGAGCGCTCCCTTTGACAGCAGCATCGTGTAGGTTGCTGAGGTATGGAAGTGAGAAAGAAAAGAAAATAGAATGTTGATTAAGACAGGCTTCCAGCCCTAGAGAAATTAGTAAGAGAAACCTGTAAGTGATAAAAATCTCATATGACAATATCACGTGTGCATAGGCCAACTCTGTTAGAGGTGGGAGAATCACAGAGCTTCCCAAAGCAGGGGATATGTAATTGGATCTTGAAAGATGAATAGGAGTTTGCGACAGTAGAGGAAATGAGCTTTCTTGGCAGAGGAAACAGCATGTGTAAAAGGTAAAGAATGAAGAAAAGAGTAAATATTTCTAATGGCTGGTGTTACAGGCTGAATTGTGTGCCCCCAAAATCCATATATTGAAGCTCTAACCCCAGAATGTGACGGTTTTTGGAGACAAGGCCTTTAAAGAGATGATTAAGTCAAAGTGAGGCCATTAGGCTGGACCCAACCCAATCTGACTGGTGTCCTTATAAGAAGAGGAAACGTGGACATACAAAGAGACAGGAAGGATGATATGCACAAAGGAATGACTATGGGAGGACAGAGCGAAAAGATGACCATCTGCAAGCTAAGGAGGGAGGCCTCAGAAGAAACCAAAACTGATGGCACCTTGATCTTGGACTTCAGCCTCCAGAAGCATGAGAAATAAATTTCTATTGACCACCAGCCTGCGGTATTCTGATATGGCAGCCATAGCAGACTAATACAGCTGGAATTAGGATGTCTGAGTGCTCATGGTTTCTCCTCAACACTCACATAATATAGAGAGCTTATCATCAGTGCACTGACCCATTATTTTATCATGATCCATTTATGTCAGTGTCTCTCCCCCAGACTTGAGGACAGGTCACAGTGAGCTCTGATTTTTATTAGAGTTCATTTAATGAACTCTAATGTCTCCAGAACCTTATACAGTGCCTTATACAGGTTCATAAAAAGCAACAAAATTTTTTTAATTATTGCATTTTATTGCACAAAACACTACTTGCATGTCTAATAAAAAAGTATACATCTACACTCATCACTTTAATGACTGCATTTAAGTGATTTTTTTTTTTTCTTGAGACAGAGTTTCATTCTTGTTGCCCAGGCTGGAGTGCAATGGCACGATCTCGGCTCACTGCAACCTCTGCCTCCCTGGTTCAAGCAATTCTCCTGCCTCAGCCTCCCAAGTAGCTGGGATTACAGGCATGTGTCACTACGCCTGGCTAATTTTGTATTTTTAGTAGAGATGGGGTTTCTCCATGTTGGTCAGGCTGGTCTCGAACTCCTGACCTCAGGTGATCCACCCACCTCAGCCTCCCAAAGTGCTGTGATTACAGGCGTGAGCCACCGCGCCCAGCCCTAAGTGATTTTTATCCTATTTAATGATTATTTATTCCTATGACAGTACAGTGTATACATTTATTATTGCCAGTTGCCTTTAGAATAATTTTATCAAGTCCCCTAAAAATAAACTCTCACAACGTACTTTAAAGAGATTTTTTTAATTTTTGGATTAATTTTGGGAGAATCAACATGTTAACATATTAAATTTTTATCACATGACAAGGGATGTCTTCTCATTTACTAATTTACTTCTTAAAATTTACCTTGTATGTCTTTGTAATTTTTATTAAATAAGCTAGGCACATTTCTTATTAAATGTACTCTATGTATTTAAATTTGTTATTTCTAAATAAAATCTGTTGTATTATACCGTCTAACTATTAATAATTATTACTGGTCTAGAGGAAAACTACTTATATATTTATTTTGTAGCCTATCATCTTCCTAAGTATCTTGTCAGTTTTAATATAGTTTTAAATTGATCCATTTGGGTTTTCTGGATAAACAATCATATTAACCACAGGTAATGATAATTTTCTCTCTTCAAAGTATATATCTTATTCTTTTTTCTTGTTTTATTGTGTTGGGTAGAATTTATAGAACAATGTTAAATAATAGATATTCTATCAGGCACTCCTTGACTTCTTGTTTCAGTCTCTAGAATTTCTCCTATTTTGCCCATTAATTTCAGATAAATTTTTCTTATTTTGTCAAAGAAATTTCTTTATAAAAAATTTTCTGTTTTATCAAGACTATATCATTGCATTTAATCAATTACCTTTTTATCAACTAAAGCTATAAAAATTGTTAAAGCTCAAGTTGATTTGTACTTTGGAAAGGTAACATTTGAGAACCATTACCTATAACTGTAAGCACTTGTCCCAGACTATCAAGTAGCTATATTAGCATTGTTCAAAATCTTGGCACAGGCTGGGCATGGTGGCTCACACCTGTAATCCCAGCACTTTGGGAGGCAGACATGGGAGGATAGCTTGAGCTCAGGAGTTTGAGACCAGCCTGGGCAACATGGCAAAACCCCGTCTCCACAAAAAATACAAAAATTCGCTGAGTGAGGTGGCTCATGCCTGTAATCCCAGATACTCAGGAAGCTGAGGCGGGAGGATCGCTTGAGCCCAAGAGGCGGAGGTTGCAGTGAGCCAAGATCGCACCAGTGCACTTCAGCCTGGGCAACAGAGCAACACTCCATCTCAAAAAAAAAAAAAAAAAAAAATCTTGGCACAAGGGTTGTCTGCTCATGGGAAAGGACATTATATTTCTACTTTAAGGATATGTAAGAAAGGACCAGCTGTGTAAATTTTGCTTAATGCCATACCCAAAACTTATAAAATATAGTAGCCCAGATACCACATACTATCACCTGAGGTAAATGGCTGTAGCATCCTATGGATTTACTCCTTTGACCTATTGATGGGGATATAGTAGAAAACAAAGGAAAGTTTCTGCCTAGGAAAATGCCTAGCGTTAGAGTAGGAACTAAATAAATATTTGTTGAATAAATTAATAAGTAAAAAATATTTAGGATGCAGTAGCTTTTTTGGAGGTAGTTCTTAGACACTTTTTAAAATTTTGCTCATGATTTGTAGTCAACTTAACTCTTGATTCTTAATTTAAATTTGACATTTGTTTTTCTACAAAATAATTTATTTTACCCAAACTTTTTAGTTTTCAACACATTAACTTTCTAACTTAAAAAATTACCTCCAAGAAAAAGAGAGTGATCTGCAATGGCTGTTTTGTTGATATCTTCAATTAAAGAGGTTTCTTTTCCTTTTTGAAAAAATTTTTTTCTCTAAGGACTAGGGTCTGTTATTTACACTTTCCTCATTAATTTCTAACTTTGACTGTGGCCTGTATAGTTTTTTGCTTTACTGAGATTATTTTTGTTAACAATGTTTGTAAATGATTCCAGAATGGAGAAAAGAGGGCGTATTCTCTAGGGGACATAAGGTACAACAGGTAAATAATAGGCCTTTTAATTTCATTGACACCCTAATACTTCACTCCCTACCCTCTTTTATTTGCTGAGTGGGAAAATGACAATGAAATGAGTGATTGGTGTTTATGGGTGTTAGCCAAGTGAAAGAATGAGTGTAATTGAACAAACTGATTAAAGGATATATAAACAAAAAGTCAAAATGTAAAAAGCCCGTTTTAAGAGGTATCTTTATTGATAGAAACATTTTAAAATCTTGTTTTAAGACTGTTCAACTTTCCAATATAGAATGAAATCACTGATATTTTGAAACATGTAATCTTATTACATGATGAATGCAGTACGCATTTTTTAATTAAAGAAAAACATGACAGTAATTGATAACAGTTTTTTATTTTTCTTTCTTTCTTTTTTTTTTTTTTTTTTTTGATACAGCGTCTCTCTCTTTCACTCAGGCTGGAGTGCAGTGGTGTGATCTCGGCTCACTGCAACCTCAACCTCCTGGGCTCAAGTGATCCTCCCACCTCAGCCTCCTGAGTAGCTGGGACTACAAACACATGCCACCACACCTGGGCTAATTTTTGCATTTTTTTAGAGACAAGGTTTTGCCATATTGCCCAGGCTGGTCTCCAACTGTTGGGCTCAAGGATCTACCTACTCCAGCCTCCCAGAGTGCTGGGATTACAGGTGTGAGCTACCAGGCCCAGCCAATAACTGTTTTTTCTGATTAAAATATACACGCTTATCACAGTTATTTAAAAGAAGGCAAGGTGATTTAAATTCTAGCTCCTTCATAGAGTAGTATTGTATCCTCGGGCGAGGCACTTAATCTCTTCAGACCACTTATTCATCTCTGAAAGGGGATATGCAGGTTGTTATAATAATGTTGATAAAGTATCTGATACTTAAGTTTCCAGTGAGTTGGAGCTCTTATTTTTAGGAGTGAATTCTTTAAGATTTACATGAGTTTGATAGTGTCCTATCTCCAAATTTTAGAAAGAAAAATCAGTATATGACACTTCCTTTGGGGAAAAACATACCTGTCAAAGGTATTGTTTTTGACTTCTAAAAATAAAACTAAAATTTGTGAAAAGCAGGTAGCATTTACTATTTTGTGATATTCAGATTAGCAGAATCATATTGCCAGGTAGAGTATTCACTTATCTGTCAAAAAGACAGAGAAGTTAATAAAAATACAATCATAGCTGTATCTAGAGAGCACATCACATGAAAAGCAAAGCAAAAGCTGAAACTTTAAAGAGTCAAAACAGAAGTATAAGCATTTGTGAAAAATATAACTCTAATTATCGTTATCACTGGGTTCTTACCTTTGGTTGTTTAAGTAATATAACTTTGTCTTCTAGAAGTGGACGTCACTGGTGTATCCAAACAAACAGGGATATACGGTAAATCTTGACATTGTCAAAATCCAGGCCCTAATTTTTTAAAAATAATAAACATGCTGATTTTTTCCCTTTCCTCAAAGATACACAAATGGCTAGTTTTCAAAATTATTCCCAGGGAAATAAACAGTTCGTCGCATTGTCAAAGTAGGATTTTCATGACTCGGCATTGGATTTGCGGATTTACACATGGATGAAAATAACAGCAACATCATTATCCTTTGCTTGAGTCTGAGCCTATTAATATGAATGAGAGTTAGAAATAAAAGAGGGGTTCTCAAAGCTACATCTCTCAACAAATTTGAAAGTAAACCACATGTACTATTGCCTGATGAATTTTATTAAAATTATACCTCCAACTTCACCCAGGGTTATCATCTTGAAAATAGCGTCTAGGTTTTTTACAAAGTATAATTACATTTTCAAATACAGTGCCATGATATTAAAAGTTATTTAAAATATTAGTAGGATGCACTTCATTAGTCATTGATCTTTTAATTGTCTATTTTATGGAGGAATTGCATATTTGACAGATACCTAGTCAAGAAATAAAATAGGATAAAGCTGAGCTTGCCTGAAAGAAAAATTCATGCTTTAGATGTATAAAAATCATCACAATATTTCAGTTAGTGTCTCAGTGTTACTCTAATAACCTAAAAGTAAATTTCCCTAAGAACTCTTTTATGCAATATATGACAGGCTACATACTCACAAAACTTTTGCTTATGGCTGAAAATCAGAATGACATGAAATAAATACTGTTTCCATTTAGCAAAACTGCCTTTATTTCCATCTATTAGCTCCAAAAATACATCATGCATTCTCCAGTATTTGCAATATTTTTCTTGCTGAACAATGAACAACCGAGTAACACTTATTGCCTCAGTTGAATGGTTTCAGCTCCAGTAGCGTAGGAGGCTCTCAAGAGAGGAGGCACCTCAAGATGCCTAGCAGAGAAAATTAGAGGAGTACTGTGTACCTTAGGAAGATTGACTTCTGAGTTCCAGAATTGTAAAAATTAAATTCATATTTCTAATATAAAACATGCTTCATAAAAAGATATTACAGAAAGAAAGAAAAGAAAATGGAAACATAGTCTTACTATTTTGGCATAACCAATATTAACATTTTCCTTATACCTACCATTATATTCTTAAATTAAAATTATTCTGATTTTATGTAATATTATATTATGATAATATTTATATCGCTAAATATCTATCTAATGCGTTCTTTTTAAGATTACATAATCTTCTATTGTATTTCATTATACCATAATTCATTGATTCATTTTCCTATTATTGGATATTTTTTCCTCTGGTCTAAAACATTTCAAAATGAACATTCTTTTTTTTAAGATGGAGTCTCGCTCTTTCGCCCAGGCTGGAGTGCAGTGGTGCCATCGCGGCTCACTGCAGCCTCCATCTCCCAGGTTCAAGCAATTCTCCTGCCTCAGCCTCCCAAGTAGCTGGGATTACAGATGTGTGCTACCAAGCCCAGAAATTTTTGTATTTTTAGTAGAGATGGGGTTTCGCCATGTTGGCCAGGCTGGTCTCAAACTCCTGGCCTCAAATGATCCGCCCACCTGGGCCTCCCAAAGTGCTAGGATTACAGGCGTGAGCCACTGAGCCCAGCCTCAAAATGAATATTCTTACTCTTCATTATGTACCTCTGTGATTAGTGTTTACTTAGAAATTAGATCACTGGATCTAAAAAAGTGTATTAACACATGTGGTCTCTTGTGCCACAATTTAGCTTTATGCTAAAATGTTATTGTGTCCATCCTTTTATATCATGCTTCTCTCTAGACTACCTAATCTGCTTAAGAAAATAAGCCCCTTGGCGGGGCGTCGTGGCTCACGCCTGTAATCCCAGCACTTTGGGAGGCTGAGGCGGGTAGATCACAAAGTCAGGAGTTTGAGACCAGCCTGACCAACATGAGGAAACCCTGTCTCTACTAAAAATACAAAAACTAGCTGGGCGTGGTGGTACAGTGCCTGTAATCCCAGCTACTCAGGAGGCTGAGGTCGGAGAATCACTTGAACCCAGGAGGCAGAGGTTGCAGTGAGCCGAGATCACACCACTGCACTCCAGCCTGGGCGACAGAGCGAGACTTTGTCTCAAAAACAACAACAACAAAAAAAAAGTAAAAGAAAAAGAAAAAGAAAAAGAGAATAAGCCCCTTGCCTTGAATACCATGGCAGTGTCTTAAGTCTATCTCTATGAAATTAATGGTAAATATTTGGAAACCCATGAAGTAATCAACAGACACACAAAGAAATTATCAAGAGAATGAACTTAACTTTCTTCAAATCCTAAAACAATTCTGTGAAGTAGAAAAGGTATCTACTTCATCTTTTGAAGAAGAAAATGAAGGCTGGGAGATGAGGTCATTTGTCCAGAGTCACAATGGCTGCTACCATATCAGAGTTAGCTGTGATTCACACCCAGAGAGGGTTACTAGATTTGGCAACTAAAAGTACAGTATAAGTATATATCAAATATTGCATGAGACAAACTTATTTTAAAAATTGGGTTTTTTAAATCTGAAATTCAAATTTAACTGGGTAGTCTGTGTTTTATCTGATACCTCTATGTCTAGGCCTATCTGACTTCAGAGCACCACACTACTTTTGACATCTGGAAGGTAAAAACATGGAAAATTAGTCAAGTCGCCTATTTCAGCAAATTGCCTCTAACAGTGATAGCAAAGAATTCTTCTACAGAAAAACGTTTTTCATCAACTGTTATTCAATTTCCTCATCTTTACATTGAATGCACCTGTAAACCCCTTAGCACTTTACCTGCATACAAATGCAAAATTTGATAATGCCCACTATTACTTTTTATAATATTCTTGTCCCTTGAGGCCCGGTGTGGTGGCTCACACCTGTAATCACGGCACTTTGGGAGGTGGAGGCAGGTGGATCACACAAGGTCAGAATTTTGAGACCAGCCTGGCCAACATGGTGAAACCCCGTCTTTACTAAAAATACAAAAATTAGGCAGGCATGGTGGTGCACGCCTGTAATCCCAGCTACTCAGGAGGCTGAGGCAGGAGAATTGCTTGAACCCAGGAGGCAGAGGTTGCAGTGAGCCAAGATAGTGCTACTGCAGTACTCCAGCCTGGGCAAGGCATTGAGACTCCATCTCAAAAAAACAAACAAACAAATAAAAAAAATATATATATATATATACACACACACACACACACACACACACACACATATATATATAATATATATAATTGTCCCTCACATCTAAGAAATGTTTTTTAATTACCCAATTTGGATCTAGCATTCATGAAAGTACTCAGACCAGACCTCTGTGGGTCTCCTTAATATTTTCAACTTAATATTGCTTCTTGGGGAGTTAAGATCTTCAGAAAATGACTGCCTGTTGTTGAATGTGGAAGACCTTTTTGTTTTTACATTCAGTGTTCACTTTACTTTAGCCTCTCTAATGCCAACTGTTGTTATCCACTTTGGGGGAGTTTTCTACGATATCACACTGAGCTTAAATATATGGGTTTTGTAGTCCCAGGACTGAGTTTGAATCTCAGCTCTGCTGTTCACTAGCTCTGGGATTTGGAGCATGATAATGAACTGCTGGGTCTCAGTTGCAGTTTTCATGAAATGAGCATAATAATATCTAGTAGGTTTATTGTGAGGATTAAATGAGACATAGTAATATGAAGCATTTATTACTGTTCCTAAAGCATTGTAAATACTTGAGAAGAGGCTATCAATTTTAAAAAGACAAATATCAAAGTTAAACTTTGTTTTACAATAATTGCATTGCAATAAATTTACATGGTTTCTTTTTAAAAGTGGAAGATATATTTTCTGGTTAGAAAATATACCAGGGTTAATTAGAGCAATCTTCTTGCAGTCCTACCTACCTCATACACAGATGATGTGATTATAATAAACATATCTAAAAAGAAATCAAAATGACAAGATCCAGAATTCGCTCCCATAGGTAGCCATGAATGTTTATTTTCTTCATGGTTTGCTTGTTACTTGAAACTTTCTTAAATGATTTTAATGAATTAAATAAAACAGGGTAATGATTATAGTAAACCTTTCTTCCTTCAGCCAACTTAAATCTTGGTCAATATCATGAAACTTCATAGAACTTGTCATTATAAAACAGCTCTTCCACAATGAATCTCACATACACACACACTCTCTCTCTCCATATTCCAAATAACTGATTTGATTTATCTCAAAAATAAAGCAAATTATTGCTTTCTTTACTAGCTCTCACACTTCCTTCGTCTATCTTCCCCCACCCCCCCAAAAAAAACCATATTTAAGAATGAACTAAATATTACGGATTCCTGGGATCATGTGGATTAGTTGTGTGGTCTTGAGAAAATTACTTAGCTTTTTCAAGGTTCAATTTCCTTATTTGTAAAATGGAAATAACACCTACCTCATTAGGTTTTTCTGAGACTTAAATGGATTTAGCATTTCACACACTGTCAGTATATAAAGAGGACACTTCATAATTGTGCTCTCTCTTCCTTTTCCTTCCTTCTAAAGTGTGGAGCACCTAAACTGGAGCTTTGCAGCATATTGCTGAGGGCTTAACTGTACCCATTATGCTGCAATGGGAGTTTTCATAAGCAGATATCTGTGGCTGCTAAGTAATTAACTTGTGCCAGGTGCAGTGGCTCACACTTGTAATCACTTTGGGAGGCAGAGGTGGGCGGATCACTTGAGGTCAGGAGTTCGAGACCAGCCTGGTCACTATGGTGAAACCCCATCTCTACTAAAATACAAAAATGAGCAAGGCATGATGGTGCATGCCCATAATCCCAGCTATTTGGGAGGCTGAGGCAGGAGAATGACTTAAACCCAGGAGGCGGAGTTGCAGTAAGCCGAGATTGCACCACTGCCAGCCTGGGTGACAGAGTGAGACTCTATTTCAAAAAAAAAAAAGACACAAAGCCATTTTTATACCTTGTTTCTAAGTAATTTATTATATAATTCTAGCAAAATATAACCAGGTGAAGTAATTTCAATTTATTTTCAATTTTCATTCAATATTTTCATTTTTAATGAGAATCTGTGTTTTCATGTGTGTAGAGTGTTTAACAATGCAAAATAATAATCCTTCATAAAGGCATAAAATTTGCTCAAATGTTTGTACATTCATTTCACATATAATTCTTGAGTATCTACGGTGTGCTGGGCACTTTTCTACGAGGCACAAAGAAAAGTTCCTTCCTCAGAGACTCCACAGAGGCAGGACACAGGCAAACAAAAAAATAAAAAAAAGAGAGAGAGAAAGAGAGATGATTACAAAACAGTGTGATAAAGGGCTGAGAGATTACATACAAGGAGCCCAAAAATTTGGGGAGGAAAGGAACTGAACTGGAAGGCTTTGGGAAGATTATCTTTTTGCTGAAATTGAAGGTAAGTTGGAATTTCATGTGCATATATAAAACTTACATACTACAATATTTTTCTGATTTATCCAAGTTTAAAAGGATAAGAGTATTGTGTTGTGTTGTGTTGTGTTGTGTTGAGTTGTGTTGTGTTGTGTTTTCCCCTCCAAAGCATGATTAGCTTGACCCTGTATACCTATCACTGGATTTCTTTTCCGGGTACCTGCAGTAACCTTGACTGATAGAACATAGCTGCATTGGATTATCTATTTAGTAGGCTACTTTTAATCTTGTTCCCTGTCTTGCTTTGTCAGCTCCCTCTAAATCTTCATAATCCTATTTAACCTACCTCTAACTATAGATGCTCATTTGCATGACACTGATTCTCTGTATTTTTATTCAAAAATTATATGATTTGAGGGATTCTGGCTCTTGATCCTAAGTTATTAAATATTTGATAGTCTGTCTTCCTACACACCAAGACCTTCAGCCAGAGTGGTCAATGATGCCTTCATGTTTATAACCATAATAATTAAACGTTATGTAATTAATTGTTTATATCTATTTCCCCTGTAGGAACTGTAAATGTCATGAGATCAGGAACCGTGTCTATGTTGCCCATTACTTGTCCATTACCGTATCTCTAGCATTCAGTTTGATACTATGCATAGTCATTCATTCAACAAATATGTAAATATTAAATGACAGGCTCTCTTCTAAGCATTGCAGAGTCAATAGGTAACAAAACTAATTTCTGCCCTTGTGGAGCATACACTCTAATAAGATGGGAAAGACAATAAATAAAGTAATAAATATATAAGCACTCAGATGTTGATTATTGATATGATAAAGAAGAAAACAAGGGAAAGAAATAGAAAATGATATGGGGTGGGGCAGGACTATCTTAGATGGGGTTTTCAGGAAAGGCCTCATTTAGCAGAGACCTGAATATAGACACAGAGGTAGCCATGCCCACTTCCAAGGGAAGAGTTTGCCCAGCAAGAAAACAACATGTGCAAAGACAGAACTGTGTTGGTGTGTTTAATGAAAAGCAGAGAAGCCACTGTGGCTAAGTTAGAGGAAGCAAGGGGAAGAGGGATTTAAAGAGTTAAGGTCTTAGAAGATAGATCAGGTGGAGAACAGTCAGGAGGCAACTGTAGTAATTCATTCAGTGAGAGGTGAGCATGGTTCAGACCAGGTTGGTACAGGTGGAAGCGGTGAGAACGGGTCAGATTCTTGATATATTTTTAAGACAGAGGCAATAAGATTTGGTGATTGATTGTTTGTGGGGTGTGTGTGAAACAGTGAAGTCAAGGATGACTGTAGATTTTCTTACTTAAAGCTACTAAAAAAGAGGTTGCAATTTGATGAGACAGGAAGGACATAAGGAAAAGCAAGCTTGGGGTAGAGGGGAATTAGGAGTTCTATTTGAAAAATAAGGCATTGTAGGCTTTTTTCTCTCACAAAAAACAGGAAAATAAAGAAAAAGGAAAATAAGGCATTGTACACGTCAGTGCCTCAGTAATATTCATTGGAATGAATGAATTAAACACTTCTGTATTTTTTTTACTTAGGATTCCAAACAAGAGGAAATGGAGGCTATACAGCTCTCAGAGTAGCAACATTAATAATGAGATAAACTCCACCTTAAATGGGTTGAGGAAAAAATAATAATAATGAAATAAACAACACTGCCTTCCACAGCTCTTTGAGTGCAAAAGTTCTCATACAGATTTCACTGGCAAAGTCTGGGGGTCCAGGACTCAATGATATTATATTTAGTATAATATTGTAATTTAGTATAATATCATAATTTAGTAAATATATACAAGTGTGTTCTTTTCTGAGACAATTCATCAAATTGCCTCCTCAAAATAGCTAATGTGAGTCAATATATTCATTCATTCAGTGTACATTTATTTAGTACCTATTAACTCTTCCTCATTAAAAGACCTCAATTTGAGTCCACAGTACAGTCATCCCTAGGTATACGTGGTGATCGGTTTGGTTGAAAAAAATCCACATATAAGCGGACCCATGTAGTTCAAGCCCAAGTTGTTCAAGGGTCAACTTTAAATAGAATGTACAGGATTAAGAAAATGCTATTGTTCTTAGTTTTAAAAAAAAAAAGGATATTACATGCTAGACACTGGGCAAGGGAGTGTTCATTAGATCCCCTACTGTGAAAAGCAATTTGCCTAGTCAAGAGTATCACCTTGGGACATTAGACAAACTTTGGTTAAAATTTCAAATTTTCTACTTGCTTAGCTGTGTTACTTAGGTCAAGTTACGTCCTTCATGATTTCTTAATTAAATGATCAATCTAATGTGTAAACTGCCAAAAATGAGGTGCTCCATCTATGGTTAGATTCCTGCTAATGAGCAAACTATCTTTGGTTATAATTTAACTTCTCAGGTAGATTTGTTTACAGGGAAACTCATTAGTTACAGAACATGAGCATCCAATCTGTAAAACCAGACCCTTGAAAGTTAATTTTATATGAAATCTGTCCAGAATCCCTTAATCACTGAACAAGTAAATAAAATAAAATTTTGATCACACACAATTCTACCTCTGGGAGTTGTACACTTACCAGGGTACCATCATTCTACGGTAACTGAAATTTCAAGCCCCCTCATAAATTACTAACCATTATAAAATAAGTAAATTATTTATTATTGTGTCTGAATTTAAATGACCTTGAAAACTGATAAAATTTTGGTCAGTCTTAAAGATCTAAGAAAAGTTAAATAATCAAAATTTAGCACCTGATTTAAAAAAAAATTTTTTTTGTTTCCGTAGGTTATTGGGGAAGCTGGTGGTGTTTGGTTACATGAGTAAGTTCTTTTGTGGTGATTTGTGAGATTTCATTGCACCCATTGCCCAAGCAGTATACACTGAACCCTATTTGTAGTCTTTGCTCCCTCACCCCCTTCCCACCCTTTCCCCCTGATTCCCCAAGTCCATTGTGTCATTCTTATTGCGGGAAGTCAAGAACCCCAAACGGAGGGACCAGCTGAAGCTGCAGCAGAAGAACATAAATTGTGAAGATTTCATGGACATTTATTAGTTCCCAGAATTAATACTTTTATAATTTCTTATGCCTGTCTTACTTTAATCTCTTAATCCCATCATCTTCATAAGCTGAGGATGTGTGTTGCCTCAGGACCCTGTGATGATTGCATTAACGGTACAAATTGTGTGTAAAACATATGTGTTTGAACAATATGAAACTGATTGTAAAACATGGGTGTTTGAACAATATGAAATCAGTGCACCCTGAAAAAGAACAGAATAACAGTGATTTTCAGGGAACGAGGGAGGATAAAGGTCTGACTGCCTGTGGGGTCAGGCAGAATACAGCCATATTTTTCTTTCTGCAGAAAGCGAGTAGGAGAAATATCACTGAATTCTTTTCTCAGCAAGGAATAAACCTGGGGAAGGAATGCATTCTTGGGGGGAGGTCTATAGATGGCCACTCTGGGAGTGTCTGTCTTATGCGGTTGAGATAAGGGCTGAAATACGCCCTGGTCTCTTGCAGTACCCTCAGGCTTACTGGGATTGGAAAATTCCAGCCTGGTAAATTCTAGTCAGACCAGTTCTCTGCTTTCGAACCCTGTTTCCTGTTAAGATGTTTATCAAGACAATGCATGCACAGTGGGACATAGACCTCCATCAGTATTTCTAATTTTGCCTTGCCTTGTGATCTTTATTGCCCGTTGAAGCATGTAATCCTTGTGACCTACTCCCTGTTTGTACACCCCCTCCCTTTCTAAAATCCCTAATAAAAACTTGCTGATTTTGCGGCTCGGCGTCACCATCATGGTCCTACTAATATGTGATGGCACTCCCGGAGGCCCAGCTGTAAAATTTCTCTCTTTGTACTCTTTTTCTTTATTTCTCAGACCAGCCAACACTTAGGGAAAATAGAAAGAACCTACGTTGAAATATGGGGGCTGGTTCCCCCAAAACATTCTTATGCTTTTGCATCCTCATAGCTTAGCTCCCACTTACGAGCGAGAATATACAATATTTGGTTTCCCATTCCTGAGTTACTTCACTTAGAATAATAGTCACTAATCTCATCTAGGTAGCCATGAATGTCATTAATTCATTCCTTTTTATGGTTGAGTAGTATTCCATTATATATATATACATGTATATACACCATGATCTCTTTATCCACTCATTGATTCATGGGCATTTGGACTGATTCTATGTTTTTTGCAATTGCAAATTGTGCTGCTATAAGCATGAGTGTGCAAGTATCCTTTTTGTATAACAACTTCTTTTCCCCTGGGTAGATACCGAGTACTGGGATTGCTGGATCAAATGGCAGTTCTACTTTTATTTCTTTAAGGAATCTCCACACTGTCTTCCATAGTGATTGCACTAATTTACATTCCCACCAGCAGTGTAGAAATGTTCCCTCTTCACCGCATCCATGCAAACATCTACTATTTTCTGATATTTTGATTATGGCCATTCTTGCAGGAGTAAGATGGTATTGCATTTCGCATTGTGGTTTTGATTTGCATTTCCCTGATCATTCGTGATGTTGAGCATTTTTTCATATGTTTGTTTGCCATTTGTATATCTTCTTTTGAGAATTGTCTATTCATGTTCTTAGCCCACTTTTTGATGGAATTGTTTGTTTTTTTCTTGCTGATTTGTTTGACTTCATTGTAGATTCTGGATATTAGTCCTTTGTCAGATGTATAGATTGTGAAGATTTCCTCCCACTCTGTGGGTTGTCTGTTTACTCTGCTGACTGTTCCTTTTGCCAGGTAAAAGCACTTTAGTTTAATTAAGTCCCAACTATTTATCTTTGTTTTTATTGCATTTGCTTTTAAGTTCTTGGTCATGAAAACTCTGCCTAAGCCAATGTCTAGAAGGATTTTTTCAATGTTATCTTCTAGAATTTGTATAGTTTCAGGTCTTAGGTTTAAGTCTTTAATCCATCTTGAGTTGATTTTTATATAAGGTGGGAGATGAGGATGAACTTTTATTCTCCTACATGTGGCTAGCCAATTATCCAAGCACCATTTGTTGAAAAGGATGCCCTTTCCCCACTTTATGTTTTTGTTTGCTTTGTTGAAGATCAGTTGGCTGCAAGTATTTAGGCTTATTTCTGGGTTTTCTATTCTGTTCCATTGGTCTATGTGCCTATTTTTATGCCAGTATCATGCTGTTTTGGTGACTATGGCCTTATAGTATAGTTTGAAATCAGGTAATGTGATGCCTCTAGACTTGCTCTTTTTGCTTAGTCTTGCTTTGGCTATAAGGGCTCTTTTTTGGTTCCATATGAATTTTAGAATTTTTTTATAGTTCTATGAAGAATGATGGTGGTATTTTGATGGGAATTGCATTAAATTTGTAGCTTGCTTTTGATAGTGTGGTCATTTTCACAATATTGATTCTACCCATCCATGAGCATGGGATGTGTTTCCATTTGTTTGTGTCATCTATGATTTCTTTCAACAGTGTTTTGTAGTTTTCCTTGTAGAGTTCTTTCAACTCTTTGGTTAGGTATATTCCTAAGTATTTTGGTTTTTTTGCAGCTATTGTAAAAAAAAGTTTGAGTTCTTGATTTGATTCTCAGCTTGGTTGCTGTTGGTGCATAGCAGAGCTACTGATTTGTGTACATTAATTTTGTATCCGGCAATTTTGCTGAATTCTTTTATCAGTTCTATGAGTTTTCTGGAGGAGTCTTTAGGATTTTCTAGGTAAACAATCATACCATCAGCAAACAGTGACAGTTTGACTTCATCTTTACTGATTTGGATGCCATTTATTATTTATTTATTTATTTATTTATTTATTTATTTAGTCTGATTGCTCTGGCTAGGAGTTCCAGTGCTATGTTGAAGAGGAGTGGTGAGAGTGGGCATCCTTGTCTTGTTCCAGTTCTCAGAGGGAATACTTTCAACTTTTCCCCATTCAGTATTATGTTGGCTGTGGGTTTGTCATAGATGGCTTTTATTACATTGAGGTATTTCCCTTGTATGCTGATTTTGCTGAGAGTTTTAATCATAAAAGGATGTTGGATTTTGTTGAATGCTTTTTCTGCATCTATTAAGATGATCATGTGATTTTTGTTCTTAATTCTCTTTATGTGGTGTATCACATTTATTGACTTGCATATGTTAAACCATCCCTACATCCCTGGTATGAAACCAACTTGATCAGGGTGGATTATCTTTTTCATATGTTGTTGGATTCGGTTAGCTAGTATTTTGTTAATTTTAGCATCTACGTTCATCAGGGATATTGGTCTGTAGTTTTCTTTTTTGGTTATATCCTTTCCTGGTTTTGGTATTAGGTTGATGCTGGCTACATAGAATGATTTAGGGAGGGTTCCCTCATTCTCTATCTTGTGGAATAGTGTCAGTAGAATTGGTACCAATTCTTTGAATGTTTGGTAGGAATCTTCTGTGAATCTGTCTGGTTCTGGACTTTTTTGTTGTTGGTAATTTTTAAGTTACCATTTCAATCTCACTGCTTGTTATTGGTCTGTTCAGGTTATCTAATTCTTCCTGATTTAAGCTAGCAGGGTTCTGTCTTTCCAGGAATTTATCCATCTCTTCTAGGTATCCTGGTTTATGTGTGTAAAGGCGTTCATAGTAGCCTCGAATAATCTTTTGTATTTCTGTGATGTCAGTTGTAATATCTCTCATTTCATTTCTTATTGAGCTTTTTTGGATTTTCTCTCTTCTTTTCTTGGTTAATCTTGCTCATGGTCTATCAATTTTATTTATTTTTTCAAAGAATCAGTTTTTTGTTTCATTTATCTTTTGTATTGGGGGTTCAATTTCATTTATTTATGCTCTGATCTTGCTTATTTCCTTACTTCTGCTGGTTTTGGGTTTGGTTTTTTTCTTGTTTCTCTAGTTCCTTGAGGTGTGACCTTAGATTGTCTGTTTGTGCTCTTTCAGACTTTCTGATGTGTTTGGGGCTTTGAATTTCCTGTTAGCACCACCTTTGCTGTATCCCAGATGTTTTGATAGATTGTGTCACTATTGTCGTTCAGTTCAAAGAATTTTCAAATTTCCATCTTGATTTCACTTTTGACCCAGTGATCATTCAGGAGCAGGTTATTTAATTTCCATGATTTGCATGGTTTTGAAGGTTTCTTTTGGAGTTGATTTCCGGTTTTGTTTCACTGTGGTCTGAGAGTGCCTGATATAATTTCAATTTTCTTAAATTTATTGAGGCTCATTTTGTGGCCTATCATATTGTCTATCTTGGAGAAAGTTCCATGCACTGTCAAATAGAATGTATATTCTGCAGTTGTTGGAAGGAATGTTCTGTATATATCTGTTAAGTCCATTTGTGCCAGGGTATAGTTTAAATCCATTGTTTCTTTGTTGACTTTCTGTCTTGATGACCTGTCTAGTGCTGTCAGTGGAGTACTGAAGTCTCCCACTACTATGGTGTTGCTGTCTATCTCATTTCTTAAGTCTATTAGTAATTGCTTTATAAATTTGGGAGCTCCAGTGTTAGGCGCATATATGTTTAGGATTGTGATAGTTTCCTGTTGGACAAGGCCTTTTATCATTATATAATGTTCCTCTTTGTCTTTTTAACTGCTGTTGCTTTAAAGTTTGTTTTATCTGATGTAAGAATCCTGCCTGCTTTTGGTGTCATTTTGCATGAAACGTCTTTTTCCACCCCTTTATCTTAAGTTTATGTGAGTCCTTATGTGTTAGGTGAGTCTCCTGAAGGCAACAGACAGTTGGTTGGTGAATTCTTATCCATTCTGTAATTCTTTATCTTTTAAGTGGAGCATTTTGGCCATTTACATTCAATGTTAGTATTGAGATGTGAGGTGCCATTCCATTCATTGTACTACTTGTTGCCCATATACTTTGGTTTTTTGTTTTTTAAATTGTATTTTTGTTTTATAGGTTCTGTGAGATATATGCTTTAAAGAGGTTCTGTTTGATGTGTTCCCAGGATTTGTTTCAATATTTAGAGCTCTTTTTAGCAGTTCTTGTAGTGGTGACTTGGTAGTGGTGAATTCTTTCAGCTTTTGTTTATCTGAAAAAGACTGTATCTTTCCTTCATATATGAAGCTTGGCTTCACTGGATACACAATTGTTGGCTGATAATTGTTTTGTTTGAGGAGGCTGAAGATAGATAGAATCCCTTCTAGCTTGTACAGTTTCTGCTGAGAAATCTGCTATTAATCTGATAGGCTTTCCTTTATAGGCTACCTGGTGCTTTTGTCTCACAGCTCTTAAGATTCTTTCCTTTGTCTTAATTTTAGATAACCTGATGACAATGTGCCTAGGTGATGATCTTTTTGTGATGAATTTCCTAGGTGTTCTTTGTGCTTCTTGTATTTGGATGTCTAGGTCTCTAGCAAGGCCATGGAAATTTTCCTAGATTCTTCTCCCAAATATGTTTTCCAAACTTTTAGAATTCTTAGATTTGGTTGGTTAACATAATGCCAGACTTGTTGGAGGCTTTGTTCATATTTTCTTATTCTTTTTTGTCTTTGTTGGATTGGATTAATGCAAAGACCCTGTCTTCAAGCTCTAAATTTCTTTCTTCTACTTGTTTAATTATGTTGCTGAGATTTTCCAGAGCATTTTGCATTGCTCTAAGTGTGTCCATTGTTTCCTGAAGTTTTGATTGCTTTTTATTCTTGCTATCTATTTCATTATTTCTCCCTTCACTTCTTGTATCATTTTTTTTTATTTCCTTAAATTGGGCTTCATCTTTCTGTGGTGTCTCCCTGATTAGCTTAATAACTAACCCCCTGAATTCATTTTCAGGTAAATCAGGGGTTCTTCTCAGCTTGGATCCATTGCTGGTGAGCTAGTGTGATTTTTGGGGGGTGTTAAAGAACATTGTTTTTTTATATTACCAGAGTTGGTTTTCTGGTTCCTTCTCATTTGGGTTGGCTCTATCAAAGGAAAGGTCTAGGGCTGAAGGCTGTTGTTCAGATTCTTTTGCCCCACAGGGTGTTCCCTTGATGTAGTACTCTCACCCTTTTCCTATGGATGTAGCTTCCTGAGAGCCAAGCTGTAGTGATTATTATCTCTCTTCTGGATCTAGCCACCCAGCAAGTCTACCAGGCTCTGGGCTGGTACTAGGGGTTGTCTGCACAGAGTCCTGTTACATAAACCATCTGTGGGTCTCTCATCTGGGGATACCAGTACAGTATTTGGAGTGTTTCCTGGGTCCTGAAGGAGCAATCCACTTCCTTCAGAGAGGTCTCTGGGTACTCCCAGGTTTCCTGATTTATTCCTACAGTCATTCTGGTGCAAAAATTCATGACACGAGCCTCCACACACTGCTCTGTCTATCTGAGTCAGAGCTGCAATCTAGTCCTGCCTCCCATCCACCATGATCCCTCCTCTTAGGGAGTAAGTCCTCCAGCCCTCAGCATGATTGGGGTGGCCTCAGAGACTTGCAACTGATGTTGATAGCTCCTTGGAATATTGGAAATTTAGTGGACTTGAGATTTGCATCCTGGTTTAGATTTTGCATCCTGGTTTGCTAATTTAGATTTGCATCCTGGTTTGCTAATTTCTGACAGCACTGTAGCCTTGGGAAAATTATTTAACTGCCCTGAACCTTGTTGTTGCCATTTTTTATTAGCATAATGGGAATAGATTCTTCTAATCAAGGTATGGTAAATAGAAATGATTGACATAAAACTCTTCACACCAGGCCTGGCACAAATTGAGTCCTTAATTACAGTAAATATTAAGATTATTATTATTTTCCTGTGAGATAGTTCCTGGAGCTTATTATTAAATAATTCATTGTAATTGTATTAAGTTTCTGGTTAAATAACATAATCAAATACAAAGGGCTCAAAGAAATCCAGAGTAAGGAAAAAAAATTATTGGGGAAGAGAGTATGGTTGTACCTGAAAATTTTAAGATTTTAAGTCTTTTAGGGGCTGGGCACAGTGACTCATGCCTGTAATCCTAGCACTTTGGGAGGCCGAGGTGAGTGGATCACCTGAGGTCAGGAGTTTGAGATCAGCCTGGCCAACATGGTGAAACCTGCATCCCTACGAAAATTTAAAAAATTAGCTGGGCTTGGCACACATCTGTAGTCCCCCAGCTACTCAGGAGGCTGAGGCAGGAGAATCACTTGAACCCAGGAGGTGGAGGTTGCAGTGAGCCAAGATTGTGCCACTTGACTCCAGCCTGGGCAACAGAGTGAGATTCTGTCTGAAAAAAAACAAAAACTTAGGTAAATATGAAATCACGCTAACCTATATAATGTTGTGCCTTAAATATACCTGAAGACTTTTGCAGAGTCCATAGTGGAAATATTGTTGCTTATTACCCTTCCCCAAAACTGGCTTTCAATTTAGCTTTCTCAGACATGACAAATTATCTATGTGATATAAGCCTCCTAACTTTTGTTGCTGCTGCCACTTCTTCCACAGGCCTACCCCTAACATTAACAGAACTGGGGCAAGAAAACAAATGGATATCTATGTACTACATTACTAAATATTTAAAATCAAACTAATGAGCTGTTAAAATGAGTTTTTGTCCTCACCTTGAAAAACAAACCTTCATAACCAAAATATTAAAAATCTATAAAGCAATGATTTTAATATGATTAAAACCTAGCAAAATGTCAAAGACAACTGGATTTAATTATTATTGTACATGTCTGGTTAGGTCTGTTGATGGGTCAGGGGTACTCATATTAGTAATAAAATAGAGATATACATAAATGTAAGTTATTATGTATTATATATAATTTACTTTTCTGCCTTCTCAGAAAAATACTAAATATATTGTGATAATCAAGATTTTACATTATTTGGTGGTAGTGCTGTTTCACAACGCTTTGAGTCATTACAGATTGTAGTAATTTTTATAAATTCCTACTTGTACAAACTTTGCATTGTCTCAACACAATTTATAAAATGAGACAGCTTCACAAATAAATCATGAATTTTAAATATTATATTCAAACATTGCAGTGGGCTCCCACAAATCAACAATAGATGCTTCTTGACTTAAAATGTGATTATGTCCCAATAAACCTATCATAAATTGAAATAATCATAAGTTGAAAAGGCATTTAATACCCCAATACACCCACCATAAAGTAGAAAAATCATAAGATGAACCATCATAAGTAAAGGAACATCTGTATACTGTAGTCTAAGTTTTTGCTCATGAAAAAGTAGCTTGACTTCAAACTGGACAAAATGCACAAAACAACAACAGAAGTATGGCATTAGAGAAATGGGGGAAAAATGAGTTGAACCCTGTCCAAAGACCATTTTTAATCTGTGACATGAGAAAAATAAACCAAGCACAGCCCAGCAGTCTTGTTTAGCTAAGGAGTCAGAAATATGACCTTGGAGATTGAAGTAGCCAGAATTTTCAGAGCAAAGTACTAGAGAAGAGGAAGCAATGTAGAGAAAGAACCAGAAATCTGCAGAGAGGTCTTTTCCAGTCTTTGTGGAATGCTAATCTGGACATGCATAAATGAAAATTCCACAGACTGGACAAAGAATAACTTCCAAGGTATTAACAGTTAAATAATCCCAAAACTCACACAGACCTTGGAGATATTCAAGTTACTACCTGTAGACTGGAGAGATTCAGTGAAGACCTCAGGCATTAATAATGCTTACATGGACTTGGCACAGTGGCTCATGCCTTTAATCCCAGCACTTTGGTAGGCTGAGATGGGCAGATCATTTGAGGTCAAGAGTTCGAGACCAGCCTGACCAACATGGTGAAAACCCGTCTCTACTAAAAATACAAAAAAAATTAGCTGGGCAAGGTGGCACATGCCTGCAGTCCCAGCTACTCAGGAGGCTGAGGCAAGAGAATCGCTTGAACCTCAGAGGTGGAAGTTGCAGTGAGCAGAGATCACACTGCTGCACTCCAGTTGGGCAACAGAGCGAGACTCCATCTCAAAAATAAATAAATAAATAAAAAATTTAAATGCTTACATGAAAAGCCACACTTCAATAGCAGGGCTAACCTAACTCTAGGTTAAAGGATACAGTACCCCCTTATTTGTGGTTTTACTTTCAACAACTTTATTTACTTGTGGTTGAGCATGGTCTTAAAATATTTAATGCAAAATTCCAAAAATAAACAATTCATAAGTTTGACATATTATCAGAAGGTCAATAGTAGCCTGATGCTATTTCACAATGCCAAGTCATTCACCTCCTTCGTCTCATCACATAGGCATTGTATCATCTCATATCATCACAAAAAAGGTGAATATAGTATAAGATGTTTTGAGAGAAAGAGAGAGAGACCACATTCACATAACTTTTCTTAAAGTATATTGTTATAATTGTTCAATTTTATTATCAGGTGTTAATCTCTTTCCATGCCTAATTTATAAATTGAATTTTATCATAGGCAAAAATACATAGTGTATATAAAATTTGGTACTGTCCATGGTTTCAGGCACCCCCTGGGGGTCTTGGAACATATTCCCTGCAGATAAAAGAGAGCTATGATACTTTCAATCTGCCATATAAGTCTTAAAAGAAGCTCATAAAGGATCAAACTAATTTGCAAATAATTCAAATTCCTTCCCCTCTTTTAAGGAGGCAATAAAATCCAAACACTTCACAATATGGACTAATAATGTCTGGCATTCAATCAGAAATTACTAGACACATAAAGAAGCAGGAAAATGTGACCCATAATCAGGAAAAAAATCAGTCAATAGCTGCATACCCAGAAGTGACAGAAATCATGGCATATGTCTGGGAACAGTAGCTCACACCTGTAATCACAGCACTTTGGGAGGCCGAGGCAGGTGGATCACCTGAGGTCAGGAGTTTGAAACCAGCCTGGCCAAAATGGTGAAATCCCGTCTCTACTAAAACTTCAAAAATTAGCCAGGTGTGGTGGCACTCGCCTGTAGTCCCGGCTACCCAGGAGGCTGAGGTAGGAGAATCACTTGAACCCAGGAGGCAGAGGTTGTAGTGAGCCAAGATCATGCTCCTGCACTCTCCAGCCTGGTGACAGAGAGAGATTTCATTTCAAAACTAATAATAATAATAATGGATTAGCAAACAAGGACATTAAAATATGTATTATAAATATGCTCAAGAATTCAAAATAAATCATTTATATAATCAACAAACAAATTTAAAACACAGGAAAAAATAACAGAACTTCTAGAAATTAAAATATCTGAAATTAAAAATTTATTAGATGTCTGTTCAGTAGAATAGAAAATGTAGATGATAAAATCAGTGAATGTGAAGACATAGCAATTGAAGCTGCCAAAATAAAGCAAAAAGAGATAAAACATTGGAATCTTAGTAACTCATGGAACCATATTAATTGGATCAACATGTGTAATTGGTACCCTAGAAGCAAGGAGGTAAAAACAAATATTTGAAGAAATAATGTCCAATAATTTTCCAAATTTGATGAAAAGTATAAAATTACATATTCAAGAATTTCAATGAACCCCAAGCAGAATAAAAACAAATAAAATCACTTCAAAGCAAATAAAAGCCCAATTACTAACAATAAGTGTTTTTTTTTTTTGAGACAGAGTTTCGCTCTTGTTGCCCAGGCTGGAGTGCAATGGCATGATCTCGGCTCACCGCAACCTCCGCCTCCCAGTTTCAAGCGATTCTCATGCCTCAGCCTCCCAAGTAGGTGGGATTACAGGCATGTGCCACCACCCCAGCTAATTTTGTATTTTTAGTAGATACGGGGCTTCTCCAGATTGGTTAGGCTGGTCTTGAACTCCCGACCTCAGGTGATCTGCCCACCTCAGCCTCCCAAAGTGCTGTGAACACAGGTGTGAGCCACCGTGCCCAGCAACAATAAGTGATTTTTTAAAAAAATTAAACAGCCAGAGGGAGAAAGTAGGCACATTACATACAGTGGGGGAAGCGGGGGGGTGGGAAGGATAATCACAGACTTGTAAATGAGAAACAATGTAAGCTTAGAATATAACAAAGTAGTATTTTTAATGTGCTGAAAGTAAAGAAATACTGTTAATTTATACTTTTGTACCTAGGGAAAATAGCTTTTGAAAATAAAGGCAAAATACATCTTTTTCAAACAAACAAAAACTGGGAGAACTTATTGCCAGCAAATCTACATTATAGGAAATATCAAAGGTACCAATCTTTAGCCTTGAATCTAACCACATCAATTTTTATAAAATATGTACTCAGACTAAAAGGCTAATTAAAAGCAAAGATTTTCAGATTGGTTACAAAAGTAAAATGCAACTAAATGTCATTTATGAGAAATAAGCTTTAAATAAAAAGACACAGATAGGTTAGATGTAAAGGGAAAAAAAAGGCATGTCATAATAATAAATGTTAATAGGCTGGGCACGGTGGCTCAGGCCTGTAATCCCAGCACTTTGAAAGGCCAAAGCAGGTGGATCTCTTGAGGTCAGGAGTTCGAGACCAGCCTGTTCACCAACATGTTGAAACCCCATCTCTACTAAACATACAAAAATTAGCCAGGTGTGGTGGCATGCACCTGTAATCCCAGCTACTTGGGAGGCTGAGGTAAGAGAATCACTTGAATCTGGGAGGTGGAGGTTGCAGTGAGCCAAAATTGCACCACTGCACTCCAGCCTGGGTGACAGAGCAAGACTCTGTTTAAAAAAATGCTAATAACACAGCTGATTTAGCTATATTAATATCAGACAAAGTAAATTCCAAATCAGAAAGTATTACCAGAATAAACAGGGACATTTAATAATGATAAAATTGTCTATTAATTAAGGAGACATAATAATCCTACTTGTGTTTGTATCTAATGACCAAGTTAAACAAATTTAAAAATTGGCAATAAACTACATTTAGAGCAAGCAACTTAACCCAATTGACATTTCTAAAACACTACACCCAGCAACTGCAGAATACACATTCTTTTCTATTTAACTTGGAACATCCACCAAGACAGATCATATGCTGGGCCATAAACCAAATCTCAACACATTTCAAAGAACTATTATTGTTCAGAATATGCTCTGTGTCCAAAAGAGGATTAAACTGATAACCAATAACAGAAGGATATCTGGAAAAGCTGCAGTTATCTGGAAATCAAGGAACACATTCCTTCATAACCCATGGGTCAAAGAAGAAATTGCAAAGAAAACTTTAAAATATTTTGAACTAAATGATAATAAACATTATTAATAAACACAATATATCAAAATTTGTGGGATGGAGCTAAAGCAGTATTTGGAGGCAAATGTTAGCTTTAAACATTTGTAGTGAAAGAGAATAAAGGTTTAAAATCAAAGTCTAAACTTTCACCTTAGAAACTGGAAAAAGGATAGCAAATTAAACTCCAAGTAGAAGGAAGGAGGTAATAAAAATAAGAGTAGATATCAATTAAAATTTAAAAATAGGTAAGGAAAATCAATAAAGGTAAGAGCTAGTTCTTATAAAGATTCATAAAATTGAAAACCTCCTAACTAGACTGATTGAGAAAAAGATTACCAAGTATAAGCTAGGTACAGTACTAGGCTGGACAGCAACATTTTTGCAAAAAGCCTCAAGCCCCACTCTGTAAAGACAGACCACAACACTGTAGTAGAGAAAGTTTAATAGATACAAGACTAGTCATGCCACATGGGAAATGGAGTTTGTACTCAAATGATCTCCTCCAAAGGTCTTAGGTCAGGGGTTTTTCAAAGGCAGTTTGGGGGAAGGGAGGGGGTGGCCAGGTAATAGGTGCTTGCTGTTGATTGACTGGGGTGGAGATGAAATAGGCGTCAAAGCTGCCCTTCTGTGGGCTGAATTGCTTCTGGGTGGGACCATAGGAGCTGGGTTGGCTGGTCCAGGTGGAGCCGTGGGTGTCAGACATGCAAAAAAAAAAAAAAAACAAAAACAAAAAACCCTGAAAAGATATCTCAAAAGGCCAGTGTTAGGTTCTACAATATTGATGTTATTTGCAGGAGTAATTGGGGAAGCTCATATCTTATAACCTCCGGAATAATGGCTGGCAATGGTTTATGTCTGCACCTTAGCAGGACTCAGGCTCCCCTCCTCCCCACAGCCTGATGGCCTCCCATTAGCTTTATAAAAGTGAATGAGTTTTAGGATAAGACTTATTATCATTTAAACCATAGCCTAAATATCTTTCAAAGTTAGCTTGGTCCTGTGAACCCTGAAAATCTGAGACATGTCTCAGTTAATTTACAAAATTTATTTTGCCAAGGTTGAGAACACAACCCCATGACACAGCCTCAGGAGGTCCTGATGACATGTGCCCAAGGTGGTCAGAGCATCACTGGGTTTTATACATTCTAGGGACACATGAGACATCAATCAACATATGTAAGGTGAACACTGGTTCTGTCTGGAAAGGCAGGATAACTCAAAGCAAAAGCAGGAAGATTGGAAGCAGGGAGGGGGCTTTCAGGTCATAGGTAGATAAGAGACAAATAGTTGCATTATTTTGAGTTTCTGATTAACCTCTCCAAAGGAGGCAATCAGATATGCATTTATCCCAGTGAGCAGAGGGCTGACTTTGAATAGAATGGGAGGCAGTTTGGCCCTAAGCAGTTACCAACTTAACTTTTTTCTTTAGCTTAGTGACTTAGGAGCCCCAAGATATATTTTCCTTTCACATTTTCCCCCCTTTTCTGTGGGCAGCAAGTCACCCAGGTGCCGAGGCAAGAGACCAAGGACACGAGCTGTTCCAGTATAATAAAATATAAAATAAGAATAGTTATACCAGATATAGATCTTAGATATGATTATATATGAATATTATTAATCATTAGTTTGTAGCAATTACTCTTTATTCCAATATTATAACAACCCTCGCTCTATAATCATAACCTAGGAAAAACCAGGCCATACAGAGATAGGAGCTGAGGAGACATTGGGAGAAGTGACCAGAAGACAAGAGTGTGAACCTTCTGTTATGCCCAGACAGGGCCACCAGAGGGCTCCTTGGTCTAGCAGTAATGCCAGCATCTGGGAAGATGCCCTTTGCCAAGTGGACCGTGGTCTAGTGGTAGCATTAGTGTCAAGGAAAAACACCTGCTACTTAGCAGACCAGGAAAGGGAGTCTCCCTTTCCCCAGGGGAGTTTAGAAAAGACTCTATCCTCCACCTCTTGTGGAAGGCCTGACATTAGTCAGGCCCGCCCGCAGTTATCCAGAGGCCTAACCATCTCTCTGTGATGCTGTGCTTCAGTGGTCATGCTTCTAGTCCGCCTTCATGTTCCATCTTGTACACCTGGCTCTGCCGTTTAGTTAGCAGTAGCAAATTAGTGAAAGTACTAAGTCTCTGAGAAGCAGAAATAATAATGTAAGCTGTTTCTCTCTTTCTCCTCTCTCTCTCTGCCTCAGCTGCCAGGCAGGAAAGGGCCCCCTGTCCAGTGGACACGTGACCCATGTGGCCTTACCTATCATTGGAGATGGCTCACACTCCTTACCCTGCCCCTTTGTCTTGTATCCAATAAATATCAGCGCAGCCTGGCATTCAGGGCCACTACCGGTCTCCGCGTCTTTGTGGTAGTGGTCCCCCAGGCCCAGCTGTCTTTTTTTAATCTCTTTGTCTTGTGCCTTTATTTCTACACTCTCTCATCTCTGCACACGAGGAGAAAACCCACCGACCCTGTGGGGCTGGACCCTACACTTTTCTTTTAAAAAATCCTTTGGAGAAAGCATTTTAGAAGAAAATGCGTCTCTAGTCTGAGGTTTTGTCCGATCTCTCATGGCTAGGATGGTTTATTCCTAGATGGGTAGGTCCCAAGTTATTTAGGAAGGCTCACTTTTAGCAGGCTGTAAAGTCTCATGTCCTATAAAGAGAAAATAGGAGGAGGAAGGGAGAAAAACAAGAACAAACAAAGGAACAATCCTGGAAAATGCATATAGGCCACACTACTCTGAAGTCCACATATCAATAGACAGGCAGTAAGTGGCTTATGTATGTAAATAGGTTGTTGTTATTTTCTTCTGAAGTTTAAGTTGTCTAGCTTCTGTTCACAGGGCTTTATGAATGCACAGCTTAGTTTTCAGTGACTCCAAATTAGGATAAATGGGGGAGTGGGGGTGGGGGTAAAGAAGGAAAAGAAACTGAAAGCAATATTTTGAAGGCTTGTAGCCAAGAAAAATTAGAACTCAGTCCAAACTGTAGAAAATAATAAAAGTTGAAAAACATTAGGCAAGACTGGAATCTAAGAACAGGTGTACTATAGTTTTTGAAACATAATTTTTCCTCTCCAGTTTCCCATTTTTACTAAAGACAAATCGTGGTTGGACTGATTTGCTTTTTTATTATTTATTTATTTATTTATTTATTTATTTGAGATGGAGTCTTGCTCTTGTTGCCAGGATGGAGTGCAGAGGTGTGATCTCAGCTCACTGCAACCTCCGCCTCCGAGGTTCAAGCAATTATCCTGCCTCGGCCTCCTGAGTAGCTGGGATTACAGGCATGTGCCACCACGCCTGGCTAATTTTTGTATTTTTAGTAGAGATGGGGTTTCTCCATCTTGGCCAGGCTGGTCTCGAACTCCTGAACTCATGATCCATCCACCTTGGACTTCCAAAGTGCTGGGATTACAGGTGTGAGCCACCACGCCCGGCCCTGACTTGCTTTATTATACTTGGCCTGATTATTTGTTTACAGTGCAACAAAAATAATTTTTTTACATAGGCTTTTAAATTGGCTTTGATGGTACTTTATTCCATAGAAGAAATCTCACATAAGACTTTTTTAAAGTCAAACCCAGCCATGGATTTGTACCATCAAATACCTATGAGTTGGGTAAATTCCTTTCCTGTTGAGGTTCCAAGATAAACCTGGGGCTCCTGGACCTGTCAGAAAGTGACATTCTTTACTTACCACAGGTCAGGAACCCTGTACAGGGACTGTATAGACAAAAGTATGAGGCCAGTTTTCCCAAGGGGCTTGTATTGATTCCATAAGCCAAGTTTGATTCCTTAAAGCAAAGCACACCATCCCAGTAAAGAGCCTCGGTAAAGTAACTAGTTTCTCCAATTGTGTCCTGTTACAAATGAAAACAGATTCTTATTGCATTTATGCAAATAACTGTATTGTCGTAAGTTAAGAATACTCACAAATAGTTTCCAAATTCTGTAGAAATCAGGTACAGAGAAAGAAATATGCTCCAAATTTTATTCATAGGAGTATACTTACTCAATTGTTAGAATCTGTAAATAGCTTAAACATTTTCTTGACTTTGAAAAACAAAAGAATCAGCACCATTTTAGGCAAAAAGTTAAACAGATTACTTCAGACTTCTATTAGTTTAATCCATGAAGTTAATTCCTATTCTGCTTGATATTCATGAATATTTTATCTCTCCATGAGTCCTGAAAGTTTTTCATCTATTCTGATGTCACAATCTCCAATGTTATCAGAAACCTGTGTTCAAGAGCACCTGTTAGAGTTTTATAAAACTACCTTCTAAAGAGAACCAAAAAAAGACAATAATTGTCTGTGGATGACAAAAAGTTTTAGGGCAGCCATAGTCAAAGACACAATTGATGAGGAAATTTGTTACCTCTGTTGCACACAATAATTTAACATAACAATTATAATTATTACTGATAATGTACACTAAGTCGTATCAGAATTATAGAAGTTTCCCATAATTTTAGAATACATACCAATAACATTTTTATACAAATACAGCCCAAAGAAAACCAAACACCATTTCTTATTTGATGGTGTTTCCTGTATAATTTTTATACCAAATAACCAAATATGTCATTTTTTGACATTAGGGAACCTATTAATAATATCTTAAAGGATTAATTAGTTCAAAAAAAGACATAATTTTTTTTTGAGACAGAGTCTCGCTCTGTCACCCAGGCTGGAGTGCAGTGGCATGATCTCAGCTCACTGCAACCTCCATCTCCTGGGTTCAAGTGATTCTCCTGCCTCAGCCTCCCCAGTAGTTGTGATTACAGGTGTGTGCCACCATGCCCAGCTAATTTTTGTATTTTTTGGTAGAGACAGAGTTTCACCATGTTGGCCAGGCTGGTCTCAAACTCTTGACCTCAAACGATCCTCCCTCCTTGGCCTCCCAAAATGCTTGAATTACAGGTATGTGCCCAGCCAAAAAAAAGACATAATTTATAATTTTGATTTTGGAAAGTTTGTCAAATATCAAAGGTTTACACTTGATATCACAAAATAGGATTACAGGTTATTGTAAAATAAGTCATTCATTTAACCAGAGTGATAACTCAAGGGTTTGAAAAAAAAAAAGTGAAAACCTTAATTCTTTAAGAGAGGACACTTAACTTTCTAAACAATTAGCTCTAATAAAAACAGCATGAAGCCAAATAAATTTGTTTTTCAAAATTTTATAAATAATCTATAAAATCTTAATATTGGTCATAAAATTTAACTTCCATAAGCCTTTTATAACCTTTATAACCTTTATTAAGGAGTTGGTTAATGCTTCAAGAAAATCTTGTTAATCTGACACAGCGGTCCATATGCTGGTCTTGAATAAGAGTGTCTTTGACATTACTGGTTAATTTATAGAGAAATTGAACTTATTTTATCTCTTAAAATCAGCCCTTACAATCCCACATGCCCACCGCTTCCACAATAGTCCCTGGAATTTGAGGCGTTGAATGGCTTTAACTTCTGACCTTGTGTCTCAGGAATGCAGTTTATTTTGATTGGCATATTCTGATGCCAATCAAGAGGGCCTGAAGATGAGGTTTTAATTGCTGTCGGTGTTTTAAGACTTAGCAGGACTTGGTGTCCTTTTTAGACCCAGGAGTCAAAGCCCTGTAACTTAATGTCACAAGTACTTTAAAATCACATACAGAAAGATACATGGATGTAATAACCTTAACTTAAAAAAAAAAATTTAATCTCAGTTTTTTTCCTAAGCAAATCAAAACTTAATAATAATGGCATAGGAATTATTTTTATAAAACCTAAAATCTGTTAGGCCAGTTACCAAAAGGCAAAAGAAAAACCCTTCTGCAGTGTACAGAACATTATGTTGGAAGAAAACATTTCCTTCAGATCTTTAAGAATATTGTTAGCATCAGGCCACAACAAACAGAAGTTGAGGAAACAAAAACTTATATGAGTTGAAGGAAACCATTATTATTTCACTCCTTTTAAAAGGGGAGAGAAAACCAAAAACAGCAAGATGCAATAGAAGTTTAACTTTGGGTTAAGATATAAATAAAATCTCTTATAATTTATTAAGAGTAAATCAATACCCTAAGGAACTTTTATTGTTCTAATCAATTCTTTACTATATAAATGTTTTTGGGTTTTTTTACATCAAACCAAGTCTCTGGAAAGACCATTGTAATTTCCCTTTAACTACAGACAACTTGATCATATAAGTTTTGGGGTTTTTTTTAAATAAATTCTTTCATTGTGACTTACCCAGACCATTCATGACATGCTTGGACTTTCTGGTTTGTCCTGAACATCCCTTTCTTAAACAACCAGTCATTTTATTCTAGGTCTAAATTTACCATGTAATATTCTTTCTCATATAAAATTATTTCTCTTTAAGCTTTCTTACCAAAATATACCTCTTTATTTCTATAAGTTTCTTTACATCTCTCTTATTTCCTGGCTCCTCTTACCTTGTTTTGTACACAACCTTTAAGCTTTGAATTAGAAAAAAATTGTCCACCTTTTTTAAAAGGACACTTTTTTCTAGAAAGAATGTTTTCCTACAATATATTTTTATTGGAAAATACCTAAATAATGAAATATTTTAGTATAACTTTAGATTCTAAATTATGACAAGTTTGCCTACAAGTATTTATCCCATTACATCTGTCTATTTTATTTTATTCATTTACCTACATTATTTATGAAAACTGTGATAGTCATCAATTAAAGTTATGAAACTCACCTTTGCAAAATTCTGAGACAGTGAAAAAGACAGGACCTAACTGACTCCATCTTGCTTCTAACCTCCAAGCTGTCCTTGCTTATTCCCAAACTTTAGAAGGAATTTAATTTATATTTTAGCTTTGAAACAAAGACAGTAATAGTCCTTTCCCCCAAACAAACTTCCTTGCTGCCTGTGGATTACACTGCCTAATGCCACAATATCAGAAGTTATGGTAATTTTACTAAATAATTCAAAATATAGCTGTTTTCATTAAACCAATAGCAATGTCTTATTTATTAAAGATTATGAAAGCAATCTTGGGCTGGGTTTATAGGTTTGTAACCCCTATGCCAAATTTTGACACCTTATAGTATTTGGCAGGGATAAGTATGAAATTGCTTGATTAATAAATGCAAACAAAAATGTATGCTGGCAATGCTTAAGACATTTCTAATATTACTTTATCAGTAATTTTAAAGCTAGCTTATTTAGTAAAGATTTTACAGCTGGGCACAGTGGCTCACACCTGTAATCCCAGCACTTTGGGAGGCCTAGGTGGGTGGATCATGAGGTCAGGAGATCGAGACCAGCCTGGCTAACATGGTGAAACCCCATCTCTACCAGAAATACGAAAAATTAGCCGAGGGTGGTGCTGTGCACCTGTAATCCCAGCTACTCCGAAGCTGAGGCAGGAGAATCACTTGAACCCGGGAAGCAGAGGTTGCAGTGAGCTGATATCATGCCACTGCACTCCAGCCTGGGCAACAGAGCCAGAGTCTGTCTCAAAAAAAAAAAAAAAAAGGACTTTACTTAAATCATGTAAACTTGAAAAAGCATTGGACAGCCACGCACAGTGGCTCATGCTATAGTCTCAGCACTTTGGGAGGCCAAGGTGGGCAGATCACCTGAGGTCAGGAATTCAAGACCACCCTGACCAACATGGCAAAACCCCATCTCTACTAAAAATACAAAAATTAGCCATGTGTGGTGGTGCTTGCCTGTAATGCCAACTACATGGGAGGCTGAGGCAGGAGAATTGCTTAAACCCAAGAGACAGAGGTTGTATTCAGCCAAGATCATGCCATTGCACTCCAGCCTGGGCGACAGGAGCGAAGCTCCATCTCAAAAAAAGAAAAAGAAAAAGCATTCGACTAGTCTTCCCTTTTTTTTAAGAAGGTATTTGATTTAAGTGCTTCTATTTTTCTTTAAGCCAATTAATTAGAGCTCTTTTATATATTTTCAGTAGTGAAACATTATGTACTCAACACACAAATACATAGACATATTAGGCATGCCGATAGAAGTACATCTTATAGATTCATAAAGACCTTTTTTTTTCTATCTTAGACTTTCAGATATTTGATAACCTGTTTCACAACACTAGGCAGTTGTCAGCTAAATAGCCATAAATTTAGATATTAAATGAAACAACACAGGTGAAAATCAAATAGCAAAATTTACATCATAAGGTATATAAAGAAAAAGTCTGGTACTGCTAGAGGGAGATTGATGATGGATGCCAAATCAAACATAAAATTATAGAAATCTATCATAGGATTGTATAAGGAGACCAATTTTATTTAGATAGGGACTATTTATTTTTTAACTGGATCTCTAAGCTCTGGGCAGAGCCCACACTGAATCCTGGGTCTTCAAAAAGAGAATTATTTTAAGGTTAGACCACATGATGCTTTTACAGTGCACTTTAAAAACAAAGACATTTCTAAGTGCCTAAACTATACTCTTCCTTAAAAACCCCAGAGAAGCCTCGGTTGTGTTACCAGGGGTCCTTGCTCACAGAGCTCCCAAGATGGTGGCGAGCCACTTCCAAGATGGTGGTGGGTCGCTTCCAAGATGGTGGCAAGCCTCGTGTTCTCTGACCTGGGGTTCTTGGCCTCACGGATTCCAAGGAATGGAATCTTAGGCCATGTGGTGAGTGTTATAGCTCTATTAGAAGCCGTGGGTCATGGAAGAGAACCGTAGAACCCAGTGACTAGTGTTCAGCTCGATTAGGATGAACCCAGGCACTTAGCCGTGCAGGAACAATGGCAAGCCTTTAGCCCAATCGGGACTGGCAATGGGCACCTTGCTGGATCAGGAGCACAGCACACACCTTGCCGGATCCAGAGGGATGGAAGTCAGCAGCAGGTCTGCGATGGCAGCAAACGACAGTGGTGGGCAGTGGTGGACGGCAAGCGAAAGCTCAGCTCGAGCTGTAACAAACATGGACCAGAAGAGTGCAGTTGCAAGATTTAATAGAGTGAAACACAGTGAAAACAGAGCTCCCGTACAAAGGGAGGGGACCCAAAGGGGGTTGCCATTGCTGGCTCGAATGCCTGGGTTTATATCCTGATCATTGTCCCTCCTGCTGTGCTCTCAGGCAGCAGATGGCTATTTCTTTACCTCCTGTTTTTGCCTAATTAGCATTTTAGTGAGCTCTCCTTACTATCTGATTGGTCGGGTGTGAGCTAAGTTGCAAGTCCCATGTTTAAAGGTGGAAGCGGTCACTTTCCCAGCTAGGCTTGGGGATTCCTTAGTCGGCCTAGGAAATCCAGCTAGTCGTGTCTCTCAGTTGCAATAGATATTAATGAAGAACACAGAATTCAGTCAACTAAGAAGAAAAAAAATTACTAAAAAAAAAAAAGACAAGGTCCTGGGAGAGAAAAAAAACAAAACAAAACATGAAGGTCTTTTAAATACACACATGCACACATGCACACACATGCACACATACACACACACACACACACATCTTGGATGTTAGCTTTTAATTAAGCTGACTTTTAACCATTGAGTTCCTTTTTTAAAAAAATCTTTTAAAATCTCATTACTATTGTCAGTGAAAAGAGTTGAACTCTAAAATATTTGAAGAGCTTTATTCTGAGCCAAATATGACTGATCATGGCGCATGACACAGCCCTCAGGAGGTCCTGAGAACGTGTGCCCAAGGTGGTCAGGGTGAGGCTTGGTTTTACACGTTTTAGAGAGGCACAAGACATCAATTAAATACATTTAAGAAATATATTGGTTTGGTCCAGAAAGGTGGGACAATTTAAAACCAGGTGGGTGTGGGGGGCTTCCAGGCTGTAGGCAAATTTAAACATTTTCTGGTTGACAATTGGTTGAGTTTGCCTAAAGACACGGGATTCATAGAAAGGGAATGTTCGGATTAAGATAAAGATTGTGGAGACCAAAGTTCTTTTGAAGTCTTAATAGTGGCGGCCCTTAAAGACAATAGATGAAAATGTTTCCTATTCAGATCTTAGTTAATCGCTTTAGGATTGGGAGGATCTGGAAGAAAAAGATCTAGCTATGTTAACAGAGATTCTTTAAAGATGCAAATTCTCCCCTACAAAGAACAGCTTTGCAGGGCCACTTCAAGATATGGCAAAGAAACATGTTTTAGGGTAAAATAATTTTGCTTTTCTTCCTTGTCTCATAATGCTATGTCAGAGTCAAGTTGGAAAATAACTCATGATATATTGGCTTAAATAAAACCCTTCTGATGAGAATTTATGATTTGTAGGGCATGACTCCCCAGACACCTTAGATAGGAATTTGGGCAAGATAAAAAAATCAGTTTAGTCCTTACTATATTTCAGCTAGGACAAATTGCTGCTATTTCAGAAGTACCAAGTATCAAACCAGAAAGGGCTTGATTTAGGAACCAAACCCAGGGCTGTTTTGGTAGGAAAAAAAACAAAGGCACAACCTTAGCTATCGGGTGGGACCTTAGCAGTGTGGGAGGACAGCCATTGCTTTCAGTTTGGCCTAACAAAAAGGGTGGTGTTATGTAAACAAAGCCCCTTTAGTAGTCAAAATCAAAAATCCTTCCTCTTTTTCCTTTTGCTGGCCATTTTCCTCCCCACCACACCATCTTTTTTTTTTTTTTTTTTTTTTTTTTTTTTTTTAGAATTTAGCCACTTCTCAGGCCTTCTTCCCCATAATTTGGAACTTTCCTTTGGATTTGATCAAGTTGGATAGAGTTGATCAAACCCTGATCAAGTTGGATAGAGTTGATCAAACCCAATGGGAAAAAGACCAAAACAACAATAAAAAACAGACAACAACAACAAAAAACAGTTAGGCAAAACAAACAATGGCACAATTTATATGATAACTGAGTGCTCTAATGGTAAGGAGAAATTAAGACCAGTTGGTCGTTAATCTTAACTTTAACCAAGACAAACCCCAATTCAGTTACTTACCTAGGGACGAGTCTCTGGCTATAGACTGCTCTCTACCATTCAAGAAGCAGGAAAAACAAAACAAAACAAAAAAAAAAACACTCCTTTTCCCTGTTGGAAGTGAGCCAAACTCCAACGTCATGGAAACAGAAAATTTGTCTTTCTTGATAGAAGCAAGTAAAACTCCAAAAAAGAGAAGTTGTACAGCAAAATAAACTTTAGATCTTGACCAAATTTGGGGAAATCAGGGATTCTCTGGAGGGGGTGCTCTCAGACCTCAGCAAATTGTCCTATTGGTTTGAGCTGTAAAATTAGCTCATGCTGGTACCAAGCACTGATAAGAGGTTTGCCAAAGGTCAGGGGCATCTCCACTCAGAATCCCTCTGTGGTTACCAAAATGTGAACCCCAAAAATTTGAGACAGGTCTCAGTGAATTTACAGTTTATTTTGCCAAGGTTGATAACACAACCCCATGACACAGCCTCAGGAGGTCCTGATGACATGTGCCCAAGGTGGTCAGAGCACAGTTGGGTTTTATACATTCTAGGGACACATGAGACATCAATCAACATATGCAAGATGAACATTGGTTCTGTCTGGAAAGACGGGACAACTCAAAGCAAAGGCAGGAATACTGGAACCAGGGACGGGGCTTTCCAGGTCATAGGTAGATAAGAGACAAATGGTTGCATTATTTTGAGTTTCTGACTAGCCTCTCCAAAGGAGGCGATCAGATATGTCAGTGAGCAGAGGTGTGAGTTTGAATAGAATGGGAGGCAGGTTGGCCCTAAGCAGTTCCAAGCTTCACTTTTCCCTTTAGCTTAGTGATTTGGGGGCTCCACTATTGATTTTCTTTCACAACTCAATAACCCAGGAATAATTAAGGGAAAGGCAAGATGGAGGATGAATTACTCAGCTTACTGTTAAAATTTTCTCAGTGATATAATTTTTGCAAAGGTGGTTTCTACTCCCCAGCTACCACCCCTCTTGTCTAGTCATCTTATTCCTTGCCCCAGAAACCACAGACCTCCCTACAATGTAGCAACTCAGGGGTTAACCTTGACACACCAGGAACCCTCCCAGACCTCCCCAAGCTCGAAAGACCTGTGGCCTTGTCCCTTGAGGCCCTAAGGCTCTACTAATCATTATTTATTTTGACCATCACCCCTGGGTCTAAGTGTCCTAGCACAAAGACCAATAAAACAGAAGTTGGCATTTTAGAGGGTCTCAGTTATTATCGCATTCTAATTTTTGAGTCAGAAGAGTAATTTTCCTAGAATCAAAGAATGGGCTAGTTGGAGATTTTTTTAATGCTCTTCTTTTAGTTAAACAAACAACATGATTTTGCGGGGGAATAAATATCCCCCAACTTTATGTCATTAAAGACAGTGTGTGGTACTATAACGGTATTCCCCAAAGTCATCTAGAAATTATCAATGAAGGAAAATACATATTATAAATTTCTGCTAGGCAACATTTAAACTGGAAAAGCAGTGGTCTTAAATGAGTTTAAATATTTTTTTTCTGAATTTTTTCTCTTTATTTTCAGAATTGAAAAGCAAGAACTACAACAAAATGCCTCTTACCTAAAGTAGACCTTAATATGCAACTGAAATTCAATAAAGATACATTTTTTAAAGTCTGTTTTGTTTTTTAATGTCCAATTACCAAATGGGTTAAGAGCACATACTTGAAGCCCAGCTTTCTTGGTTAGCATCTTGGTTCCACACTTACTGGTTATGTGTGCATAGGCCAGTTACTCAATCTTTGTGTGCCTCCATTTCCTCAGCTGTAAAGTGGGGGTAGTAGTATCTACCTTACAGGATTTTCATGAAGATTTATAAAGCAAATATTTACAAAGAGATTAGAATAGTGCTTGCCACATAGTAAATGCTATCCAAGTGTTTGTTAAATAAAAAATAAGCACCATAGATCACGTTTACCATCATTACTAATTTTTGATAAAGACAAAATTTTAAGTTGGAAATCCAAAGAAAACGTTTAAATAGAAGTCTAAGTTTTGGGCCGGGCTAGGTGGCTCACGCCTGTAATCCCAGCCCTTTGGGAGGCCGAGGTAGGCGGATCACGAGGTCAGGAGATTGAGAGCATGCTGGTTAACACGGTGAAACCCCATCTCTACTAAAAAAAAAAATACAAAAAATTAGCCGGGCGTGGTGGGGGGCGCCTGTAGTCCCAGCTACTCGGGAGGCTGAGGCAGGAGAATGGCGTGAACCCAGGAGGCGGAGCTTGCAGTGAGCCGAGATCGCGCCACTGCACTCCAGCCTGGGCGACAGAGCGAGACTCCGTCTCAAAAAAAACCAAACCAAGCCAAACAAACAAACAAGCAAACAAAAAGAAGTCTAAGTTTTAAGGCTTGTTATGGAAAATTGGCATAAATCTCCCTCGCTTTCAACTTTCACCTATTCCACTCTCCGTGGTGTTCCTTCTCTGCAAAGTCATCCATATGTATTATAAAAGTGGGTGCCTTGGACTGGTATGTTGACTAATTTGTTCTTAGCTCTTCTCTCATCCGCCTAAGAACAAGAAAAACAAGATTGAGGCCTCTGCTATGAAACTCTTAGGTAATAAAATTAATAGCACTGTTCATGCCTACTTAGAACAAAGGCTACCTGAGTACATGAGAATATTTTCCTCAGTGTTAAAATGCCAGAGCACAAAGGCACCCCAGTTCTCCCTGGTGAGGGTTTGAGCCCGAATTGTTCACTACCCCACCCCTCACCTTTTTTTTTCTTGAGACAGGGTCTCACTCTGTTGCCTGGACTAGAGTGCAGTGGTTCGATCATGTCTCACTGTAGCCTCCACCTCCTGGGCTCAAGTCATCCGTCCTCCCACCTCAGCCTCCTGAGTAGCTGAGACTACAGGAGTACACCACCACATCTGGCTAATTTTTGTAGAGACAGGGTTTCACCATGATGCCCAGGCTAGTCTCGAACTTGTGGACTCAAGAGAGCCACTCGCCTCAACCTCCCAAAGTGCTGTGATTACAGGGGTGAGCCACCCGCCAGCCCTGCCCACTCCTTGTTTTGTAAATACCTGCTATCAGGTCTTCCAACCTTGGTTTGGTTACTTAACCTCACTCTTTGCCTCTAATCCCTCATCTGTAAACTGAGCGTTAATAGACTGCTGTGAGATTTAATTAATACATAATGTGCCTGCATATGTATGGTATAACAAGGATATCATAAACATTAGTTATTAATAATTCGTGGAAATAAGTCTTTCCAGTTTTGGCATTGCTTTTCCCTTAAAGGTTTATTTCAAATACCCCTATGACCCAGAAAATGGGGCAGGGTAGGGGGAGTTGCCTGCTGGAGACAGAACGGAGAGTGGATGGATATAGCGGGCGTGGACGGACAGCGACAGAAGCTGATAACAGCACAGAAGGGCAAAGTCTGCTCAGCAGCCCCCAAAATAAACTTGAGCCTGGCAATCGGCGCAGAACCCCAGCAGTCAGCAGCTTCGGTGCAAAGCAACTAACACCTGAAGGCTTCCAAAAGCAGCAGGGCTCTCTCTAGCGGGGGAGCCTTTTCGACCAGAGAGGAGCCAGAAGGGGGCCTCAGTGCAGCCTCCACTCCACTCAATTCCCGGAGTTACCTTGGCGGGCTCCACGCTCCGAGAGACGCTGTTGCTCTATGAGGCGTGTCTGTGTTTCTCTAGTTCGCGGCTCCAGCAGTCGCGCCAAGGGGCAGCTGCTACTCCTGCCAGATACACCAGTTATCACAGGCCGCTCCCAGGCCTGCGGGGGCCCTGAGAATTCGCAACAAGCCCCGGGCAGCAGGGCTCGGCTGGCGCTGAGGCCCCGCCTGGCCATGCCCATTGGCGGAGGCTGCCCCGGGGGCGGGGTCAGGGCGCCCCATTCCCAGACCCCGCAGCCCCGCCCGCCGCGGGTGCGTGTGGAGAGGCCCAGGTGAGGAGCAAGCGCCCGCGTTCCGGAAGCCCGCTCCCGGGGCCATGGGGGCACAGGTGAGGCTGCCGCCCGGAGAGCCCTGCCGAGAAGGTTTGTGTCTGCCCTGAGCCGAGGGACCTGGCAGCTGGGTGGCGAAGAGACCGGGTGGGCGGTCCCCGGACACTTGCGGAGACTGGAAAGGGGGGCTGTACCGACTCTAAACGTAGTCGTTCACTCATTCATTCATTCAGTCAGTCGGCCGTCCAGCCAGGCGTTCAACACTTATTTATGGGTGCCTAGGCGATTCGGGCTGTGCTGGAAAACCTGAGTGGAATAAGGCAGGTGGGACTCCCACTCGATTCGCGAGGCCGACCAGTGTAAATTACCGCGTGCTGCGTGTGGGACGGGGAAACTCAGGATGCTATGGGAAGAATCCCGAGTCCCTCTGAGAAGGACGTTTCCTCTGACTCAGGCTCCCTTCCAGAGTCTGCGGCCGACGTCACCCGGTGGGCAGAGGGCGTGTCTGCCTGGGGGGCCCGTGGGAGTTCTGCGCTGCGCCCTGCGCTGGCTCCCGGGGATCGAGCACCGCGAGAGGTTGGGCGCCCGGGGCCGCGGGGGTGGGCGTTGGGCAAGTCTGGGCCGCCCACGTCTCTCCTCTTCCTTGGAAATGAAAAGGTCTCCAAACCCATGAGCCTGTCTGACTCGCTGTGCAGTCACTCTGGCTGCTTAAGGCGAGAGCCGTACTGGAGAGGAAACCTGGAACCGGGAGCACTCGTTTGCAGGCTCTTCTTACTGCTTCTCACCTGAGCCCCGTGAAATCTCTGGGCGAGGCTCCTTGCCCTTCGCCAAGTGTTCGCAACACTGGCGGGTTTTCTGCAGTCTCCATACAGAAGGCCCCGATAAAAGTAGGGAAGGGGGTAGGGGGAGCGACTGGAAGGATGTAGATACATTGAAATGATGGTTTTCGCCGTACCAAGGGGAAAGCAGCTTTTTAATTTACCTGATAATGCAGTAAAGGGGAAGGGAGGCAGTGAAAGGCATGGTAAGAACTACTATATATATACACATATATATATAGTTCCCTTACACATATATATATATATATATGTATATACATATACACCTTTGCAAAGGTGCTCGCAACTTCCCTAGTTTCCTCTCCTCTTGACTCTTCCAGCTTATTCCTTTTTAACAAGTGAGCTCGTCCAAACCATGCTAGCAAGGAAGAGAAGGGACACCAAAAAAAGGAGAAAAATGCCTGAACAATTCACAAGCTATTAAAAAAAATTTTTTAAGGCCGCTGGATCTAGAATTATTTTCTAGTCTTTTTTTCTGAAAAAGAGCAATAACGCCTGAACAACTCACAAACTATTAAAAAACAAAAATTTTAAGGCAGCTGAATCTAGAATTATTTCCTAGAGAGTCAGGTTGTGTGCCCTTTTTCTAAATAATTTCTAACCCAGCAAATCTGACAGTTACTAACACACCCACACTTGTTTACCCAAGGATCTGTAAGTAAGGAAGGTATATGAATTACACCCACTTGTTTGAGCTTCTGGATGTTTTTCCTGCTTTGCTTATGCATTGAGTTCCAACAAGAAACATTTAAGCTCCAGGCTTAATACCTGTGATTAACCATGGTAATTAATTGTGTGAAAAGCTGGTGAGAAAGACTTAGAAATCTGAATGCACGTTATTAGTAGTGGGAAGAGATTAGGCTTTGGCATCAGACAGTCTGAGCTGTAACTTAGCTTCCTTGAGCATTTTCCTGTCTATAAATTGGGGGTCATCCCTCCAGTTTACAGTTCTGAAGAGTAGGTGCAGGTGGGATTACATATGAACTACACCACTCAGAGCTTGACATGGAGTAAACAAAGACTCAATTTTTCACTTGTTCATTCAAATAACAAGAGTCCCATGTGCCAAGCACTGGCATAGGTGCTGGGATAGAGGGATCTGCAAGACAGTCTGGTCCCAGACTCTAGGACTAGGTTCCTGCTCTCAGGCACCTTACTGTTCAGATGGCAGCTACTATGCAAGAAACAAAGTAATTTAAAAGATCATTATAATAGCAGTAATGTATCAAGAGTGTTGGGATGTTTAGATTGGGTATTCAATGAAAGCCCCTTACGAAAGTGATATTCAAGCTGAGACCCAAATGACAAGGGGTCAGTCATGAGATCTGAAGATAGAACATTCCAGTTGAACTTCCATGAAGAAAAAGTTAATTTCATACTTTGGTTTTGACTTTTTTTTGTTTTTTTGAGGCGGAGTGCCACTCCGTCACCCAGGATGGCATGCAGTGGTGCAATTTCAGCTCACTGCAACTTCCACCTGGGTTCAAGCAATTCTCCTGCCTCAGCCTCTCAAGTAGCTGGGAATACAGGCACATGCCACCATGCCCAGCTAATTTTTGTATTTTTAATACGGGTTTCACTGTGTTGACCAGGCTGGTCTTGAACTCCTGACTTCAAGTGATACTCCTACCTTGGCATCCCAAAGTGCTGGGTTTACAGGCATGAGCCATCCCCCACCCCACATTGGTTTTGACTTTTAAAGCTATAGATGCTTCAAAAGAGTCTCTAATCCAAAATTATCTTTAAAAGAAACAAATGCAAATATGTATGAAGGTTGTTATAAAGCTGTAATTAAGCCATATGAGGAAGTCTATTTGATTGGGAACATATGATGGAAAGTGACTGAGAGGTTCCTTTAGATTGGGAAGGCAGGAAAGGCCTCTCTGAGTTGCTTAGTCCTCTCACTCAGAAGAAGCTAGCTATGCCAGCCAGCACTCTGTAACAGGCTCAGGAACAGCTGCTTTTTAAAAAGCTTAAGGTGAGAAGGAACTTATTCTATGAAAGGAACAGAAGAAAAGGCAATAGTAGGGAATGAGGTTAGGCAGCTGGAGACAGGATTCCACAGGGCCTTATAGGCTATAGTGGGAATTTTGGATTTTTTTCGGAATGAGAAGGGAAGCCCTTGTGGAGTTTTGGAAGGAGGAATGACAAGATCAGACCTACTTGTCTAAAGGTTCATTTCACCTGATCCTTCTCCCACCTACTCTTTAGCCACATCTCATACCATCTCCCTTTCTGTCACCCCAGGCAACCTGGCTGACTGCAGTTTCTTCAACCCCTCAGGGTTTCTGCTTTTAGACTTAGCAGAGAGGCTCTTTTGTTTAATCCTGTTTTAAAAAATATATTCCTTGATGCTGCTTTTACTACTTGCTATGGCACTCTTAACATACGTATAGTTATTTGTTTGTTAATCCTATCTGCCCCCACTGGAATATAAGAGAGCGGGACCATTGTTGTATTCATTTTTCTATCTCCAGATTCTAGAAAATGCCCAACAGGTAGTACACCATACATATTTGTTGAATGAAGGAAAAGAAGATTAGTGTTTCAGAGAGGGGTGAGAGGGAGAGTAATGCAATATGATGTCAGAGACGAGCCAGTTTCAGAGCATGAGAAGCTTTAAAGTTCAAAGTTAGTGAGGAGTTGAGATTTTGTTGTAAGTTGAGATGAAAAACCATGACAGGGGACAGGGAGTATTAAGCCAGGGAGTGATATAACCTACTTCCCACTGGTTAGCGTTTGGAGAATAAATTGTAACAGATATAAAGAGATTTCATTCAGTCATTCCCATGCTAATATGAATAGGCAGGTATATCACATATTCTTGCTTAGGTTTCTAGGTCAGCTGAAGGTTGACTGATCTAGATGGGGCTCACCTATATGTCTCTGCTTCAGGCTAATGTCCACCTGGGTTTGGCTCCTTCATGTGGGATGAGCTCAGATCTGCTCCATGTGTCTTCATTTGGGTGCAGAGGCTGAAGGGACAGCAGCTCCTCAGGGAATTACAGAGATGCAAATGAGTAAACCCAACCACATAAGCATCTTTGAAATCTAGCTTCATATCACTTCTGCTGACTTCCCATTGGCCACCAACTTACTTCCAGCCCAACATCAGGTGAAGCACCTTTGCCCACATTGGGAAAGGTAAGGGGCTGAATACTGAATGAATAATAATCCAAACTATCACAGTAGAATAGATGGTGAGACCCCCAACTGGAAATATCTTGCGGTGATTAAAAAGGTAGTTTTATACAATTATTGACTTTCTTAAAACCAGATTTCTATTCCATGTAATAAACTGGATAATTTAAATTATTATTTAAATTTATATTATTATTCTCTATAGGCAAATATTTGACAAATTATTTAAAGCATTTCATCCTTATATAAACATGAATAATAAATTTCAACTGGCTTTTTCTTGTACTTTATGTTTTTATTTTTCTGAAATAGAATGCTGGCTGGGAATTGGGTTACTTGGCCCTGGTTTTAGCAGTTACATAACTTTGGCCAGTGTCACTTAATATATTGGCATCAGTTTCTTTAAAATATCTCTCCTCTATCAGTGCCTATGAGTTTAGAACTGGTCCATCAGCAACATTTATGAGGCACCAGTATTGTAAGTAATTCTGAGAACAAACATAGGTTATGATCAAACTTTAGAATCATTGAGTCAAAGTCCCTCATTTTACAGATGCGGAAACTGAAACCAAGAGCCATTACTCAACTTGCCCATGATTATAGATAGTAGATCTTCATTTTTAAATGTTAAAGGTGTGTGTATGTAAACTATTACACCTGTACATAGAAGATAAATATTAGGTTGAAACATATGAAACTACTTGTCATAGGGTTCAAATTGTTCAGTTATCATCAATTTCATATAGTTCAACATAATATAAGAACATTAGAAGTACTGTTTGTGGGACCTGTAAATTACTTAAATATCAATCAACTATAAAACAGAAAAATTAGTTGTGTGATAGTTATACAGTGGAATTCTCTAGAACAGTGGGGAAAAAACAAATCCTGCAGCCTCATGCATCATGTTTTGATGAATCTCAAAAACAAGTCACCTAAGAACAAATTCTTTATCATTACACTTTCATAGGTGCAAAAAGAGGCAAAAGCATTTTCAAGATATATGGAGAAAATCTTTTTTATAAGCAAAAGAATGTTAAAGAGAAAATCAGGATAGTTACTAACTCTGAGGGGTGATGCTTTATTTCTTAAACTGGCTGGTTGATACATTGGTGTGTATATATATATATATTTATAATATATATTTCCTAAATATTCATTATTCTCTATTTAGAAAAATAACATCAAAGAAGAAGTACATGTTCGTGGCTAGCAAGAGTGTACTTTGGTACAGTCACTTTAGAGGACTATTGATAGTGTCTGTTAAAAATGAAGCATAATGAATGGAGTAGATGTTCTCTTTCTGTGGAATAAAGTCTGGATTAAACTCCCTGGAAAATTACTGTGCTTACTTAAATCTTGATAAGCCAATTGTGACTTGAGATGTCTTTGATTCCTTTAAAACACTCCAAATTCCCTGCCCACACACCATCCATTACCCATCTCTTCCCTTCTCCCGTAGGCCACTCCACATCCACTAACCCATCCTTTCTTTCCTCTTTCAGTCATATCTGCTGTAGGCTCTCTCCCTAACATGTTCCCAAAGCATAAAACAATTTAAGTCCTAAGGTCAGTAACCAGACAAGATTTTTATTATTTTTCCTGCCATAAAACTTGGAGCATTCATGCCTGCCAGTTGCAATGAGAACTTGCAAAATGCAACAGTGATCATTTGATCTCCCTTATGACCCTCTGCTCCCACACCCCCTACAATGTCAGAAACATTTTGCTGTATCAACAGCTTAGAAGGAATATTGTTTCACTGGAATGAGATCTACCCACACTGATTTCAGAGACAAAGTTTTGGAGTGGTTATGTTAACTGCATAGTAAATGACATGAATGCAGCCATGGAATTCACTGGTAAGTCAGGTCCGATGTTTTCTTAGGAATGAATGTAATCAAAATTCTTACAAAAATATACTTAATCACTTTCCCTTCTTGGGGCTTAGATGAGATAAACATCGTGTGGAACAAGATTGCTAAGGGCTAGCTTGCTTGAAAATTTGCAGCATCAGCCTGGCCAACGTAGTGAGAGCCCATCTCTACAAAAAAAAACTAAAAAAATTAGTTGGGCATGGTGGTGCATGCCTGTGGTTCCAGCTACTTGGGAGGCTGAGATGGGAGGATCATTTAAACCCAGGAGGTCAAGGTTGCAGTGAGCCGTGATGACACCACTGCACTACAACCTGGGTGACAGAGTGAGACCCTGTCTCAGAAAAAAAAGAAATGAAAATTTGCAGCAGTTAGGATATTTAGTTTTGACTTTGAGTTTATTCTGGATTTCTATTTCTTTGTTTTGTTTTGTTTTTGTTTTTGTTTTTGTGGAGATCTCGCTATATTGCCCAGGCTGGTCTTGAACTCCGGGGCTCAAGCAAACCTCTAGCCTCTGCCTCCCTAAGTGCTGGGATTACAAGGGTGAGCCACCATGTCCAACTATTCTGGATTTCTGAAACAAAGTTGGATCATTTTCAAATTACAGAGATAAATGAAATAATAGTCATGAAAACCTTGAATTCCATTATTTTATTATTTTCCAGACCTGAACTTCATGGGTGTTTCTTAACTTTGCATGTGGTAAAATTCAGGTGGCTTCATGAAGCTTTGCCAGGGGTACATAGGTCCACTTATGGAAGTCTTGTTGCTAAGACATCATTTGATCAAACTGCCTCTTGTTGCTTATATGCCTTCTTAAGATTTTTGAAATGTAAAACTTTTCTAAAAATTGAATTACAAAATTGTTTCTGATTAATTTTCCTTTACCCTCTTTTGTTTAGGGTAATTCATAATGGGAGAATTTGCCATTTTTAAAGGAAAGATGGGAAGACAGAACATCTTGTCACAATGTCACCTTGTTGGTGTCTTTTCAAGTGGAGAACAGATTATAAAAAGTTTCTTACATAGTGTAAAACGTTTTCATTTTGTATTTTAGTGTTTAGCCTCAAAATTCCAAGACATTTATAATAGTGGACTTGGTTCAGGGGATTTACATGCTTCTTTGAATCTCATTTTTTAAAAAGCCTAATGATATTTAAATTCTTTTTATTAGATTCCATTTTCTTTAGGACAAAGTGGATTAACAGACCTGAAAAATCAACTAAACTAGAAAACTAAACCCACTTTTAAAACGTTTTTTGAAATATATAACTCTTCATACCCACCAAATGACTCATACCCCACCAAATGAGTTAGACAGATTTCTTCTTTTTTTTTTTTTTTTTTTGGAGATAGTCTCGTTCTGTCACCCAGGCTGGAGTGCAGTGGCGCGATCTCAGCTCACTGCAGCCGCCTCCTGGGTTCAAGTGATTCTCCTGCCTCCACCTCCAGAGTAGCTGGGACTATAGGCATGCACCACCATGCCCATGCCCCGCTAATTTTTGTATTTTTAGTAGAGATGGGGTTTCACCATGTTGGCCAGGCTGGTCTCGAACTCCTGATCTCAAGTGATCCACCCGCCTTGGCCACCCAAAGTGCTGGGATTACAGCCATAATGCTCAGCCAATTTCTTTTTTCTTTTTTTCTTTTTCGAGACAGGGTCTTGCTGTTACCTAGGCTGGAGTGCAGTGGTGTGATCGCAGCTCGCTGCAGCTTCATCCTCCTGGGCTCAAGCGATCCTCCCTCCTCAGCCTCCCGAGTAGCTTGGACCACAGACGTGCACCACCACGCCCGGTTAATTTTTCAATTTTTTTTATGTAGATGGGGTTTCACTATGTTGCCCAGGCTGGTCTCAAACTCCTGGGATCAAGCAATCATCCCACCTTGGCCTCCCAAAATGCTGGGATTACAGGTGTGAGTTACCATGCCCAGCGAACAGATTTCTTGCAATGTGATTTCTAGACTGAGGTTGCTATGCTTTCTCCCTACATTCAGGCCCCACAAGCCCTGCTTTCCAGTAGCCAGGCTGATAATGCAGAGTGAAGTGGATGTGATGGGCTGTGTTGAACTGTTGAGCACAAGCCGGTCTGAACAGCTATTCGCTGCTCCATCAAGTTGCTGATTCACCAGAACAAAGACATAAGTGTTCCCAGATCGAATTTATAGGGGGAATCCAGGCTTTCATGTGAAATAGCTCATTTTTAAATGATGACAGCTAAACACTTAAAAATCATTTTTAAAAATCTGTGCAAGCCAAATTGACAGTGTCTATAGGTCTGTGGGCCACCTGTTAGCGACTTCCCTACATGTAGTAAAATGTTTCAGTACCATCCACTCAAGGCTCTGTTTCCTGCAGAAAGCCGGTAAGCATTAATACCTCTCCCTTTCATTCCTGACATTCTCTTCTTTCCTTTTTTCCAGGATATGTGCTGTCTCTGGTCTGTCCAAACTCCTCCCAGGCTTGGTGTGAGATCACAAATGTGTCACAGCTGCTGGCTTCTCCTGTGCTCTACACGGACCTGAATTACAGCATAAACAACTTGAGCATTTCAGCAAATGTAGAAAACAAATACAGTCTTTATGTGGGCTTGGTACTGGCAGTAAGCTCAAGTATTTTTATTGGCTCCAGCTTCATACTGAAAAAGAAGGGCCTCTTGCAACTGGCCAGCAAGGGCTTTACTAGAGCTGGTAAGAAACACATGCAACTAATGAATTTAAGTTTCTAACTGCAGAAATGATGTGAGGCCACATCTCAGCAATACTCTTATAAACTTGCTTGTGTAATTATAGTTATTGATTTTTTTTCCATATGGATGTTAGAAAAATACTTAGGTCTTTGATTAAAATGAATAGAAAACTCATGGTTAATGAAGGGATAGTCAGGCAGACCTACTCAGCATCTTAAGTGTCACTATAAATAGCAGCCTAATTCCATTGCTATCCATTTATTGATTTAGTAAATATCTATTAGGTGCCAAACACTGCTAGGGAAGGTTCCTGTTCTTGAGAATCTGCTATAAATGAGCAAGTAAACCTGTCAGCAATAAAAAAGAACACATGTACAACTAAGAATTATCCTAGGCTACAGTAATAATAACTCACTGGCTCGGTTTATCTTAGTCTCTATCTTCTTGATGGAGTCAGCTGTGTCTCCCAGTCTCTGATCTCTGCCACCTCTCCAACTTCCTCTTGCTTTTCTCCCCATCACCTACTTTTCTCTTGTTCCTGGAATATGTCTGGTTCTGTCCCACCCCCAGGTCTCTTCCCATTGCGTGGAACCCTTCTCCCTGCCCTTCATTCAGCTCACTCATCCTTCAGACTTCAGTGTGAGTAGCATCACCTCAGAAAGGCCTTCCTTGACCATCCTCTCACAGCAGGTCTCCCCACCCCACCCCCGTTATTCTCTGTCATTGCACTAATAGTTTCCCTCACCGTACCTAGGATAATTTTTAGTTGTACATGTATTGTTTATTGTTGCTGACAGGTTTACTTGCTTATTGATAGTAGATTCTCAAGAACAGGAACCTTCCCTAGCAGTGTTTGGCACCTAATAGATATTTATTAAATTAATAAATGGACAACAATAGAATTAGGCTGCTATTTATAGTGACACTTAAGATGCTAAGTAGGTCTACCTGACTATCCCTTCATTAACCATGAGTTTTCTATTCATTTTCATCAAGTGTACTATAAGATCTAAGCTTTTTTCTAACATCCATATGGAAAAAAATCAATGATTATAAATTACACAAGCAAGTTTATAAAAGAGTACTATTGAGAGGAGATTTGTACTATCAGAAAAGAAAACATATGCTGTATTAAAACAATTTGATACTGGCATTAAAGCGACAAAATCATAACAGATAATTTAAAACTTATAAGTGGACCCAAGTATATATAACAATTGAATTTGTTATTTTAAAAAGTGACATTTCGAAACTGTGGAGAAAGGACAAATCATTCAAAGTATTGAGATAATTGGAAAAAATTAGAGGAGAAAAACATGAAAGTTCTGCTTCACACCATTCAGCAAAATACATTCTAGATAGGTTAGAATTTAATTTAAAAATAAAATTTTTTTTTTTTTTTTCAGACGGGGCTTTGCCCTGTCGGCCAGGCTGGAGTACAGTGGCATGATCTCGGCTCACTGCAACCTCCACCTCCCAGGTTCAAGCGATTCTCCTGCCTCAGCTTCCCAAGTAGCTGGGATTACAGGCATGCACCATCACGCCCAGCTAATTTTGTATTTTTAGTAGAGACGGGGTTTCACCATGTTGGCCAGGCTGGTCTCAAACTCCTGACCTCAGATGATCCGCCCGCCTCGGCCTCCCAAAGTGCTGGGATTACAGGTGTGAGCCACTGCGCCTGGCCAAAAAATGAAATAATTTAAAAAAAAAAGAAGGCTTTTCTAAGCATAAAGATAAATAATTTATTTTATATAAAGGAAGAGATTATCTAGATTGACAAAAAAAATCCTATATGGAAACACTTTAACTGAAACTAAAAAGCAAATGATATATTGGGGGAAATATGATGAAATATGTGACAAAGTATAGTTTCATAATATATAAAAAGTGACTGCAGTCAATAAGTAAAAAGGTTAGTACCCTAACAGAAAATAGACATGGCATATAAACAAGAAACAAACAAAATAAGAAATGCAAATGACCAATAAACATACGTAAGTAAATATTGTTTCACTAGTACCCAAAGAGATACCAACTAGACAATAGTCAGGTTCAGTGTGGTAACATAATTCCAACTTAGTTATTTGTAAATGTAATGACCAATAAACATACATAAATAAATATTGTTTCACTAGTACCCAAAGATACCAACTAGACAATAGTCAGGTCCAGGGTTGTAATATAATTCCAAGTTAGTAATTTGCCAATTTCTTAAGAAGAAAGTCCTAAATAAGCACAGTTAACTACTTTGCAAAATAGTCTTCATAGCTTATATATCCTGTTTAATTATAACAAAATCAATTAGGTCAAATGCAGAGGGCTAAGTATATTAAAATTGATAAGAAAACTCCATTTTCTATAGTAAATATAATGACAAAGTCACAGATTAGAGTAGTAGGAAGATAACCTTTTGAATACCTTAAAAACATTTTGTCCTTTTCAGTAGACAAAACAGAAACTTGATTTCAGCATGACAAGGTAGAGGTTAAGCAGAGTGCATCTGCCCAATGCTTGTTATTCTCTCATTGACTAATCCAAACTCTCAAAAGCTCTTATGTCAACCATCTTCTTCCCTTTACAGTCCTCATTACTACCAATGTAATTTACTATTTATGTTTTCTGTTTTTAATTTTAACCATAGCTGAAATGAAGTATTTATGTCCACACCTCTGACTGACATAAATATGGTGAACCTGGTGATTAAATAAAATTTCCTACAAATTAAGAAAAACTTATGATTTGTGGAAAAACAAAGGGATGACATGGAAACATCATACAGAAAGTTTTAAGCAATCCTAAGCAAAAAGAACAAAGCTGGAGGTATCACAGTACCTTCAAATTATACTATAAGGCTATCATAACCAAAACAGCATGGTACTGGTATAAAAATACACACATAGATCAGTGGAACAGAATAGAGAACCCAGAAATAAAGCCAGATACCTACAACCAACTGATCTTTGACAAAGTTGAAAATAATATACGCTAGGGAACGGCTACCCTATTCAACAAATGGTGCAAGGAAAATTGTAGAACCATATATAGAAGAACGAAACTGGACCTTATATCTGACCATATACAAAAACCTACTCAAGATGGATTAAAAACTTAAATGTAAAACCTGAAACTATAAAAGCCCTAGAAGAAAAACTAGGAAAAACTTTTCTGGACATTGGCCTAGGCAAAGAATTTGTGACTAAGTCCTCAAAAGGAAATGCAACAAAAACAAAAATAGACAAATGTGACCTAAAGTAAAAAGCTTCTGCAGAGCAAGAAAAATAATCAACAGGGTGAAAAGACAGCCTGCAGAATAGGAGAAAAAACTTGCAAACTAAGCATCTGACAAAGGTCTAATACCCAGAATCTACAAGGAACTCAGACAACTCAACAAGAAAAAAACAAACCCATGAAAAAGTGGGTAAAGGATATGAACATACATTTTTCAAAAGACATGCAAGCGACCAACATATATATGAAAAAATCCTCAGTGTAACTAATCACCAGAGAAATGCAAATTAAAACCACAATGAGATAACCATCTTACACTAGTCAGAATGGCTATTATTAACAAGTCAAAAAACAACAGATGTTGACAAGAATGCAGAGAAAAGGGAATGCTTATACTCTGTTGGTGGGGATGTAAATTAGTACAACCACTACGGAAAACAATATGGAGATCTCTCAGAGAACTAAAAATAGAACTGCCCTTTAATGCAGCAGTCCCACTACTGGGTATCTACTTTAAGGAAAAGAAATCATTTTATGAAAAGACACTTGCATTCAAATGTTGATCACACCACTATTCACAACACCAAAGTCATGAAATCAACCTAAGTGCCCATCGACAGAGGACTGGATAAAGAAAATGTGGTATAATTATATACACACACCATAGAATACTACTTAGCTGTTAGAGAAATGAAATCATATCTTTTGCAGCAACATGGACGGAACTGGAGGCCATTATCCTAAGTGCAGTGACTCAGAAACAGAAAATCAAAAGCTGCATGTTCTTACTTATAAGTGGGAGCTAAACCATGGGTACACATGCACATTCAAAGTGGAATAATGGACATTAGAGATTCCAAAAGGTGGGAGGGTAAAAGGGTAGAAGCAGGTGAGGGATGAAATACTACCTGTTGGGTTCAGTGTTCACTATTCAGGTGATAGATACACTAAAGGCCAGACTTTACAGTAGATTTATGTAACACAACTACACTTGTACCCCTGAATCTATTTTAAAAATCAGGAAAAATAAAACAAAAATGAACTCCTGATTCATGAAAGAATAAAATGGGTGACAAACAGAAAAATGCAGATTGAAATGACATACCATTTTAAGACTCAAATTTGCAAAGTTTTTAAAAAAATTGACATAACTTTTCTGGAGGGCAATTTGGTAATACATGTAAAGTTCTTTAAAAAATGCATTTCCTCCTACCCAACAATTACACTTCTAGGAATTTATCGTGAAGAAATAATCATTCCAGTGTTGCAAAGGTAAATGCGTAGGGAGGTTCGTGAGAGCATTATATTTATAACAGAAACACGGAAAAAAATCTAAATGCAATTAATCCATTAGGGGATTTGTTAAATCATTGTAAATTGGGGGAAAAAAAGCTTTAGAAGAGCTTTGGAAATGACCAAGTAAATAAGCTAAGAGACTTTAGATTTACTGACTTAACTTTTCTAACCATAATCCAGTACGCTTCCTAGAAGTTAATTCTTCAAACCTTCCTCCAGTGTAGAACCCATTTTTTGTTAATTTTTACTTTTTGTATTTTAGGACAAGGTGGACATTCTTACCTGAAGGAATGGCTCTGGTGGGTAGGATTGCTGTCAAGTAAGTTTTTAATACTGAGAATACTGTTTATTTGTAAGATAGTAAATAGATTACATGAAATTTTTCATAATTGGTTAATCTTCCTGTCAAGAATGGAACAAGGATGGAATTTAAGTCTAAACATTTTTGTGTTAGTCAATATATTGTCCTATATATACTATTATATATAAATAAATTAATTTTTACTCTTATTTCCCACCCCCTGTGCTCTCAGTACTGTCCTGGAATGCAAGGGAAAAAGTTGACCTTTGAAATATTACATTTTAACCACAGACTTCTTGTATTTTCTTCACCATAACAATAGAGAAAAGTACTTTTCTTTCATATTTTCCCACCTCCTAATTAGAACAACTATTGTAGCTGCATATTTTCTCAAGAAAGAGTACAGTTTCCTTGCCAGGACAACACGGATAAGTGAAAGGCTTCTGTGGCTGCTTGGTACTGAACAAATGGAGAAGAAATGAAGGGTGTCAGCACTCTCCTTCCTCCCAGACCTGCTGTGAGGATTAAACGAGACTTTACAGGATCTGAAAGCACTTTCTAAATGCTAATGTGATGTCCAAATAGAAGGCAGTGTTCATCTCCCTCAGCCACTTTTGCTGACTTCAGTCTCCCCACTAAGTGAAATTTCTTAAATCCCAAAGCGGAGGCTCCCCTCAAAAAGGGCATCATAAATTCCCTCTGTAGCCAGGAGTCTTAAAGCTTCCCTGAATTTCCCCAAACCAAGCAACACATTTCAGTATTTGTAAGATCCTGTTATGAGAAGGAACTGGGTACCTTTTCTTTAATAAATGGTGGAATCTAAAAGGATGATTAATAAAGAGAATTTAAATATGTATAGCCCCTTCAGTTCTTGTTTATTGTGGATTTTTTTGGGGTTTTTTTGTTTTTTGTTTTGTTTTTTTTGAGATGGAGTCCTGCTCTGTGGCCCAGGCTGGAGTGCACTGGCAGGATCTCGGCCCACTGCAGCCTCTGCATCCCAGTTTCAAGCGATTCTCCTGCCTCAGCCTCCCGAGTACCTGGGATTACAGGCACACACCACCACACCCAGCTAATTTTTGTATTTTTAGTAGAGACAAGTTCTCACCATGTTGGCCAGGCTGGTCTCGAACTCCTGACCTCAGGTCACCCACCTCGGCCTTCAGAAGTGCTGTGATTACAGGCGTGAGCCACCACGCCCGGCCACCCCTTCAGTTTTTAGGGTGCTTTTACATCCATTTTCTTTATTTGAATAAAAATTGACAAGGGCTGTCTGGGAAGATTCCAGATAGGTATTTGGATCTTTCTCTTTTTCTGTCTTACTTGCATCTCCCCACCCTCTACCCATACTTTATAATGAAAATATGAGGAGAGTATTATGTGACTACATTTGCAATTTTGTTTTCACCGTGTAAAAAAGTTTATGTCAGTATTGAAGAGAGAAAAGCATACATTAGAGATTAAGTAAGTGATATATATACAGTACTTTAATCATGAAGTCGTTGTTTTCCTGGAAAGCTATCTATAAAGATAAAAATATAAATAATATAAAGTATCCAAGGAAACCTTAATATTCCAAGAAAACTGCCACGGTTTTTTTTAGACAGAGTCTCGCTCTTGTCGTCCAGGCTGGAGTGCAGTGGCGTGATCTCGGTTCACTGCAACCTCCGCCTCCCAGATTCAAACGATTCTCCTGCCTCAGCCTCCAGAGTAGCTGGGATTAAAAACGCTTGCCACCACACCCGGTTAGTTTTTGTATTTTTAGTAGAGATAGGGTTTCACCATGTTGGCCAGGCTGATCTCGAACGCCTGACCTCAAGTGATCTTCTCCCCTCTGCCTCCCAAAGTGCTGGGATTACAGTCATGAGTCACCATGCCCGGCCTTGCCGTGATTCTTTCGATGATAGCAATGTCTTAATTATTCTGTTCTGTAAATTTAGATTTGTTTAATGATGTTTTCCTAATGGTGAATACTCCTATAGATTTGGGGGGATGTAGCGTAGCAGCCAGACAAAGGGAAAAAGAAAAAAATCATGCTGGTGTTCCTTTCTCTCTCTACAATAAGCATTTGCCTGGTGTAGTTGCCAGCATGAAATACTACATTCTGTGGGCAAGTTTCCCACTGTGTTCTGTGAGAATAACTTGGCCCCAGTACCAGAGCCCAGCTCTTGAAGGGATTTCTCTCACTCTAGAAGTTATTTATAGCACACTATATCATGCAAGTCTAGAGTTCCTCAGATAAGAAAAAGATTACATTCAGGAGCATATCATGACTTTAAAACAGCTGCCTGGATCTCGTTAAGCTACTGAGATACTGTTACTTGCTTATAGATCACTTACAATAGAGGGATATCTAACTTCATGGGCCTATGGCAGGTATTTCTGGCTATTCCCTACCTACACACCAGATTTAACCATTCTAATTTTCCAAGCTGGTTTTGGTTTCTGTGGGTAACCTACAAAGCTGTAGGTATTCTTGAGCAAGTGAAATAATTCTCTGCTTACTACAAAGCTACCTCTACTAGATTTCATTAGAGTCACCAAATATGTCTTCAATATTGAAGTAGCTAAAAATTTCTATTGAAAGCCATTTAAAATGAGTACTCATCTGTCACCATTTTTTGCATCTTTTGAGTTTATCACCTGGTATTACAGTTTGTCTGCATCTCTTAATATTAATTATCTCCTACCTGCTATAAAACATGTTACATCATTCTTTTTAGCTAGATCTTCCCATGTATTTGGGTTAAAAGTCCACTGCTTTGCATGAGTCATTTGTTTTTCTCTTCTGACAAGTAAGCCCATTTTTTATATCAATATCTCTGCTTGCTTTCTAGTGGGAGCAGGAGAGGCTGCAAATTTTGCTGCTTATGCTTTTGCACCTGCCACCTTGGTCACCCCTCTGGGTGCTTTGAGTGTTCTCATAAGGTATGTGAGCAACAGGGAACTTGGCTTCTGTAGGTATTTTAAGACCAAGATAAACTTAAACCATAATAAACATATGGCTATGGATATCTAAAAGCAAACACACAAATCTAGACCAACCTGGGCTCTAAAAGTCTAGATGAACCCAAATTATTTCTGAGGCTCCTGGGAAGCTTTGGTCAAGTCACTCAGGCTCAGTTTACTCATTCATAAAGTGAGAACAATACTTTTTCTTGCCTGAAATCACAAAAATAACTTGAGAAGACTATAAAATAACAGTAGAAATAGGAAATAGACTGTCACATTATTATTTTAAAAACCTAAGACACAGTGAGTTTGATTTCCTACTAACATAAATGTGTTTTACATTTGTAACACTGCAATGAAGCATAGAAGATTTTTTAAATCTCTCATCAGAACAAATTGCCAGAGTCCTGTCAATTATTTTCCTCATCATAGTGGTTAATGACCATAGTTATCAGAGGACTTTTACAAGCATGGTGTTTTGGTTAAATTTTAACTCTCACTACAATTCTTGCATTGTTTGCTGGATACTTCTGTTTGGAGACCCTGTAGTTTTGATAGTGGAAACAGGAATAATTTTCCTATTTCATGGAATGTGGATCTAATTTTTCTGAGTTTATTATGATCCCAAATGAATGTGTTTGATAAGCATATACATTTTTGTCTGTTCTTTTCTTGTCTTTTTGTTTTCTATTCATTACCAACCTCTAGTATAAAACCTATGATTGAGCCTACTAAATTCTTTTTAGCTTCTGTATAGGATTGTTATGAAAATTAAGTGAGTTAATACACATAAAGCACTTCAAACACTTGTCTATGCAATGAATAGCTAGTAGTAGTAGTAGTAATAGTAGTATCTTCACTAAGGCTGCAGTCCTAAAGGTGGCCACATGAGGGCAACTCTAGGAAAGTACCTGGTAATTTATCATAATCTTGAGGACAGATGGGTACTTAATTGCCTTCATGGGGATGCCAGAGCATTAGAGGAAGGAGGCTGGCTTGCAGAAACCACAGCAACTGAAGCATTAGCAGTACTGGATAGGTCTAAGTATCAGAGCAGTAACAGGTGGTAAGGAAGTATTTTGATATTTTGAAAGTCTGTATCAAGCTTCTCCAACCCATGGCCCATGGGCTGCATGTGGCCCAGGACGGCTTGGAATGTGGCCCAACATAAATTTGTAAACTGTCTTAAAATATTATGAGTTTTTTTTGTGATTTTTTTTTCTTTAGCTCATTAGCTACCATTACTGTTACTGTATATTATGTGTTGCCCAAGACAATTCTTCCAGTGTGGCCTAGGGAAGCCAAAAGATTGGATACCCCTGGTCCGTTTGATTGTAGTGGTGTGAACTAGCTGATTATTAGCCCTGAGCAGAGTAATTTTTCTTTAGGAATGTATCTTTCTTGGAAACATCCATGGGCATACATATTCTAAATGTATCATGCCAGTAAGATATAAAAGATTTTCTATTTTGTTTGGCTTTACAGGAAAAGATGGGTAAATTGAAAATGACTTGAGTAGAACCTCTTGTAAGATCACTGGAAGATTATGGGATATAGAATATTATAGCTCTTTAGATATAAAAACAGTGAAGCATATTTGATTGCCCATCAGTTCTGAGTTTCAAACCAATCTAGGGTTTCAGTGTCATATAGCATATTCCAGTCAGCTCATTGGGATACATGGTGGCATGTACCACAGTGTGACTTCTGAGCTGCCATGGGATCAAAAGGTAATTGAGCTATAGTGATTTTTAATTTTTTCTCTCCCAACAGTGCAATATTATCTTCCTACTTTTTAAACGAGCACTTGAACATTCATGGGAAAATAGGCTGCATATTAAGTATATTGGGGTCAACTGTGATGGTTATCCATGCCCCACAAGAAGAGGAAGTCACATCTTTGCATGAAATGGAAATGAAATTGAGAGACCCAGGTCTGTGATTCAACCTAAAGAACCACTCAAATTCTGCTCCACTTTCTCTCCTCACCAAATAGTATCTGTAATAATATTGTAATAAGCTTTCTACATTGTGGGCCGCATTGTGGGTTGTGAGACACAGTGAGGTTTGATTATTATTTCTCCTGAAAAGATGGCAGAACTTATTTTTGTGTTCATGCTTCCCCTGTTACACAATGAAAGGGAGAGGTGGGGATGGTAGAGGCAAAAGACATATATTCAAAATCAAATCTTTGCCACTCTCTTCCTCTGAAAATAAAAAGTTAATCTGATAATATTCGCCCTAGCTCATAGTGGTATTGGTGAGATTTAAATGATATGTTTGTGAAAATCCTTTGTAAAATATTGAGAACTATGCAATAGAATGTTGTTTTTAATTTGATCTCACTTCTATTTCTAAAATACCTATGCTCTTAAACTCATGACTAACAAGATTTCAGAAAGGTATAATCCTGTGAGCATTTTCTAAAGTCAAATTCTTTTCTCCTTCTAACAGGGTTTATTTCCTTTGCTGTGATCATAACTGTGATCTCCTTGGTGCTGATTTTGATTGTGGCTCCCAAGAAAGGACAGACCAATATATTGGTTTATATTTCAATCTGTTCCTTGATTGGAGCGTTTTCAGTTTCTTCTGTGAAAGGCCTGGGAATTGCCATTAAGGAGCTGATAGAATGGAAGCCAGTTTACAAACATCCGCTGGTCTTTGTTTTGCTGGCTGTACTTGTGCTTTCAGTAACTACACAGATTAACTATCTCAACAAGGCACTGGACACCTTTAATACCTCTCTTGTGACACCCATTTATTATGTATTCTTCACATCCATGGTAGTGACTTGCTCTGCCATCTTATTCCAAGAGTGGTATGGCATGACAGCTGGAGATATCATTGGGACCCTGAGTGGATTCTTCACTATTATCATTGGCATCTTCCTTCTACATGCTTTTAAAAATACTGACATTACTTGGAGTGAGCTTACATCCACTGCTAAGAAAGAAGCCGTCTCTCTGAATGTCAATGAAAACAATTATGTTTTACTAGAGAACTTGGAGTGTTCAGCCCCAGGATACAATGATGACGTTACCTTGTTTAGTAGAACTGATGACTGAAGTCTCTAGAAACACTGAGTTTTAACCAATATGAGACACACGAAGAGGAAAATGAATGCTTGCTTCTTGGAAGAACTGCTAGGAAAGTTAGCATTTTTGCAGTTCTAACTAATTTAGATGTGAGGCCAAGTAAAAATGCCATTTTTTTGGCCATTGAATTTGAAAATCAAATTGATTATCCTCCAGAATCTCTACAAACTTTGAAATACTCTCTAAGGATCAAAGAAGTCAAAGAGCTATGTGTGTCTCAGAATAATCTCCTTCTTCTGGTCACAGTATCTTTGTCTCTGCCAGGTGGCTCTTCATTTCTTTGGTAGCTATTTTTAGACTTACAGTCATTCACCAATATACAGTTAGCAGTGTTCTGATAGACACAGTATCAGTCATATTCTCCGTTGAGTCATAATTTCAAACTCAACAAGATTTCAGAAAGGTATAATCATGTAATTTCTCATATTAAAACTGAGAAGAGAGGCCAGGCATGGTGGTTCACACCTGTAATCCTAGCAGTTTGGGAGGCCAAGGCGGACAGATCACTTGAGCTCAGGAGTTCGAGACCACCTTGGGCCACAAGGCGAGACCCTGTCTCTACAAAAAATACAAAAATTAGCCAGGCGTGGTGGCACATGCCTGTAGTTCCAGCCACCCGGGAGCCTGAGGTGGGAGGATTGCTTGAGTCTGCGAGGTTGGGGCTGCCGTGAGCCCAGATTGCGCCATTGTGCTCCAGCCTGGGTGACAAAGCAAGGCCCTGTCTCAAAAAAGAAGAAGAGAAAGGGCCAGGGGCTTTTGCTTTAAAAAACTTTTTTTAAAACAGAAGTGAAACCACGGGTGCTTTGTTCTTCCTTCTGCACCTCCTTCTTAAACTAGATAGCTAATTAGTTATTTTAAGAAAAAAGAAATTTAAAAAAAAGCCTGCTTTATTTGTTAGTGGGCTAGAATACACAAGACATACCCACCCATGAAGAGTTTATGAATTGTAACTTATTGACATTATCATAGGAATTTACTACCAGTTAAAGAGGGAGAACGGAGGAAGAGAAAAATACTTCAGATAAAGGAAAAAGTTTTCTTCTCACAAAAACACAGACACGTGATTGTTTTCACAGGTTCCATTAATTAACTCAGGTCTGGAAGACATAGGACAAAATGGAGTTTCTGAAGAAGTCCAGGTGAATTCAGCTTTGGAGTCACTTATGTTCATTTTTTTTCCTTTTCTTTTACTATTATCCTAAAGGTTATTTTTCTTGTTGATATAGAGATTTTTGTAAAAGATTGCTACATTATTTCAGGATTATATCCTACATTTCGATTGCTCTCAAATGTTTTATCCCTAAAGAGTGAGTTTTCCACAGACTGTTTGGAAGCAACTAGAAAAATCTTTGTGAAAAATCTGAACAAATTATCATAATGGCTCTCTTGAAATTTTGCACTTTCACCCTTATTAAGGAAATTATAATTAGTTACTAACCTTTAAAAATAGATATATTCTAATAGGATAGAAAGTTAACTTCCTGGCAAACAAAATACTAAGATCTCAGGGGCTACTGCAGGAAAATACCTTTTTCGCACATTAAAATGTTTATAAAATTTTCCCCTCTCATTTCAAATGCATGGCAGGAATAACATTTTTGGTGGTCTTTAATGTGATGGACAGATTTACTGTCACTTATTGATTTTATGGAAAATAAATTGGCTATCTTATTTTTATAACAATCTTATTTTTCTCAAAACAAAAATCCTAACCAAAAAGTTGTCATTAAAAAAAAAAAAATTCAGGTAGACTGAATGTTTTTCTGCTCTAACCTTAAATGTTATTAGGTTTGGTTTTTGTTTCTAAGCTACTTCAAGACTACCTGAGGTAATAATGGTAAACTTTATTATTCAGAATTCGATTAAACTAACTTCAGCATTTCCACAGTTCTATTAAACAATGACTGATGTTCACAATGACAACCTACCTGAGATGGCTGCAAGGCCCTAATGTTCCATTATACATTATAGTCTTTTCAGCATAGTTTAGTGTTGAGTGCAATTCTAATGCATTCTACGTTTTTGAAAATCGATAATCCATGGAAGGTCCATGGGTTGATACCTCAGGTCAAAAATGTGTTTACTCTGTTGATTGCTGTTTCACTTTACTTGTATATCAGATATATAAGCTATGAACACAAGTTTGTAGTAAAAGTATCTTCTGTCTGGGCAATGGCTCACACCTGTAATTCCAACACTTTGGGGGGCTCAGGTGGGAGGATTTCTAGTCCCCAGGAGTTTGAGACCAGCCTGGGCAATAAACTAGACCCCATGTCTCTAAAAAATGTAAAAAACATCAAGAGGCTGAGTCAGGAGGATCATTTGAGCTTAGGAGTTCAAGGCTGCAGTAAGTTATGATTGTGCCACTGCATTCCAGCCTGGGTGACAAGAGTGAGACCCTGACCCAAAAAAGTATCTTCTGATAAAGTGGCATTTGAAAATTGCAGAAATTTTAATATTTTTTCTTTTAATATTAAGAACTTTATTGATCTCTCTAGGACACCTTGGTGAGGAAATTAATGGCACTTTTCTTGACATCCAACCTGGGACTCTGGTGATTCTGTGTTCTGGCGAATTTAAGTTTCAGACATTTCTTTGTGTCACCTTTTACAAGGTGTTTGCCCTTGGTACGTTATGACCAGGTCAAAGGTTCCCAAACACAAGGCTCATTGTGTACCCTGGACAGGAAATTGAACTGATGTTGACATGTATGCATGCCCAGGAGGAAGACTGGGAAAGATTTAATGAGTTGAAGTATGCTGAGAAACAATGAAATATTTGAAAACTGTCTACATAAAAGTTACTGATGCACATGCATTAAAAAAAAAAATGTTGTTGCAAATCTAACACTAAAAAATTTTTGACTGGGTGCAGTGGCTCACACCTGTAATCCCAGCACTTTGGGAGGCTGAGGCGGGTAGATCACAAGGACAGGAGTTCAAGACCAGCCTGGCCAACATGGTGAAACCCCGTCTCTACTAAAAATACAAAAATTAGCCAGGCATGGTTGCGGGTGCCTATAATCCCAACTACCCCGGAGGCTGAGGCAGGGAATTGCTTGAAGCAAGGAGGGGCAGGTTGCAGTGAGCCAAGATTGTGCCACCACACTCCAGCCTGGGTAACAGCAAGACTCCGTCTCAAAAAAAAAAAAAATTCCCAAATAGGAAGATATTTTCTAAGGAAGAATAAAATGCTGGACCCCTATATTCAGACTATTAGTCTTAACTGGTAGTTTATGTATATATTTTAATACTTTGTCATCATGTACATATCTTAAGATTTATTATGTGAATATCTGCATGTGTGTTATTAAGGATTACAAAGTTGTGCTCACACAGGACAAATGGAAAGATTTTCCTACTTCTGTAAAGATAAGTTTCATTATACTTTTGTCTTACAATTTTATTCTTAGGTCAATGGTTATTTATTATAAGTTCAGATTGCACAATTTTCATAAGACCCTTTGGATTTAGCACATGAAATTAACACATATTTTAAAGTATTAAATACATGGAAAGCATCTGGCATTATGCCTGATAATAGGCACTTAGTAAAATGTACTTTTCTTTGAATCAACATTTGAATTCTTACAGTCTTGTCACTAGAGACTTAAAAGGACCATTGAGTGCCTATTTTTATACATTCATCTTTTCTCAATTTGTCACATTATCTCATTTTAAATAATGCAAGTGAAAGTGAATTCATCATACTATCTCAACACCAATACAAAATTATTCCAATAAAAATATTTTTCTTAATAAAACCAGAAAAACTGAACTAAATGCTATTTAGCCCCGCCAACAAAGCTTTGTGGAAAAATATATGAATATATGAAATGTTCTCAAATATTTTGAATAAACTGTTCATGAAGCCTTATATTTTGCAAGTGTTTTTACTGTTGATTTTAGAAAGTTTATAAATCTTAAATGTTTGTATATTTTTCATTTGCAATAAAATGTTATTTAATTATGCTTTTGAGTTCAGTTTTTAGTTTATAAATGTTAAGCATATGTAATGGCAAAACTATTCCCATTTTGTTTTGAGATTAAAAGGAAAGTTTCAGGCTGGGCCGGTGGCTCATGCCTGTAATGTCAGCACTTTGGGAGGTCGAGGCGGGCAGATCACTTGAGGTCAGGAGTTCGAGACCAGCCTGGCCAACAAGGTGAAACCCTGTCTCTACCAAAAATATAAAAAATTAGCTGGGTATGGTGGCACGCGCCTGTAATCCCAGCTACTTGGGAGGCTGAGGCAGAATTGCTTGAACCTGGGAGGCAGAGGTTGCAGTGAGCTGAGATCATGCCACTGCACTCCAGCCTGGGCAACAGAGGGAGGCTCTGACTCATCTCACAAAATAAATGTTTCAGTGTTTCAAAAAAAAAAAAAAACTGCACTGATGTTAATGTTGCTATTTTGTTTCCCTTGAAATTGAAATTTGTTTTTAGAAGGCTCTCTGCAAGACCATCTCCCATGTAACAGCTTAAACAAAAGCACCTGAACAGAAGAAACTCTTATCCTTCAAATTGAACAAAAGCTCAAAGCTGTCAATAATAAAATCTCCCCTCAGAACAATAACTAGTATAAATATATTTGGTACCATGCTTTATAAACCCTCAGTGAGTTTTCTTCTAGCTCTGTGGAACTACAGCTTTGCTTCATGGATTAGCCACATCATGTTATAAATTTTCTGTTTTGGTTTGAATTCCTGTTTGAGAACAACACCCTCAATTGTTTTAAATTCATAAAAATTCAAAAAATTATCTAGGGGCTGGGTGCAGTGCCTCAAGCCTATAATCCCAGCACTTTGGGAGGCCAAGGTGGGAGGATAGCTAGAGGCCAGGAGTTTGAGCAAGGCTGGGCCATAAAACTAGACCTCGTCTCTATAAAAATTTTTAAAAACATTAGCCAAGTGTGGTAGCATGTCCCTGTAGTTCCAACTACTTAGGAAACAGAAGTAGGAGATTCCCTCAAGTCCAGGAATTGTAGGCTGCAGTGAGCTATAATCATGCCACTGCACTCCAGCCTGGGCAAGATCCTGTCTTTAAAAAATCAAGCAGAAGAGGCTGGGCCCAGAGGCTCACACCTATAATCCCAGCACTTTGGGAGGATGAGGCGGGCGGATCACCTGAGGTCAGGAGCTCAGGTGAGTTTCGTCCAGCCTGGAGGTTTCATCATGGCCAAGATGACAAAACCCTGTCTCTACTAAAAATACAAAAATTAGCCGGGTGTGGTGGCACGTGCCTGTAATCCCAGCTACTTGGGATGCTGAGGCAGGAGAATTGCTTGAACCCGGGAAGCGGTGGTTGCGGTGAGCCGAAATTGTGCCATTGTACTCCAGCCTGGGCAACAAGAGTGAAACTCCATTCTCCAAAAAACAAAAGAAACCAAAAAAAAGAGAGAGAGAGAGAGAGAGAAAACCTCTACATTACCTCTAGAATGGGTACTGGGTAATGACATATGGCTCCTCCCTGAGTTAATTGTGCCTCGCAAACATTCAGAAAATAAACTCAAGCACGCCCCATAGCTCAAGGCCAATAACACAGATTGTTTCAGGAATGGGCAAAATAGCCTTCTAACTGCCCAATGGGTTCAACCTTGCCCCACTGACTAGACAGAGTCAATTTATCAAGACAGGGAAATTGCAGTGGAGACAGTTATTCATGCAGAGCTGGCTAGTGCAGAGACAGGAGTTTCATTATTACTCAAATCAGTCTCCCCAAGTATTCGGGGATCAGAGTTTTTAAGGAAAATTTGGTGGGTGGGGGGCCAGTGAGTCAGGAGTGTTGGTTGGCTGGGTTGGCAATGAAATCATAAGGAGTAGAAGCTGTCTTGAGCCAAGTCAGTTCCTGGGTGGGGGCCACAAGATGCGATGAGCCAGTTTATCCACCTGGGTGGTGCCAGCTGATCCATAAGGTGCAGGTTCTACAAAATATCTCAAGTACTGATCTTAGGTTTTATAATAGTGATGTTATCCCCAGGAGCAATTTGGGAAGGGTCAGAATTTTGTAGCATCCAGCTACATGACTCGTAAACCATAATTTATAATTTTGTGGTGAATTCATTAGTCCTACAAAGGCAGTCTATTCCACAGGCAAGAAGGAATTTGTTTTGGGAAAGGGCTGTTAACGTTTTTGTTTCAAAGTTAAACTATAAACTAAGTTCCTCCCAAAGTCAGTTCAGCCTACGCCCAGGAATGAACAAGGACAGCTTGGAGGTTGGAAGCAAGATGGAGTCAGTTAAGTCAGACATCTTTCACTGCAACAATCCTCTTAGCTATATTCTGCAATGGCGGTTTCAGCCCTTCAGCTCAAAAGGCCTCTTTGTCGCTTAATTTGCTTTTGCCTTTGTGTTCACGCTAATGTTTCATCGTATTACCAAGAGTTTTCAATAAAATGTATTTCAATAAAAGAAATATCTCCTCTCCTTGACCATGGAACTGTAAAGCTGGGTTAGAATGGGCAAGACTTGGAAGAAAAAGAAAACAAATTTTTATGGGAAGAATGAAATGAGGCTTTGTTTACCATTGTTAGCTTGCTAGAACTTAATTCCTTCTGAGTAATCTCGCATGCACATTTTTAAAAGGCAAGGCTTTCTATCAGTTTTGAGACTCCACTTTCAGGATCTCAGGGCATGAATTTAAATAACGCAGTGATTTGGTCTTTTCAGCCAATACTGAAACAGACTGGATCAAGTTTATCTGGACAAAAAGGACCACCATCAGTGCCATGTTGATTTCTCACTGTGAGAATCAAACTGGTTTAGAATCAGACAGACCTAAGGAATTCAATGCAATTCAGGTTACACAAAACAGTTTCACTTCTTACGGGGAGATCTGCTGATTGAAGATTAACCTGCAGCAAAAAAGGAAAAGTGAAAAGCTTGGAGGAACTAGTCAAACTAGAGAAAGTGTTACTCTTTGTTTTGCTGTTCAGCGTGGGATAGCAGGGGCTGGAGAAAGGAGATACCTGCAATGTAAACATGTGATCTACTTTCACAATATCTAAACAATTCACAGTCCAACAGAGTGAAGAATAAACACTGCCATCAAACACATGTATGTGTCTGGTGTCTCTGAAAGGTGACTTCATCATCATGAATGAGAATATAAAGGGCGAGAGGCAAAATATGTAGCTAAGCAGAAACATGCTCAATTTCATTACCAAACAGACCAGATATCACTGCCTTTAGTCAGAAATATACTCACCTGATTGTCATTTCTCTAATCAACCAGCAGACTCCACACAATAAAAAATCCCCTTTTGAAATACTTGAATCTCTGGCTCTTTGCTAAGGTTTCATGGAATTCTGCATATAGCACAGCCTCCTGATGAGATACATAGTGTAGAATTCCACCAGTTTCTCAGCACCTCTAGTATTTTGTTCCAGAGTCCTGGTACTATTGAAATCAAGTAAGGAGAAGCCACAAGCTCCCTGATGGGTTTCTGGCTCTCTGTTACATAGCGTTGTATTCCCTGTGCTCTACTTAGCTTTGATCCATAGCTATTCTGGTGGCTGACACAACTGCTTTTAACCCTTGTCCATCAGTGAACTAGCAGGGAAACTAGCTAAAACATGTGAAGTTAACCAGCGATAGCCTGTTGAAAAGCTGTTAGTCATCAGCATTGAGGGGAATCTTTCTCCCTGTGATCCACTTTTTAATAAACCTCACAAGAAGCCTCAACCCAGAGTAAACATTTGTACATAAAGTATTTTATCTAATCTAATGTTTTTGGCCCTGGCTATACATTTACCTTCACCTGCAGAGGGTTTTAAAATCTACTTTAAAATTACCTATTCCTGTTGGGGCGGTGGCTCATGCCTATAATCTCAGCACTTTGGGAGATCTACTCAGGCAGATCACCTGAGGTCAGGAGTTCGAGACCAGCCTGGCCAACATGGCGAAACCCTGTCTCTACTAAAAATACAAAAATTAGCCGGGCATAGTGGCAGGCGCCTTTAATCCCAGCTACTTGGGAGGCTGAGGCAGGAGAATCACTTGAACCCGGGAGGCAGAGGTTGCAGTGAGCCAAGATTGCACCACTGCACTCCAGCCTGGGTGACAGAGTGAGACTCTGTCTCAAGCAAACAAACAAATTAATTAATTAACTTACCTATTCCTTAGGTCTGTCTGATTCATGCCTGGGCCCCACCTCAGACCAATTAAATAGAACATCTGAGGGTAGGATCAAGATAACAATATTTGTTAAAATCTCCCCAGATGATTTGAATATGCAACTAGGGTTGAAAACCACAGATCTAATCTAAGACCTCGCCTATTAGAAGTCACATCCCAATTTCAGAGTTCCTTTCAAAAAAAGTGCTGAAATAATGATATACACATTCTGTGGTTGTGGTTGTTCTCAATTTCTTAGATTTTGACCATCTCTGAAATAAGGTACATAATCTGCTCCCACCCTCCCCCAACAATGATAGTTATACTTTCTTGAAAAACATAGCGAATTCAACAATGTTATTAATAACATACCTAAGATATTTACATGAAAATTGACATAGAATATCTTTACGTTAGTCAGCTTGAGCTGCCATTAACACAATACCATAAACTAGGTAGCTTAAACAACAGAAATTTCCCACAGCACTGGGGGCTAGAAGTCCAAGATTAGGCACCTGCAAGTTTCCGTTCTGGTGAGGCTCTCTTCTTGGCTTGCAGATAGCCGCCTTATTGCTGTGGGGGAGCTGGGAAGGAGACTAGAGCAAGCTCTCTGGCATCTTTTTTTTTTTTTTTTTTTGAGACGGAGTCTCACTCTGTCGCCAGGCCAGAGTGCAGTGGCGTGATCTCAGCTCACTGCAACCTCCACCTCCTGGGTTCAAGCAATTCTCCTGCCTCAGCCTCCTGAGTAGCTGGGACTACAGGCTTGCGCCATCACACCCAGCTAATTTTTGTACATTTAGTAGAGATGGGGTTTCACCACGTTGGCTAGGTTGGTCTCAGTCTCTTGACCTCATGATCCACCCACCTCGGCCTCCCAAAGTACTGGGATTACAGGTGTGAGACACTGTGCACAGCCTCTGACATCTCTTCTTATCAGGGCACTAATCCCATCAAGAAGTTTCCACCCTCAGGACCTCATCTGATCCTAATCACCTCCCAAAGGCCCCATCTTAAATACCATCGAATTAGAGCTTAGGATCTCAATATAATGGATTTGGTTGGGTGAAACAAGGGACACATTCAGTCCATAACATTTTTACTGCAAGCAATTCAACTAATTCAAATAAATAAGTACATATTAGCTAAGACTTATCAAGTACTGAGACTGTTCTAAGTATCTCATACACACAATCTTATTTAATTCTAACAACTCTGTGAAATATGGGTTATCATGCCCATTTTACAGAAGAGGAGGCACAAGTTGGTGAAGAGCTTAGGAAGCTAGGAAGCAGCAAAGCTGCATTTGAGTGCTGTCCTTGGCATCCACAATAGCCATTCCTATTAGAGTCATCAGTATAATTAAGGGCTTGATAAAGATTTCTAAGTGGAATTGGATAGCCCACTAGCTGCCATCAGAAGAGTCAGCAGAAATGCAACATTTAGGAATAAGACTTAAGTCCTATTTCTTAAGACTTAAATAAAGCACTCTGATTTCTGGGGTGCTTGGTTTTAAAACCACCAATGCCTTGTCTCATATAACAAGTCTGGAAGTGGGCAACTCAGAATCAGTGCAGCATCTGAAGATCACTAGGAGGGACCAGGCTTCTATTTTTCTACTTCATAGGTGGAGCTGCCAGATTTAGCAAATAAAAACACAGGTTAGGACATCCAGTTAAACCTGAATTTCAGATAAAGAATGGAAAAAATTTAGTATAAGCATGTCCCATAAAATATTTGTAACATAGTTATGGTAATAAAGAGTCTGACTTTGTTTTCCATATTTGCTGACAACTTGCAAGCCCCAGCACACCCCTGCCCCTTCTTCCCTACACCTGGACAAGACGATAAGAAAGTCAAAGTAATTCCCTTCCTCCGTGCCAGCTGGAAGTTCAAACCACACCGGCCTCAGCCCTTTCATAAAACCCCAAGGCAGCCTGCCCTCCCCACTTGCTCAACCTATTTTCAGACCTGCTTGGGAGCCTGCCCTGTGCTCCTCAGAAAGCCTCATTATTTGAGTCATAAACCTTTTCATATCCTCTTGGGGTATGGCATCAATAATCCCAATCTTTGAACCAAATTTGGGGTAAGGGGTTCATCCATTTCTGGGGTTGATGACAATATAGAGGGTGACCACAACACATACACTAAAAAATGATTCATTATTTATCTGAAATTCAAATTTACCAGTTGTCTCATATTTTATTTGGCAACCCTGTCTCCAGGACTTCATCTTCATGCCCGTTTCCTCAGAGTCACAGATGGGTGCTCTACTTCCAGGTCCCAAAGCCATATTCCAAGCAGGAAGACACAAAAAATTTTTTCCTTCTATTAAGACCTGGGCTTTGTATTTGGGAAAGGAAGTCCTCCCCAGGCACTTCTAGCTATATCTCACTACATGGAACTTTCTCATGTGGTATGCTTGCTATGAGAGGGCCCTCAAAATTGAGTATTTTAGCCTTCCAAAACATGAAGAATAGAGAGTTGTAGGTGACTTTTGGAATATAAACCCAGTGTCCACTGGGAAGCTGTCTGTTGCCATATATTATGGGTATAATCCTTTTGAAAGTCTTCTATTTACCCGCAAGCTAGTTTTCCTCTTCCTGAAATCCTGTTAGTTAAGGGAGTTGGGGGACAAATGCCACCCTGGGAAGAATGATATGGTCCAAGGACCAGCACCTGTGTCATTATCTGAGAGCTTGTTATAAATTCAAAATCTAAAGCTCCACCACAGACCTCCTGAATCAGAATCTACATTTTAACCAGGTCCCCAGGTGACTGTATGTATTAGTGCATTAAAGTTTGAGAAGAACTGGCTTAGAAGGACCCTAGTTTTCACATTTGCCATTGGAATAGCCCAAGGACCCTTTAAAAATACCAATGACTTCCCTAGATATTTTGATTCAATTGGCCTGGGGTGCAGCCTGGGCATCAGGATTTTTTAAAGCTCCCACAAGATTTTAATAGGCAGGGACGTTTAATAACAACTGCCCTAGAACAGCGACGCTCAACCCTGGCTGCCCATTGGAATCACTTGGGGTGCTTGGTTTTAAAACTACCAATGCCTGGGTCCCCCAAGAGCAGTTAAATCAGAACTGGGGAGATGAAGGAGGATGAGAAGGTAAGACACGGGCAATGGTATTTTTGAAAAGCTGTCAGATCATTCTAGTGTGTGAAAACCACACCAGGAAGAGGAAGTGAAACACTCACATTCTCCAGCCCAGTGGTTTGCGGGCAGAAGAGGGAGAGTGATATTAGAGGGGTTAAAGATACTGCAGGGGCAGGAGGGCCAGGTAGAGGGTACTGGCAAGGGCAGGGAGGCTTGCATTCTGCCTTGTGTTCAGATTCCTGGAGGGAATTGCCCCACGAACTGTCTGGAAAGCAGCCATGGACAAACTCTGCAGCACAGCATGATTAAGCAGGGGAGTGAGGGTAGAGGCAGGAGTGCAAAATTGTAAAGTTTTAGCTTTTTGAGCTATTCTCAGTCCCTGTGTGGTATGGACAGGACCCAGAAGCTCCCACATGTGCTCAAGATGGTCCTCTGGAAGCAGCTGAGTTGAATCATTTCCCAAAGAAATGACATGGCACTCACCCTTCAAGAGCAAGGTGACCTGCAGCCCAGGCTGAGGGGCCAATGAAGACTGTGGCAGAGTCTAAACTTACACCATAAGCCTGCAGTGCCAGCAAGAGCTGGGGTGAGGTCAAATCAGCCAGGGAGAACTCCTGTGCCCTAGCCAAGTCAGGAAAGACCAGTCCACACCAGTCACCAGCTCCACCTGCAAAAGCTAGCTGGATAAGCAGCAACTAGGATGATAAGAAATGTTGTGGAGATCAGAGGTGCCAAGAGACACTGCTCCAATACAAACAGCCCTTCCCCTTCACTTCACCGCTGTGAGGTCACCTTGCCAGGGCTGAGAGTCACAGTCTGCATTGGAAGGGCTACTAATTGCTAGCTGTTAGCATCCACTCCAGTGGGTCTGTGTCTGTGTCAAATCAGTTAATTATGTTGAATGTCACTCCTAGATAAAGTTCCCCCTTTCCCTGCTCTACTCAGATGCTGTGTTGGGCAGAAACAGAAAAGGAGAAGCAAGACCTGAGAGCCTATCCATTTTACTGAATGAGAATATTTTCATCATTGCACTAAGCTAAAGTTATAGGGTTAAAATCAATCAAGTTTCGCCAGCCCTACCCAGCCAGTAGGGACACATGAGGAAATCTACAGAAGTTACAGGCAAAATAAAAGAGCTACAGCTTGTCTGTACATCTAACAGTAGTGTGAGGAAACTTCCATTCCTGCTGTAGACGTAAGGATAATCTGCTTCTTCTATGAAGTATTCTTCTTCTTCTTCTTCTTCTTCTTATTATTATTATTTGAGATGGAGTCTCGCTCTTTCACCCAGGCTGGAGTGAAGTGGCATGATCTAGGCTCACTGCAGCCCCCGCCCCTCAGGTTCAAGTGATTCTCCTGCCTCAGCCTCCTGAGTAGCTGGGATTGCAGGCGCCTGCCACCACGCCTGGTTAATTTTTGTATTTTTAGTAGTGATGGGGTTTCACCACGTTGGCCAGGCTGGTCTTGAACTCCTGACCTCAGGTGATCCACCCGCCTTGGCCTCCCAAAGTGCTAGGATTGCAGGTATGAGCCACCGCGCCCAGCCCAAAGTATTTATCTGTTTATAAAATATGGATTTGTATTTCTCCATAGATGTATTCAGGTGTCTTTTTTTTCTATCAATCTGATATTAGTCCCTAACATAGTGTATTTTTCTTTGTCTATTTAAACAGAGAAAGGGAGATACAGAAAGTTGTGTGTAAACCCAAATTGTTCTGAAAAAAGTAAGATCTATACCAAAAAGAAGAAGGACAATGACCAGCTGAGGTTGTCACGTGGAACTAGATGAAAAAACAGCCCATTGCTCTATAGAAATGCAATGGGTTGGCCCAGAATCCCGAGAGGAGGCTGCCTACCAGATTGGATCTCACATCTCTGGAAAATGAAGCTTCTGGGTGATCCCACTACTTTTATTTAACTGGGTCATGCCATTAATACTTACTTAGCTCAGCTCTATGCCAGGCCCTGTCCTAGGACCTAGAGATGCAACAGTGAATGCAACAGACAAAAATACCTGCCCTCACAAATGTTACAGTTGAAAGAGAGTGGGGATAAAAGACAGACAGTAGACCAAAGAAATAGGTAAAAAAAAAATGTGTATGATTTGTTATATAATGTTAAGAGCTATAGAGAACAATGATACAGAGAAGGGAGACAGGGAATGCCCACGTGGGGTTGCGATTTTAATCGGAGGTGGTCAGAGAAAGCTTCAAGGAGAGGGCGACAGTTGAGCAACGACCTGGAGGAGATGGGGAAGTGAGACATGTATCCAGAAACATTGCCAGCAAAGGGAACAGCAGCAGGTGCAAAGGCCCTGAGATGAAAGGGACTGGCTGGCATGTGCAGCGGGCAGCAGGAAGGCCAGGGGCCGCATGGATGAATGGGAGAGTAGCAGGAGGTGAGCTCAGTGAGGTTGTAGATCCAGGTACAGAGAGGAAGCCGAGCACATTGCTCCAATCCAAGCAGATTCTTCAACTTCATCTTCAGCTTTCCCAGACAGCTCCATGAGGTGGAAGCCACCAAATCCACCACTGCTTGCACTCAAGGAAGGTACCTGCATAGGATTGTCAGCTTTTTCTTAAGATTTTCATATATTGTTAAGGCTGTCTAATTTTGAGAAAATTTGCCCCCAGATCACTTCAAAATGTTAAAGTACTAGAGAAAACAGAACCTGGCCAACCGGCACTAAATATTGACAACATTCTCCCAACTTACTCATCATGTTTGAGCTAATTTGCATTAGAAAAACAAAGGTCATAGCTGAAGCATTCCAGTTTGTTACTAGAGAAGATGGTGGGGCCAGGTGCAGTGGGTCACACCTGCAATTCCCACACATTGGGAGGCCAAGGCAGGCAGATCACTTGAGGCCAGGAGTTCGAGACCAGCCTGGCCAACACAGTGAAACCCCCGTCTCTACCAAAAAATACAAAAGTTAGCTGGGTGTGGTGGCACACGCCTATAATCCCAGCTACTCTGGAGGCTGAGGTAGGAGAATCACTTGAACCCAGGAGGCAGAGGTTGCCAAGATCACACCACTGCACTCCAGCCTGGGCAACAGAGTGAGACCTTGTCTGAAAAAAAAAAAAGAAAGAAAGAAAGAAAAAGAAAAGAAAAGAAAAAAAAATAAAGAAGAAAAGAAAAGATAAGATAAGATGATGGACTGCATGGAAAATGGCCAGAAAGCAAGAGGGGAATTGGGAAAAGACGAGCATTTGGTATTTGTTGATTATCATTCCAGCATTTATCACTCCCCTTTCCAGACCCTCTGAATGGCTCTCATTTTCTATTTTCAAGGTAAATGGATTTCAGCTGTGGCTCTTGAGGAAACATGTGCCCAAGTCCAAACCAGTCAAAGCATTCCATATCCCTAGCTACAGAGATTTGTTCCTGGAGGGCGTGTGGATCTGATCCAGTCAGAGAGAACCTCAGGACTCTGGTGGAAATGCTGGGATAGAGACGTTCTCTCCCTCTGGATAGTATAGTATGTCAAGTTAAGGTATGTGACCACAACATCCACTTTTCATCTGGGAGGGGTGGAAGAGGAGGCAGCCTGAGACATGAGAAATGGAGCTGGAAGGATGATAACAGGGTGAATGTCTGTACCCCTGGACTTCACAGTCACAGGGTCTAATGATACCCCTTTTAGCCTTAGAACTGTTAACATTTTGAGCTGGATAATTCTTTGTTGTGGGGGTATGTGCTCTTTGTAGGATGTTTAGCAACATCACTGGTCTCTACTCACTAGATGCCAGTAGCACACCCTGCCTGGTAGTAATAACCAAAAATGCCAGTTCAAATTGGATTTTGTTTTGTCTTGTTTTGAAAGTGGCATGGAGCTACCCTGCCTCCAGAGAGGTATGATTCACCCACTTTGTCTCCCTTCAACTAGCTGGGGTGTGGCTCCAGAGGAAAAGAGAGGCTCAAGTGCCCATCTGAAGATGAACCCCAGGCCAATTGGAGGGGGTGGTTGGAGACAGCTTCTCTCTCTCTGCTGCCAAACATGGGGGCAGTTGAGGCTCTTCACTCATCACGTCTTGGATCCCACCATAGAGGGTTCAAGGCCAGTAGTAAAGGGGACATGCAAACCAGAACCAAGCACCAGTCCCGACAATATGTGGGGTGAAAAAGGCTTGGCTGGATATGCACATCAGGGAATCAGCTTGCTGGACTGGCCAAAATTAAATCCTCATGGGTCGCTTTGTAGCCAACAGTAAGTGGCTGATTGGTTGTGTGTGGCCCAGCATATATCCCTCCAGATTCAGAAATCCTACTGGATACAGAAGAGTTTTGAATCTTTTTTTATGCTACAGATCTCTTTAGAAGTCTAGGGAAGGCTTTATACTCCTTCTTGGAATAATTTTTCTGTTTTTTTTCCTTTTTTTGAGACAGGTTATTGCTCTGTTGCCCCAGCTGGAGTGCTATGGCACAAACAGTTCACTGCAGCCTTGACCTTCTGGGCACAAGTGATCCTCCTATCTCAGCCTCCTGAATAGCTGGGACTACAGACGTGTACCACCATGCCTAGCTGGAATAATGTTTTTTTTTTATTATTATACTTTAAGTTTTAGGGTACATGTGTACATTGTGCAGGTTAGTTACATATGTATACATGTGCCATGCTGGTGCGCTGTACCCACTAACGTGTCATCTAGCATTAGGTATATCTCCCAATGCTATCTCTCCCCCCTCCCCCGACCCCACCACAATCCCCAGAGTGTGATATTCCCCTTCCTGTGTCCATGTGATCTCATTGTTCAATTCCCACCTATGAGTGAGAATATGCGGTGTTTGGTTTTTTGTTCTTGCGATAGTTTACTGAGAATGATGGTTTCCAATCTCATCCATGTCCCTACAAAGGACATGAACTCATCATTTTTTATGGCTGCATAGTATTCCATGGTGTATATGTGCCACATTTTCTTAATCCAGTCTATCATTGTTGGACATTTGGGTTGGTTCCAAGTCTTTGCTATTGTGAATAATGCCGCAATAAACATACGTGTGCATGTGTCTTTATAGCAGCATGATTTATAGTCATTTGGGTATATACCCAGTAATGGGATGGCTGGGTCAAATGGTATTTCTAGTTCTAGATCCCTGAGGAATCGCCACACTGACTTCCACAATGGTTGAACTAGTTTACAGTCCCACCAACAGTGTAAAAGTGTTCCTATTTCTCCACATCCTCTCCAGCACCTGTTGTTTCCTGACTTTTTAATGATTGCCATTCTAACTGGTGTGAGATGATATCTCATAGTGGTTTTGATTTGCATTTCTCTGATGGCCAGTGATGATGAGCATTTCTTCATGTGTCTGTTGGCTGCATAAATGTCTTCTTTTGAGAAGTGTCTGTTCATGTCCTTTGCCCACTTTTTGATGGGGTTGTTTGTTTTTTTCTTGTAAATTTGTTTGAGTTCATTGTAGATTCTGGATATTAGCCCTTTGTCAGATGAGTAGGTTGAGAAAATTTTCTCCCATGTTGTAGGTTGCCCGTTCACTCTGATGGTAGTTTCTTTTGCTGTGCAGAAGCTCTTTAGTTTAATTAGATCCCATTTGTCAATTTTGGCTTTTGTTGCCATTGCTTTTGGTGTTTTGGACATGAAGTCCTTGCCCACGCCTATGTCCTGAATGGTAATGCCTAGGTTTTCTTCTAGGGTTTTTATGGTTTTAGGTCTAACGTTTAAATCTTTAATCCATCTTGAATTGATTTTTGTATAAGGTGTAAGGAAGGGATCCAGTTTCAGCTTTCTACATATGGCTAGCCAGTTTTCCCAGCACCATTTATTAAATAGGGAATCCTTTCCCCATTGCTTGTTTTTCTCAGGTTTGTCAAAGATCAGATAGTTGTAGATATGTGGCATTATTTCTGAGGGCTCTGTTCTGTTCCATTGATCTATATCTCTGTTTTGGTACCAGTACCATGCTGTTTTGGTTACTGTAGCCTTGTAGTATAGTTTGAAGTCAGGTAGTGTGATGCCTCCAGCTTTGTTCTTTTGGCTTAGGATTGACTTGGCGATGCGGGCTCTTTTTTGGTTCCATATGAACTTTAAAGTAGTTTTTTCCAATTCTGTGAAGAAAGTCATTGGTAGCTTGATGGGGATGGCATTGAATCTGTAAATTACCTTGGGCAGTATGGCCATTTTCACGATATTGATTCTTCCTACCCATGAGCATGGAATGTTCTTCCATTTGTTTGTGTCCTCTTTTATTTCCTTGAGCAGTGGTTTGTAGTTCTCCTTGAAGAGGTCCTTCACATCCCTTGTAAGTTGGATTCCTAGGTATTTTATTCTCTTTGAAGCAATTGTGAATGGGAGTTCACTCATGATTTGGCTCTCTGTTTGTCTGTTGTTGGTGTATAAGAATGCTTGTGATTTTTGTACATTGATTTTGTATCCTGAGACTTTGCTGAAGTTGCTTATCAGCTTAAGGAGATTTTGGGCTGAGACGATGGGGTTTTCTAGATAAACAATCATGTCGTCTGCAAACAGGGACAATTTGACTTCCTCTTTTCCTAATTGAATACCCTTTATTTCCTTCTCCTGCCTGATTGCCCTGGCCAGAACTTCCAACACTATGTTGAATAGGAGCGGTGAGAGAGGGCATCCCTGTCTTGTGCCAGTTTTCAAAGGGAATGCTTCCAGTTTTTGCCCATTCAGTATGATATTGGCTGTGGGTTTGTCATAGATAGCTCTTATTATTTTGAAATACGTCCCATCAATACCTAATTTATTGAGAGTTTTTAGCATGAAGGGTTGTTGAATTTTGTCAAAGGCTTTTTCTGCATCTATTGAGATAATCATGTGGTTTTTGTCTTTGGCTCTGTTTATATGCTGGATTACATTTATTGATTTGCGTATATTGAACCAGCCTTGCATCCCAGGGATGAAGCCCACTTGATCATGGTGGATAAGCTTTTTGATGTGCTGCTGGATTTGGTTTGCCAGTATTTTATTGAGGATTTTTGCATCAATGTTCATCAAGGATATTGGTCTAAAATTCTCTTTTTTGGTTGTGTCTCTGCCCGGCTTTGGTATCAGAATGATGCTGGCCTCATAAAATCAGTTAGGGAGGATTCCCTCTTTTTCTACTGATTGGAATAGTTTCAGAAGGAATGGTACCAGTTCCTCCTTGCACCTCTGGTAGAATTCGGCTGTGAATCCATCTGGTCCTGGACTCTTTTTGGTTGGTAAACTATTGATTATTGCCACAATTTCAGATCCTGTTATTGGTCTATTCAGAGATTCAACTTCTTCCTGGTTTAGTCTTGGGAGAGTGTATGTGTCGAGGAATGTATCCATTTCTTCTAGATTTTCTAGTTTATTTGCATAGAGGTGTTTGTAGTATTCTCTGATGGTAGTTTGTATTTCTGTGGGATCGGTGGTGATATCCCCTTTATCATTTTTTATTGTGTCTATTTGATTCTTCTCTCTTTTTTTCTTTATTAGTCTTGCTAGCGGTCTATCAATTTTGTTGATCCTTTCAAAAAACCAGCTCCTGGATTCATTGATTTTTTGAAGGGTTTTTTGTGTCTCTATTTCCTTCAGTTCTGTTCTGATTTTAGTTATTTCTTGCCTTCTGCTAGCTTTTGAATGTGTTTGCTCTTGCTTTTCTAGTTCTTTTAATTGTGATGTTAGGGTGTCAATTTTGGATCTTTCCTGCTTTCTCTTGTAGGCATTTAGAGCTATAAATTTCCCTCTACACACTGCTTTGAATGCGTCCCAGAGATTCTGGTATGTGGTGTCTTTGCTCTCGTTGGTTTCAAAGAACATCTTTATTTCTGCCTTCATTTCGTTATGTACCCAGTAGTCATTCAGGAGCAGGTTGTTCAGTTTCCATGTAGTTGAGCGGCTTTGAGTGAGATTCTTAATCCTGAGTTCTAGTTTGATTGCACTGTGGTCTGAGAGATAGTTTGTTATAATTTCTGTTCTTTTACATTTGCTGAGGAGAGCTTTACTTCCAACTATGTGGTCAATTTTGGAATAGGTGTGGTGTGGTGCTGAAAAAAATGTATATTCTGTTGATTTGGGGTGGAGAGTTCTGTAGATGTCTATTAGGTCCGCTTGGTGCAGAGCTGAGTTCAATTCCTGGGTATCCTTGTTAACTTTCTGTCTCGTTGATCTGTCTAATGTTGACAGTGGGGTGTTAAAGTCTCCCATTATTAATGTGTGGGAGTCTAAGTCTCTTTGTAGGTCACTCAGGACTTGCTTTATGAATCTGGGTGCTCCTGTATTGGGTGCATAAATATTTAGGATAGTTAGCTCCTCTTGTTGAATTGATCCCTTTACCATTATGTAATGGCCTTCTTTGTCTCTTTTGATCTTTGTTGGTTTAAAGTCTGTTTTATCAGAGACTAGGATTGCAACCCCTGCCTTTTTTTGTTTTCCATTGGCTTGGTAAATCTTCCTCCATCCTTTTATTTTGAGCCTATGTGTGTCTCTGCACGTGAGATGGGTTTCCTGAATACAGCACACTGATGGGTCTTGACTCTTTATCCAACTTGCCAGTCTGTGTCTTTTAATTGCAGAATTTAGTCCATTTATATTTAAAGTTAATATTGTTATGTGTGAATTTGATCCTGTCATTATGATGTTAGCTGGTGATTTTGCTTGTTAGTTGATGCAGTTTCTTCCTAGTCTCGATGGTCTTTACATTTTGGCATGATTTTGCAGCGGCTGGTACCGGTTGTTCCTTTCCATGTTTAGCGCTTCCTTCAGGAGCTCTTTTAGGGCAGGCCTGGTGGTGACAAAATCTCTCAGCATTTGCTTGTCTATAAAGTATTTTATTTCTCCTTCACTTATGAAGCTTAGTTTGGCTGGATATGAAATTCTGGGTTGAAAATTCTTTTCTTTAAGAATGTTGAATATTGGCCCCCACTCTCTTCTGGCTTGTAGGGTTTCTGCCGAGAGATCCGCTGTTAGTCTGATGGGCTTTCCTTTGAGGGTAACCCGATCTTTCTCTCTGGCTGCCCTTAACATTTTTTCCTTCATTTCAACTTTGTTGAATCTGACAATTATGTGTCTTGGAGTTGCTCTTCTCGAGGAGTATCTTTGTGGCGTTCTCTGTATTTCCTGAATCTGAACGTTGGCCTGCCTTGCTAGATTGGGGAAGTTCTCCTGGATAATATCCTGCAGAGTGTTTTCCAACTTGGTTCCCTTCTCCACATCACTTTCAGGTACACCAATCAGACGTAGATTTGGTCTTTTCACATAGTCCCATATTTCTTGGAGGCTTTGCTCATTTCTTTTTATTCTTTTTTCTCTAAACTTCCCTTCTCGCTTCATTTCATTCATTTCATCTTCCATTGCTGATACCCTTTCTTCCAGTTGATCGCATCGGCTCCTGAGGCTTCTGCATTCTTCACGTGGTTCTCGAGCCTTGGGTTTTCAGCTCCATCAGCTCCTTTAAGCACTTCTCTGTATTGGTTATTCTAGTTATACATTCTTCTAAATTTTTTCAAAGTTTTCAACTTCTTTGCCTTTGGTTTGAATGTCCTTCCATAGCTCAGAGTAATTTGATCGTCTGAAGCCTTCTTCTCTCAGCTCGTCAAAATCATTCTCCATCCAGCTTTGTTCCATTGCTGGTGAGGAACTGCGTTCCTTTGGAGGAGGAGAGGTGCTCTGCGTTTTAGAGTTTCCAGTTTTTCTGTTCTGTTTTTTCCCCATCTTTGTGGTTTTATCTACTTTTGGTCTTTGATGATGGTGATGTACAGATGGGTTTTCGGTGTAGATGTCCTTTCTGGTTGTTAGTTTTCCTTCTAACAGACAGGACCCTCAGCTGCAGGTCTGTTGGAATACCCTGCCGTGTGAGGTGTCAGTGTGCCCCTGCTGGGGGGTGCCTCCCAGTTAGGCTGCTCGGGGGTCAGGGGTCAGGGACCCACTTGAGGAGGCAGTCTGCCCGTTCTCAGATCTCCAGCTGCGTGCTGGGAGAACCACTGCTCTCTTCAAAGCTGTCAGACAGGGACACTTAAGTCTGCAGAGGTTACTGCTGTCTTTTTGTTTGTCTGTGCCCTGCCCCCAGAGGTGGAGCCTACAGAGGCAGGCAGGCCTCCTTGAGCTGTGGTGGGCTCCACCCAGTTCGAGCTTCCCAGCTGCTTTGTTTACCTAAGCAAGCCTGGGCAATGGTGGGCGCCCCTCCCCCAGCCTCGTTGCCGCCTTGCAGTTTGATCTCAGACTGCTGTGCTAGCAATCAGTGAGATTCCGTGGGCGTAGGACCCTCTGAGCCAGGTGTGGGATATAGTCTCGTGGTGCGCCGTTTTTTAAGCCGGTCTGAAAAGCGCAATATTCGGGTGGGAGTGACCCGATTTTCCAGGTGCGTCTGTCACCCCTTTCTTTGACTCGGAAAGGGAACTCCCTGACCCCTTGCGCTTCCCAGGTGAGGCAATGCCTTGCCCTGCTTCGGCTCGCGCACGGTGCACGCACACACTGGCCTGCGCCCACTGTCTGGCACTCCCTAGTGAGATGAACCCGGTACCTCAGATGGAAATGCAGAAATCACCCGTCTTCTGCGTCGCTCACGCTGGGAGCTGTAGACCGGAGCTGTTCCTATTCGGCCATCTTGGCTCCTCCCTGGAATAATGTTTTTAAATGCATAAAATAGAATTACATAGAACTAAATAGGAAACCAATTATATTGACATAAAGTTATCAAAATATTTAAAAAACAAATGTGTTTTCATAATATGTCTTTTTTATTGTGTTAAATGACAAGATCTAGTGACAGTTCTAAAAACTATCGCAACTTTGAAGTAGTGATGAATGTAAATTGAGAAAGTTGAAAAATCTCCCATGATATGAAAATAATAGTTTTTCATATTTTGACAGTCACAGAAACTGCTTATAGAAAGTACTAGAGTTTTGTTTTTTCCCATAATTCTAAATGTAAATTCACATTTAGAATTCTAAATATGAATTCACATTTAGAATTATGGGAAATGCTAAAGCTTAGAGATTAATAAAAATAAAGATGTAATTTTTTCTCCATCCAAGTCCATGGACCTCCTTAAACCCAGGGCAAGATCCTTTGGTAATGAAATCAGTGGTTCTCATCCCCCAGGGGACATTTGGCAATGTTCTAGAGACATTTTTGGTTGTTTCTCCTGGGGGAGGGGTATTGGCATCTAATGGGTAAAGGCCAAAGATGCTACTAAATATCCTCCAACACACAGCACGTCCTCCTACAACAAACAATTATCCAGCCCAAAATGTGAACTGTGCTGAGATCCAAGAACACTTGGATCTGGAGAAACTAGAGTCTGAATGAAGAAGATTCTCCAAAGAGAGCTGAGAAACTGACCTTGCACATACCACACACCCTGTCGTTAGGAAACCTGAAAAGCATATTGCCCCTACTTGCACCCTCAGTGTTGCTAGTGTCTACAAGTTGTTCCCATGGTAACACAATTCAAGGCAGACACAGGAAAGAGCACAAGTACAATATGGGTAAAGGAACTGCGTATGTTTTTAAGAGAAAAGCAACTCACTGATAAAAAGACATTTCATTTGGTTTTGAAAGTTTGGAAGTTCATCAAAAAGTAAGTAATAAAGCCTCTCCTTCCCCACTCTCATGCCAGGAAAAAAAGGCAGGATTGTGATTCACAAGGTTTGTGCTTCTTATAACACCTAAGTTCCCCAGAATGAAAATAGTGTTTGAGACTTAGATCCAGTGAAGACAATCTGGATATCATTTTGTGACATCCAGAGTGGGTTGAGGGTGGTGCTTAAAGATGAAACAGAAATGTGCTGATCTGGAGGCGAGAGGCTGGCTTTCCTGAGACTGGCAGCTAATATGAGGGATGGTAACAGATTCCCCTCTTGATCAAATTTTAGTTAACGTTTCTACGAGCCCTCTTCTTATCTAGGCCTTATCTTAGGTCCATCCTTGGCCTGGCTTTAGCAAGAATCCTGCTAACTCAGTTTAGCAAGAAGTCCCCAGCCCTTGTTATCTGATCAAATTCCTCATCCTTGATATCTTAATATCTTAGTCCTTGACCTGCCTTTAGTTAGAATCTTGTTAAGCCAGTTTAGCAAAAATCCCTCTACTATTTCATATCTACTGTCCCCAGCTGTCTTTGCTGTAGTCAGAGCTGAGTTCAGTCTCTCTCTACTATTTGAAATACTCTCAAATAAAGTCTCCCATATCATTTTAACAAGTGTCAAAATAATTTTGTTTCAAGAGTCAAGGCCCAAGCTCCACAGCACCGAGAATGGGAAAGTGGTCCCGGAATGTGTGAGAGGCTGAGCACTAAGGGATATGGCTTTCTAGAGAGCAGTGGCTAGGACCTGGGGACTGAGCCCATGATCAGCAGGGAGGACTCCTGTGAGGGGGATCTCTATGCCCGACAGAAGCAGAGGACCAGCAGCAGCTCATCCTGAAAGGGAAAGAACAATAGAACTCACGGGGCACTATGAAGAAACTGCACCAACTAATGGGCAAAATAACCAGCTAGCATCAAAAGGACAGGATCAAATTCATAAAAAACAATATTAACCTTAAATGTAAACAGGCTAAACGCCCCAATTAAAAGGCACAGAGTGGAAAACTGGATAAAGAGTCAAGACCCATGGTGTGCTATATTCAGGAGACCCATCTCATGTGCAAAGACACATATAGGCTCAAAATAAAGGGATGGAGGAAGGATGGAGGAAGATTTACCAAGCAAATGGAAAGCAAAAAAAGCAGGGGTTGTAATCCTAGTCTCTGATAAAACAGACTTTAAACCAACAAAGATCAAAAAAGACAAAGAAGGGCATTACATAATGGTAAAGGGATCAATGCAATAAGAAGAGCTAACTTCTCGGTGATTATACATATATATATACACATACATACATACATATATATATATAATATATATCCTAAATATATATGCACCCAATACAGGAGCACCCAGATTCATAAAGCAAGTTCTTAGAGACCTACAAAGAGACCTACACTCCCACACAATAACAGTGGGAGACTTTAACACCCCACTGCCAACATTAGACAGATCAATGAGACAGAAAATTAACAAGGATATTCAGAACTTGAACTCAGCTCTGGACCAAGTGGACCTAATAGACATCTACAGAACTCTCCACCCCAAATCAACAGAATATACACTCTTCTCAGCATCACATCACACCTATTCCAAAATTGACCACATAATTGGAAGTAAAACACTCCTCAGCAAATGCAGAAGAACAGAAATCACAACAAACTGTCTCTCAGACCACAGTGCAATCAAATTAGAACTCAGGATTAAGAAACTCACTCAAAACTGCACAACTACATGGAAACTGAACAACCTGCTCCTGAAAGACTACTGGGTAAATAGCAAAATTAAGGCAGAAATAAATAAGTTCTTTGAAACCAATGAGAACAAAGACACAATATACCAGAATCTCCGGGACGCAGCTAAAGCAGTGTTTAGAGGGAAATTTATAGCACTAAATGCCCACAGAAGAAAGTGGGAAAGTTCTAAAATTGACACCCTAACATCACAATTAAAAGAACTACAGAAGCAACAGCAAACAAATTCAAAAGGTAGCAGAAAACAAGAAATAACTAAGATCAGAGCAGAACTGAAGGAGATAGAGACATGAAAAACCCTTCAAAAAAATCAGTGAACTCAGGAGCTGTTTTTTTTGAAAAGATTAACAAAATAGATGGACCACTAATAAAGAAGAGAGAAGAATCAAACAGACACAATAAAAAAATGATAAAGCAGATATCACCACTGATGCCACAGAAATACAAACCACCATCAGAGAATAAATACTACAAACACCACTATGCAAATAAACTAGAAAATCTAGAAGAAATGGATGAATTCCTGGACACATACACCCTCCCAAGACTAAACCAGGAAGAAGTAGAATCTCTGAATAGACTAATAACAAGTTCTGAAATTGAGGCAGTAATTAATAGCCTACCAACCAAAAAAAGCCCAGGACCAGACAGATTCACAGCCAAATTCTACCACAGGTACAAAGAGCAGCTGGTACCATTCCTTCCAAAACGATTCCAAATAATAGAAAAAGAGGGACTCCCCACTAACTCATTTTATGAGGCCAGCATCATCCTGATACCAAAACCTGGCACAGACACAACAAAAAAAAGAAAATTTCAGGCCAATATCTCTGATGAACTTCGATGCGAAAATTCTCAATAAAATACTGGCTAACTGAATCCAGCAGCACATTAAAAAGCTTATCCACCACGACCAAGTCAGCTTCATCCCTGGGATGCAAGACTGGTTTAACACACACAAACCAATAAACTTAATCCATCACATAAACAGAACCAATGACGAAAACCACATAATTATCTCAATAGATGCAGAAAAGGCCTTCAACAAAATTCAACACCCCTTCATGATAAAAACACTCAATAAACTAAGTATTGATGGAATATATCTCAAAATATTAAGAGCTATTTATGACAAACCCACAGCCAGTATAATACTGAATGGGTAAAAGCTGGAAGCATTCCCTTTGAAAACCGGCACAAGACAAGGATGCCCTCTCTCACCACTCCTATTCAATATAGTAGTATTGGAAGTCCTGGCCAGGGCAATCAGGAAAGAGAAAGAAATAAAGGATATTCGAATAGGAAGAGAGGAAGTCAAATTACCTCTGTTTGCAGATGACATGATTGCATATTTAGAAAACCCCATCATCCTAGCCCAAAAACTCCTTAAGCTGATAAGCAACTTTAGCAAAGTCTCAGAATACGAAATCAATGTGCAAAAATCACAAGCATTCCTACACACCAATAAAAGAGAGCCAAATCGTGAGCTAACTCCCATTCACAATTGCTATAAAGAGAATAAAATACCTAGGAATAGAAGTTACAAGGGATGTGAAGGACCCTTTCAAGGAGAACTACAAACCACTGCTCAAGGAAGTAAGAAAGGACACAAACAAATGGAAAAACATTCCACACTCATGGATAGGAAGAATCAATATCGTGAAAATGACCATACCACCCAAAGTAATTTATAGATTCAATGCTATTCCCATCAAGACACCATTTACTTCCTTCACAGAATTAGAAAAAACTAATTTAAATTTCACATGGAATCAAAAAAGCACCCATATAGCCAAGACAATTTAAAGCAAAAAGAACAAAGCTGGAGGCATCACACTACCTGACTTCAAACTATACTACAAGGCTACAGTATCCAAAACAGCATGGTACTGGTACCAAAACAGATATATAGACCAATGGAACACAATAGAGGCCTCAGAAATAACACCACACATCTACAACCATCTGACCTTTGACAAACCTGACAAAAACAAGCAATGGGGAAAGGATTCCCTATTTAATAAATGGTGCTGGGAAAACTGACTAGCCATATGCAGAAAACTGAAACTGGACCCCTTCCTTACACCTTATACAAAAATTAACTCAAGATGGATTAAAGATTTAAATGTAAGGTCTAAAACCATAAAAATCCTAGAAGAAAATCTAGACAGTATTATTCAGGACACAGGCATGAGCAAAGACTTCATAACTAAAACACCAAAAGCAATGACAACAAAAGCCAAAATTGACAAATGGTATCTAATTAAACTAAAGAGCTTCTGCACAGCAAAAGAAACTATCATCAGAGTGAACAGGCAACCTACAGAATGGGAGAATATTTTTGCCATCTATCCATGTGACGGCTAATATCCAGAATCTACAAGAAATGTAAATAAATTTATAAGAAAAAAACAACCCCATCAAAAAATAGGCCAAGGATATGAACAGACACTTTTCAAAAGAAGATATTTATTTGGCCAACAAACATATGAAAGAAAGCTCATCATCACTGGTCTTTAGAGAAATGCAAATCAAAACCACAATGAGATACCATCACACACCAGTTAGAATGGCAATCATTAAAAAGTCAGGAAACAACAGATGCTGGAGATGATGTGGAGAAATAGAAATGCTTTTACACTGTTGGTGGGAGTGTAAATTAGTTCAACCATTGTGGAAGACAGTGTGGTGATTCCTCAAGGATCTAGAATCAGAAATACCATTTGACCCAACAATCCCATTACTTGGGTATATACTGGGTATATACCCAAAGGATTATAAATCATTCTACTATAAAGACACATGCACATGTATGTTTATTGAACTTAGAGTATAATTTTAAAAAATAGTTAAAAATTGGAAACAACTCAAATATCCATTGAAATTAGAATAGATAAATATGTAAAATAGTTGTACAATTCAAGACAATGCAGAAATGGGAATAAATGAAATACAACTACATACAACATAGGTGGATCAAACAAACATATCATAAAATTCCATTTATAGAAGGTTTAAAAATAACCCATACAAATCCAAGGTGTTGGAACTCAGGATATTAATTACTCTTGGGTTAGTGACTTAAATAGGGAATGAGAATGGCTTCTGGAATTCTAGAATGTTTTCTTTCTTTCTTTTCTTTTCTTTTTCTTTTTCTTTTTCTTTTTCTTTTTTTGACAGAGTTTCACTCTGTTGCCCAGGCTGGAGTATAGTGGCACCATCTTGGCTCACTGCAACATCTGCCTCCCAGGCTCAAGCGATTCTCACTTGTGCACCTCAGCCTCCCAAGTAGCTGGGATTACACGAATGTACCACTGCACCTGGCTAATTTGTGGGTGTGTATGTGTGTTTAGTAGAGGTGGGGTTTCACCATGTTGGCCACACTGGTCTCGAACTCCTGGCCTCAAGTGATCCACCCACCTTGGCCTGCCAAAGTGCTGAGATTACAGGCATGAGCCACCACACCTGGCCAGAATGTATCATTTCTTGATCTGAGTCTGGTTACAGAGATGTATTCACTTTGCCAATATCAATGATGTTACATACTCATGATTTGTGTACTTTTCTTTATGTATGTGTGAGCAAAGAGTTAATAGCAGGTCTGTACCATTTTTCTCCCAGAACTATGCCTGCTTGGGAAATTTTAGGTTTGTCTTATCCCAGCACGAGTTTCTTGTAAATGACCCAAATTAAGATAAATTTGGAATATTGGGTACCAGGGACAGACATCCATTTTGTGCACTGTGAAACCTACAATCTATGGGACAGTACATGGGGCTGGGAGACCTGTGAACCGTAGGCCTATATGACTGGTGGGAAACCCACATAGAAGCTTCTTTGCATCAAGGCAAACCCCCACATACCACAACCTCATCCAAATACCACAAGCTCATGCACGCTCTTTAGGCAGGTGAGGAGGGACCCAAGCATCATGCATGCTTAATTTCCTGTCCTGTATCCTACTATAAAGCTAAGCAAATTTAGTGCTAGGCTAAATGCTATTGTATCTCATCAGTTTGCTTGCCAGTCCAAACATGTTCCCAATACCATGGTGGTACCATGTATTGCACTTCAATAAAAAGTTTACTAAATTCCTTTATCTATTCTTGCCAAAAGGTTATTTTCACTGATTATATATTCCGCTTGGCCTCCAAATTCCTTCCATTTTTCTGAGCCTCCTCGCTGTCTGTTGACCTCCTATATTCTCCTTTTTAGGACTCTACAATTGACCCCTAAACCTCCTATTCATTTTTTTATGCAGAGCTGTTTAAATATTGCACTATCTCACCTCAAATGACCCAGAGAACCCTCATATCAATAACTAATATTAAGATTGGTTGCAAAACATAGTTCCTTTCCAGGAGAACTTGTATAACTATCTCTTTTTTTTTTGACAGAGTCTCACTCTGTCACCCAGGATAGAGGGCAGTAGCACAGTCTCAGCTCACCGCAACTTCCACCTCCTGGGTTCAAGCAATTCTCCTGCCTCAGCCTCCCGAGTAGCTGGGATTACAGGCACGTGCCACCACGCCTGGCTAACTTTTCGTATTTTTAGTAGAGACAGGGTTTCACCATGTTGGCCAGGCTGATCTCTAACTCCTGACCTCAGATGATCCACCCGCCTCGGCCTCCCAAAGTGCTGGATTACAGGCATGAGCCATTGTGCCTGGCTGACTACCTCTTAAGGAAACTTTTTTGTTTAGTTAGACAAAGAATGGTAAATCTCTTTCCACGCACATTCAAAATTCACACATTATCTGGACTCTTAGTTACCTAGGACATACCCCCAGTTATTCTTGTACCTAATTTGGTACCTCAAATTTTCCCGAGGTGTTAAAACAAAAGGAATAGAGCTTGCCTAGCACCTTAGAAGTGCTGCACCCTCTTAGAAGTGCCAGGCACTGTCATAGTTGTTGCCCTCTTAGAATGATTTGCCTCTGGGTGTCACTCTTTGCTCTGTACCTGGTACAACTATAGTGATGGCAGATGCTCCATACTCAGTCCTAGCTTTTCAGTGTTTGGCTTTGCTGGGTTTTTTCTTTCTTTCTTTTTGAGAGAAATGGGGACTTCCAAGCTGAGTAAAACCTGGAAAGGGCAACTTACTGCAGCCATATATTGATACTACATTATTTCCTATGTCATAATATTAACCTCCCTTCCATCTGCTTTTGCTGTTTAGTAGTCTCATGTCTTCTTGAGCTAGACTATCTTATGTAAATTCATGTTATGTGAATTGAGGTCTCAGTAATAACAGCCTTCTGTCTTTCCTCACCGTAACAGGAGTCATAGGAAAGGGGGTGTGATAGTCTCAGAAACAGCCTAGCATCTCATACAAACTTGTTTCTGTTTTTGAGACAGGGTCTCGCTCTATCACCCAGGCTGGAGTGCAGTGGCACAATCATGGCTCACTGCAGCCTTGATCTCCTGGGCTCCTGTCTCAGCCTCCCAAGTAGCTGGGACTACGTGCATGCATGCACCACTACACCTAGCTTTTTTTTTCTTTTTTCTTTTTTCTTGTAATAGAGATAGGATCTCACTTTGTTGCCCAGGCTGGTCTCAAACTGGGCTCAAGTTATCTTCCCACCTTGGCCTCCCAAAGTGCTGGGATTATAGGCATGAGCCACCACATTCAGCCCAAACATTTCTGAGACCACTACTTGAACTATCAAGTCTCCTCTTGTAACTGATTCTCATTAGAAATAATACACATTTATTGAATGTCATTGATATATAAAGATACCATTCTTTGAGTGGGGGAAATATAATTTAAAAGTCGCAACTACTGACAATCAACAAATAAACTCTAATGAGAATCATAAAGCTTGTTCCCAGAGAACCATGATACAGGGTGGGACAGTACGCAAATAATGGGCTCCTGTTGTCAGACTTCATGGTGATTACATTAGTGCTTTCTCCAGTATCTTTCTTCCTATTGTACTCCTGAAGCACTCAGAATGATAAAGATAAATTTCTGATCATTCCTACAAAGAGTGCAGGCAAAGTTAAGATTTAACTGTGATTGCTGGTTGTTTCATCTCGAATTCAAAATCCTGGATTTCCGAAACAATGGAGCTTGATGTCACATTTGGCTATCTTGCTTTTGTCTCCTCTTCTGGAAAGAACAAATCATCTTCCTGAAAATTACAGGAGACACTTAGTATGACAAAATAAGGCCTCTGAAACTGTCCAATCTCACATGTAAAAAGTGTAAAATCACAGAACTAAAATCAGGTTCCGGATTTTCCTGGAAATAGAATGTCACCGGGATCTGTTCAAAGGTGAGCTTTGGCTACATTTTATAACAGTGTTTAAAACTCGAATGCAAAAAACTGCTTTCAATATAATCAGATATGTGCAAAAACAATTTGTTAAATAACATGGGAAGATTATATTAACAAAAGACATTTCCAGAATACTAACATTCATGTGATTTATAAAGGTGCATTTTCTGTAAAGAGCTATACAGCCCAAAAACATGAAATTCTTCAAGGGAGTCCCCTTTATCCCATGAGTTGGAAGAATTTATTTTCATATTCTATGCATGGATCACTGAAGTGATGAATGTCACTCGTCTTCAAGAAGGAAGCACTCTCAGCCTTGTGAAGAAGAACCTCAAGGGTTCCTGGGGCTATGATCATGAAGAGCACCACAATGAAGACTGCTGCGAAGTCTTTTTCACTTCTTCACATTTGGGATGTGAAATATTTTACAGAAAAATAAGAGTGTGCAAATCCCTCTCACACATAGAAAAACGATTGTGTGAATATTCTTAAATTTTTAAAACTTTTAAAAACTGTGATCTTTGCACTGTTTTCAAGAGTCAGCAACTCTGAAGAAAGATATTCACCATAAGTGACCCCATATGGTGAAGATATTCACAATAAATGACAGTTTTGCAAGATGACTCTTTGGGTTGGCATTCTGTTTCCGGTCACCAGGTTTCCGCAATCTCTGTGACAGCCCGCAGCAGCTCGGCAAATGTAGGGCGGCCTTCAGGTTTCTGGAAAAGGGAAGTGGGGGTGGTTAGCTCAGCTTAACCAACTTATGCCAAGGGTTCCATTTTTGGAACGCTAAGCATGTGGGAGTCACTTATATCCCACTGCTCGAGGTCATCGCCAAGGTCTGATTTTTCACTCATGCAAAAATTCAAAAAATTGCCACCTGCGGCATAAATAGGCTAAGGATCACTCAGAGACCAGCTCTGGAACTTGCTGGCAGAGACCTGAATCCAGGCTGGCTCTTCACAAAAAGGAAGAGAAAGATATCTTGACTGACTGACATAGCACAGCATGATTGGCAGTTGAGTGAGGCGTGAATATGAAAATGTTAGAGAATGTTGCAAAAATAAAACGGCTAGACCTGCAAACACTAGCCACATGTGGCTATTTAAATTTAAATTCCTTAAGATTATATAAATGTTTAAATTCAGTTACTCAGTCGTGCTAGCCACTTTTCAAGAACCCAATAGCCAGAAGTGGCTGCCATATTGGGCAGCACAGATATAGAACGTTTCAGCATCTCAGAAAGTACTCTAGGACACCACGACCCTAGAGATATATTTGAATGACTTGACATGTGTGAGGTAAAGAAAGGGCTGGGAGAAGGGGCATCTAGCATACCAGGCTCCCAAGCTCAGTTCAGGGTATCTATGACACCTGAGCCATTATAGAAAGGAGGATTTCAGTCAGAAAGCAAAAGGCATGTTTTCATGAGGGACTTTGAAGGTCTTGGGGCACAGGTTGTGCTTTCAGTCTCAGTCAACAGAAAAATAAGAGTGTGGAAGTCCCTCTCACACATAGAAAAATGATTGCTGAATATTCTTACATTTTAAAAAGTTTTAAAAGCCTGTGATCTTTGCACAGTTTTTGAGTCAGCAACTCTAAAGGAAGATATTCACCATAAGTGACCCCATATCCCTGGTCATGGAGCCAAGGATTGGAGCATTTTTTCCTACTTCACTTAGGGGTGTGGTTTAGCTCTGATTCCAAGAGGAAGAAGAGATGGCACTGTCAGCATCTTTTAAAACCATGGGAAACAGAGCTACTCATAGTAGCCACATTCTCACAGGGGTCATTGACAGTAGGGTCAGCGGAAAGACACCCCTCTTCATGGCTTATAAACAGAGAGCATCAGTAAAATAAACAGAGCAGAAGACAGCACAAGTGCAAGTGAGGGTCCTTATTGAGACTCTGGGCATAAATTGTGGAGCTCTGTGAGGAGCCTGTTTCTGCGCATGAATCCTGAAATTTGTCTCTCAAAGATAGCATAATCACGTTTGACTCTAATGCCCTAAGCACATGGGGTAAAGCTGTAGGCAATATCAACTTTTGCACCTGACATAATGACTCACATCTGTAATCCCAGCACTTTGGGAGGCCAAGGTAGGAGGACTGCTTGAGGCCTGGGCAACAAAGTGAGACCCCATCTCTAGAAAAAATTTTAAAAAATTAGCTGGTCATGGTGGCACATCACTGTAGTCCCAGCTATTCAGGAGGCTGAGCTGGGCGGATTGCGTAAGCCCAGGAGGTCAAGGCTGCAGTGAGATGTGATTGTGCCACTGCACTGTAGTCTGGGAAACAGAGCAAGACTCTGTCTCAAAAATAAATCAATCTTTTCTTTTCTTTTTTTTTTTTTTTTTTTGAGACAGTCTGGCCCAGTCACCCAGGCTGGAGTGCAATGGTGGGATCTTGGCTCACTGCAACCTCTGCCTCCCAGGTTCAAACAATTCTCCTGCCTCAGCCTCCTGAGTAGCTGGGATTACAGGTGCCCGCCACCATGCCCAGCTAATTTTTTTGTATTTTTAGTAGAGACGGGGTTTCACCATGTTAGCCAGGCTGGTCTCGAACTCCCAGCCTCGTGATTCGCCCACCTCAGCCTCCCAAAGTGCTGGGATTACAAGCATGAGCCACCACACCCGGCCAAATCAACTTTTTCAAACAAATAAATCGACATAACCACACCATTGTATTAATCAATGTTCTGATTGCAATTTGAGACAAATGTTGTTTACATGGTCCTTCTGACAGCATCCTACTTATCACTTCCCTTCCTCCTTCTATGTCTCAGTTCCACTTACATATAACATCTCAATAAGCATTATATTACACACACACGTGTGTATTATTTCATACACAACATATACTTCTGAGCTACTTACATTGTTATTGCAAAGATGCTCCTAAAACGGCTGCTTATTACTACTCACTGAACATTTTTCTGAACATTTTTTTCTTACAGCTTGCTGAGCATTTTTCTATGTCTTTCAAGATTCCTTGTAAAGTAGTTAATATATGTAAAATATTTTCATACATTGGGGCTCTCTATAAATGTAATGCTTTTGGAATATGAATAACCACATCACTCTTAAAATATTCAATATTCTAGTGTTTGTGGATTGATAATCAAGTGCTTTATTTTTTCAGCCAGGAGGAAACTTCTCATCAAGCTGCAATTTCCAGCTGAAACTGTCAGCTGGAAAGAGACCAAAGCTCTCAAAATCAAAGGGAATTTCACTGAGAAGGGCAGGGGTGTGTTGAGTCAGTGCCCAGAGGTGGAAAAGAAGCCCCTCTGGCTTTATTTCTAAGCTTGGCATTTCAACAAATAGAAAAACTAAGTTCTGGAGAGATTTCTTCCTGAGTGGAAGTTCCTGACACACTTTCTGCCTCCATTCCTATTCTAGTTTAATCTGTAGCAGGAGTCCTGACTGCCAGAAGACAGATGAAACCCATTACTATTAGCGTTGGAAAAGCAAGACAAAGCAAAGTTGAGTGAAGTAAATGGAAACACCATCTTTCTTTTTCAACCTGGAAATTTAACAAGCCTGGTTCTACCCTTAGTTTCCACCATTAATTCTTTTATTTATTTGCTTATTTATTTATTTATTTATTTTTTGAGACAGAGTCTTGTTCTGTTGTCCAGGCTGGAGTGTAGTGGCGCAATCTCAGCTCACTGTAGCCTTTGCCTCCTGGGTTCGAGCAATTCTCCTATCTCCGCCTCCCAAGTAGCTGGAATTACAGGCATGCACCACCAGGCCTGGCTAATTTTTGTATTTTTAGTAGAGACAGGGTTTCACCATGTTGGCCAGGCTGGTCTCAAACTCCTGACCTCAAGTGATCTGGCCACCTCGGCCTCCCAAAGTGCTGGGGTTACAGGCGTGAGCCACCACACACAGCCTCCATCATTTAATTCTTTTTTTTTTTTTTTTTTTTTTTGAGATGGAGTCTCACTCTGTCGCCCAGGCTGGAGTGCAGTGGCGCCATCTCGGCTCACTGCAAGCTCCGCCTCCCAGGTTCAAGATTCTTCTCCTGCTTCAGCATCCCCAGTAGCTGGGATTACAGGCATGCACCACCACGCCCGGCTAATTTTTGTATTTTTAGTAGAGATGGGGTTTTACCACGTTGGCTGGGCTGGTCTCAAACTCCTGACCTCAGGTGATCCACCCGCCTCGGCCTCCCAAAGTGCTGAGATTACAGGCATGAGTCACTGCGCCCGGCCCATTAATTCTTAAAGCTAATAAAACATCTAATCACTGAGGCTTGAGTAACACCAAGAGTTTCTGCAAGAACCAATCTCAAACAGATAAGACTCAGAAAATGCACTGAATTCCTCAGATAAAAGGCCATTGTTCAAAACAAAATGGATTCATGACTTTGTAGTGAGTTTGAGATAGTACTTCAGACTCTCAGGATCATGACCAAGACACAGATGCCTTTTCCTGCCATGACAGAGTTCTGAAGTAATGTTTGTGATAATCAGGTCTGCTCTCAGATGCTGGGACTGCCAACCTTCATAGGAAAGTAACATATGCTTACCTCATGCCAGCAGCTGTACATGACTTCATATATGGACATTGGTGCCAGGTGAGGGCGATATAGCCTGAAGCCTTCAGAAATAGCTTCCACGACTTGCAAATTTGACTTATTTTCAAAAGGCATTTTTCCTTCTGTAAAAACTTCCCACATTAAAACTCCTGCAAACAAAAATGCAGGAAAACAAGGGGTTAGAGAGAAATGATTGCTTGGGAACTGAAAGAACAATTTCAAACTACAAGGCATTATTTTTGTGCTCCAGGCTTTGGGCTATAACCATCCTGAATAACAGCGGTTCTGTCAAGGAAGCAAATCATGTTCACTTTAGTTTTCAAAGAGGCCTGTAACCTGAAAATAATCTAAGTGAAAACAATGCCTTTCCTTGTCCATGGGTCTTGATTGCCTCTCCTATCAGGAGAAAATGCCAGTAGCATTTTCTTTTCTTTTTTTTTTTTTTTGAGACAGGGTCTCGCTCTGTCGCCCGGGCTGGAGTGCAGTGGCATGATCTCAGCTCACTGCAACCTCTGTCTACCGGGCTGGAGTGCAGTGGCATGATCTCAGCTCACTGCAACCTCTGTCTCCCGGGTTCAAGCAATTCTTCTGCTTCAGCCTCCTGAGTTGCTGGGATTATAGGTGCCCACCACCACGCCCAACTAATTTTTCTATTTTTAGTAGAGGCGGGGTTTCACCATGTTGGCCAGGCTGGTCTCGAGCTCTGACCTCAGGTGATTCGACCACCTCAGCCTCCCAAAGTGCTGGAATTACAAACGTAAGCCATCACGCCCGGCCTAGCATTTTCATTTCTAAGCAGCAGTCACGTTCCTGCATCCTGAAATCAATGAACCTTTCTGCCATTCCATAGAAACTGACAGGATTATGTGAGCCTCTGCTGCCTACTTAGCCAAGAGTTTCAGCCAGTAAATGGCATGTGTCCCCTTCTTTCTGCTAAAAGATTAGACTGATGGGCAGAGCCCCAGAATATCTAGCAGGGGCTCTGTACATAAGTAGATGTCCAATAATCATTGATTGATTGATTAGTGAAACTCCTGCAAGAACTCCTAATTTGAGTTCATTTAATTATTCACTTATTCTACAAATATTTACTAGACATTGATGAGAGGCGAGGCCTCTGCTGGGGCCTGGAGATTTTATAAGTGTGAGATCAATCCATGTGCCTAAGGAGCTCACTGTTCAGTGAGGGAGACAAGTAGGTAAAATTCAGGGAGTTCTAATTGTTTGGCAACCTTCGATGAGGTCGTTATATTGCTCTTCATTGGTCTCTAAGATGTGGTCTCACAACCTAATTGCTCTTCAGTAGAGCTTCAAGTGTCACCTGCTGAGACTATCATATGTCCATGGAGAGCTAATGAGATTAATGACACAAGCTTAACTTTATTGTATGTTTTTAAATTTATGTTTTAATTTTTTTGAGGCAGGGTCTTGCTCTGTCATCCAGGCTGGAGTACAGTGGCACGATCCTAGCTTACTATAACCTCAAACTCCTGGGCTCAAGCAATCCTCCTGCCTCAGCCTCCCGAGGAACTGGGACTACAGGTATATGCCACCACACCTGGCTAATTTTTTTTTTTTTTTTGTAAAGACAGAGTCTTGCTAGGTTGCCCAGGCTAGTCTTGAACTCCTGGTCTCAAACAATCCTCCCACTTCAGCCTCCCAAAGTGCTGGAATTGTAGGCCTGAGCCACTGTGCCCAGTTTTAACCTTATTGTAGACAATAAAACTGACACCCTTCTGAGGACCCAGAACCCACAAGCCTCCAGGAAGTTTGGGGTGAAAGAGGATAGATAGATTTTTGCATATTTATTACCATTTTTTGAAAATCAACCCCGAAACTTCATTGGACGTGGGTCTATGGTGTCTCTTTCTCAATGAAGAACATTATCCAATATGAATATCAATTTATAGATCCCAAGGAAGCCTATGTCTAAATTCCACAAACTTTAAAGTTAAGGAAGTAAATGAGATGCCACCATTTTTTAAACTCAGGTTTTAAGTTCAGGTTAACAACTGAACAACTGGAAAATAGTCAACCTGCTTCACAGTTTAGACAATTAAGTTTATTAATTACACTCTAAACAATGTCATAAGATCATTTTTCCTTCAAGCCTCTGCGGAGTGGAAAACTTATCTGAGTTTGTTTTCTAGATCAGTAGACTCTTTGTTATGGTTTTATAGTGAGTGCCCATGGAGGAAGGAAAAGATCCAAAAGGCAGACTTATGTAAGAAGGTATGTGACACCAGTTGCCAAAGACAGTCGGGATGTGGTTAGAACACACAGAAGGAAGCACAATTACAAGAAGACTTTTTAAAAAATGCTATATCAATTAGGAAATCAAAGTTAAAAATAACACATTGCCCATTTTATTAAATCAAGCTCCAGCAAGTGAACATCAGATGCACTCACCAAATGACCAGACATCAGATTTACTGCTGTACTTATTGAAAAGAAAAACTTCAGGAGGGGACCACTTGATTGGGAACTTGGCTCCAAAAGAACTGACATACTCATCATCCAAAACGTACCTAAGTTTATCAGATTCAAAGCATATTGTGTTAATTACCTCCAAGCTCTATTTACTTCAAATCCCTTTAGTTAACTCTAAGTTGCTAAAAGACAAAGTATTTTACCCCAGAAAGGTTGTGGATGCCTTCTTGTTAGTAGAGTGTGAAAGTGTCCCTGATAATGTTTCCTCCCCAAACAAAGTCTCAATTGTATTTGTTTTACGTGGACCTCTGAAAATCATAATGCTGCTTCAGTTCAAAACATGGCTCACTGTTTATGTTAATTATGGTAAATTCTTAACTCTACAAAGAAGCCTGCTAAAGGCTCTAACAACCAAGATTATAAAAAGGAAATAAAAGACCACTCTTCCCAGGGGTGGGGAAAACAAAGACCACTCTTCTTAAAATGGAAATGAATGATTCAAAGTTGGATGTCGAATTTTCTTCCATGTGCATGTTTTTTTGTGGGGCATACAGAAGGGGGGAAAGTAAAAGTATATGAACATAATGCTTCTGATATGACAAATCTCTAATGCACTAGAATGGCCCTATATGGAAAGAAACCAAGAATAACTACCGTCTCCTTAAAAAAATAACAAGTTGAACCCTCTCTCTTTTTTGAGAATTGTACACCGGGATGTCCAAATGTCAGACACTGAGGAGAAGAGACAAAAATAAACTTGTGCTTGTTGCCCCTTAAATATACAATATAGTGTTTTCACAGCATTTATTAATGCTGCCCCTATACTCTCACTTTTTTTTTAAATACACTACCTCCCTCCACCTGTCAGCACTTTATTGAGTCAGAGGTCATTCTACTTAGGTAAAGAATGACTAACAGAAAACAAAGAGAGAAAAGCCACTGTTTATAGATTTTGAATTTTTCAAGTCTAGGCTCTTCAGAGAAGAAAGATTGAGTTATTAACAAAATATCTTGGAAAATGGGCCATGAACAGGAGTGAGATCTCACTACCACCACCCCTATTACCACCACTATCTAGAAAAAGATCCCCTGAGCTTTGGGGGGATCTTTTTCCCCCAAAAAGAGGAATGGGGGAAATAGAAGGGAAAGAAAAGGGGGGTACTAGACATTAGTAGATCAGTGGGTTAGGGTCCTGTATCTTGTACCCTAAAGGGCTGCCCAAGTACTTTAGGAAAGAAGCTCCTACTCCCACATTAGGTTGGTGGGATTTAAAAGTGACACAGAACCAGTGCTCTTTTCCCCAGGTGGAGCCCTTGGAAAGGCAGAAAGATGCCAGTGAACAAATGGCTGTGGATGTGCCTAGGTAAATGAGATCTGAGATCACACCATGGAGTTTTGTAATCATAAAGAACGCCGGCCAGGTGAGACTGCTCACACCTGTAATCACAGCACTTTTGGAGGTGAGGTGGGTGGATATTTGATGTCAGGAGTTCAAGACCAGCCTGGCCAACATGGTGAAACCCCGCCTCTACCAAAAATAAAAAATTAGCTGGGCGTGGTGGCATGTGCCTGTAGTTCCAGCTACTCGGGGGGCTGAGGCAGGAGGATAGCTTGAGCCTGGGAGGTCGAGGCTGCAGTGAGCCGAGAGAGCACCACTGCACTCCAGCCTGGGTGACAGAGTAAGACTCTGTCGAAAAAAAAAATTGCCAGTTCTGAATGAATCTTGCAGAAAAAATTCAGTACGTGTTAGCAGCTACCTGTTTGAATGGCCAGCCAAAGACAAGACCGGAGGATGGTGGCTGCAATGATGCCATGCACACAGATAACAAAAGGACCAGTAAGCCACCTCACTACCAGTACTATAGCCCCACGAGACACAAGAACTTGGACTTTGAAGCTTAGGGAAGCTAGAGAGAAACCCCAAATTCCCTGTGATTATATTTCTAGCACCACCCCAAAAAAGGATGCTCAAAATTTAAACTATATTGAGTTGTAGAAAAATATGGTTAAATTTTTCACACTCTTGAATTTTAGACTTAAAGTCAACTACTATACTTAATAATAGAAATGTTTGGTGAGGACACAGAAAAATCAGAGCTGAGCAAACAAATTTATTTCTTTTTCTTCCATAAACATATGTATATCAGGAATGCTTTTTTCTTCACGTTTCTCAGTGTATCAAGAAATTCCTTTTTTAATTTTAAGATATACCATAGTTTTGCTAAAAGATGAGAAGAATAGCCCACAGTAAACATTTACCTCACAGCTAAAATTGGTACATGTCCCAAAATTCAAAGTGGGTCAGTAGGCCATACAACCAGGCCTACAACCTAGGAAGATAAAAACACAGCCTGCAGCATCTTCAGTTTATCAGTAAACAAATGTAAGATTCCCTCTTATGAGTAAACAAACAAACAAAATACATATATATATACATAGCATGTACCTTGTCATTCCAAAGTCTGAAATTTTTACTATGCATGTTGAACTGACCAAACAATTCCTTGCCGCCTATGGAAAGAAGAAAAGAATCCAAGTTTGAATACAAGCTTTTATTTCAAGAGTTTTTCCTCTCCTTTTCCTTAGGTTATTTGGACCCCACACTACCTCTCTGTGTGTACCGCCAAGTCATTTTTATGGTGATATCCATCAATGGTATAGATTCAATAGTTTGCCTTCACTTTTTTTTTTGAGACAGGATCTGGCTCTGTTGCCCAGGCTGGAGTGCAATGGCACCATGTTGGCTCACTGCAACCTTCCCCTCCTGGGGTCAAACCATCCTCCCACCTTAGCCTCTTAAGTAGCTGGTACTACAGGCACACATCACCACACCCAGCTAATTTTTCTATTTTTAATAGAGATGGGGTTTTGCCATGCTGCCCACGCTGGTCTTGAACTCCTGGCCTCAAATGACCCACCCACCTTGGCTTCCCAAAGTGCTGGGATTACAGGCATAAGCCACCATGCCCAGGCTGCCCTCAGGATTAATTCAATCTGAAAGATGATACAACTATGAATCTTGGCATAAAAATAGTGTATTTTTTTTAACATCTTTATAGGAAAGCCCAAAATACATAACAGATAAGGCATAGTCATTTTATATCTTTGGGATCTCTAATACGTAATAAAAATTAAGAAAATATATTTTAAAACATATCTCACTAAAGATAACTATTTACAGTGATAATTTCATATTAAAATTATCACAATGAACTGAATATAATGCTATGTAGAAACAATATGTCTGATGCCAAAGCAATTCATTTTCAGCAACTTAATCAAGAAAATCATTGATTTGATTATTTAGCCTCATGTAGGTAGATAAACTATTTGATAGAATTTTCCTCTTTTCAGCTAATTTGTGGTTCAATTAGTCAAGCAACAAAAGCAAGAAACTTGAAATAATAAATCACAAGTAACCAGTTTAGAAGATGCCAGCAAGTCCTAGCAATGACCAAACCACAAGAAAAGTTTTTGACAGGGAAAAGACTCATTGTTCACGGACATATTTTAAGTAGCATATAGGGAGATAAAATAGAACACAAAAGAAAATGAGCAAACAAGAAAAAAAAAACAGGAATAGGAGGACCTGTGAGAAGCCATTTAGAGCAAATAAAATGACCGGAACTTTCACCCAATTGTTATCCGGAAAGACAAACCTGCAGAGACTAGGAAAGTGAGCTAGGTGGAGTTTACACCATATTCATCCACTCAAAAATCTGCTCATTTCTCCTAGGTGCTGGATACGAGGGAATGTGACTTTAGGGATTTTTTTTTTAATGATCTATCTCTGTAATAGCAATAGTTAGCACTGCTGAGCTCCTCTACATGCTAGACACTGTTTATTAATTCATGTAATTCTCCCAACAAACCCATATGAGGAAGGTGCTATAATTAATACCATTTTACTGGTTAACTAGCTTGCCCAAGGTCTCACAGCTAGTAAAAAACGGAGACAATATTTCAACCCAGCTAGCCTGGCTCTAGAGCAGTTATTCTCAACCTCAACTTCACATGAGGCTCATCAGGGGAATTTTCAAAAAATATTGATGCCTGGGTTTCAGCCACAGAGATTCTGATTTAATTGGTCTGGGGTACGGCCTGGCTATTGCGATTTTTCTAAAAGCTTCCAAGTAATTGTAATGCGCACCAAAGTCTGAAGTTTGAGAATGACTGTTTGCAACCTGTGTTCTTAATCACTGCGTGGCATCTCAGATATCTAGGCCTTGATCTCAAAGACTCTAAGTCTCATAAGATAGACTCTAGTATTTGTGTAAATGACGTAAATAATTAACTATTGGGTGAAGCAGTAAATAGCAAATGACCTGAGTGTTCCAAGCCATGGGTGGGATAAGCATACTTCCCAAGGTGTGCTGGGGCCAATGTAATTATGCTCCCTTTTTCTCCCCAAAATACTGCAGCCTGAACAGTGAGTAATATGATCACTTTGATCATGTGTGATGGAAGCACAGAATTACTTCCAAGGGGCGATATCAGGGATTTCTCATAGACTTCTCCAATTCTCATTTGAGTTAATTTTTAGATTTAGAAATGAGACATGGAAGAACATAAGGACATCAAGGGAATAGTGTGAATATCACGAATAAATGTGGAATGAACAGAAAGTGTTACTCAAGGGGAGGTAGCAATGCAGGGAAGCAGTGCTCTTAGCATATGGTTTGGGGCAAGACAATCATTTATTTAAATAGGAATGTTCTGAGCATTACAGAAAAAAATAATTTAGCATTCCTAGTCTCTTCAATAATGCCAGTAGTGCTCTTGAAATCCTGTTAGGACCAAACAACCTCCACATCAGGAGCAGTTATGCCCCTAGGTGACATTCTTTATATAAAGTGGAGACTAAAACTGGAACTTGTTCTTCACTGTTGTATCTCCAGTGCTTAGCAGAATGCTTGGCATATACTAGGCACTTGATACATGTTTGATTATGGGTTGAAAGAGAGAAAGGTGGAAGGAAAGAAAGAAGAAGGAAGAGAAGGAAGAAGGGAGAATGGAAAGGAAAGGAAATCAGTTTTAGTCACATGATAGGTTAGGTGGTTAATTAGTTCAAGGCATATTTAGAGTAAAGCCTTACTTGGCTATGAAATCTCCTTTGCAAAATTATGACTGAGAACCTAACTGACTCCATCTTGCTTCTAACCTCCAAGCTGTCCTTGTTCATTCCTGGGCGTAGGCTAAACTAACTTTGGGAGGAATTTATAGTTTATAGTTTAAAACGAAGATGATAACAGCCCTTTCCCAAAACAAACCTCCCTCTTGCCTGGGGACTAGACTTCCTTTGTAGGACAGACAAATTAGCCACAAGATTAGAAATTATGGTTTAGGAGTCAGACAGCTGGAGGCTACAAGATTCTGATTCTCCTTAAACTGCTCCTAAGATCAGTGCTTGAGATATTTTGCAGACCCTGCACTTGATGGATCAGCTGGCACCACCCAGATCGATTAACTGGCTCACCTGATCTTCTGGCCCCCACCCAGGAACTGACTCAGCATGAGGACAGCTTCAACTTCCAATGGTTTCATCTCCTACCTAACCAATCAGCTCTCCTGGTTTACTGGCTTCCCCCCACCCACCAAGTTGTCCTTAAAAACTCTGGTCCCCATATGCTCGGGGAGACTGATATGAGTAATAATAAAACTCCAGTCTCCTGCACAGCCGGTTCTGTGTGAATTACTCTTTCTCTATCACAATTCCTCTGTCCTGATAAATCGGCTCTGTCTAGGCAGCAGGCAAGGTGAACCCATTCGGCCTTTACAGCTACAGCATCAATGGACAATTGAAAACAAAGTTACATTTTACAACAAATTGCATGAATAGGTAAATGTTTAAAAATTAAATCAAGGACACATTATTCAAAGTATTGAAAGTAATTGTCACATCCTTCTGAATATAGGTATGATACAAAAAAAAAAAGTAAATTTGCACCATACTTACCAAATCCCTATGAATATAGCCATTCCTCTCCAGATATTCCATTCCTTCACATATATCCTGGCATACACTCAGTAGCATTTCCTTCCTAAGCTTTCCTTTATTCTCCCTGAGATAGTTAAGCAGGCAGCCATTTTCCATGAACTCTGTCACAATGTAAAGGGGCTTCCGCTGTATACAGACTCCATAAAGTTGCACTAGCTTTGAATGAGATAATTTCCTGGTGAAGAAAAACATACACCAGTGAGCAGAATTGTGTTTGCATTTTTAAATGTTTGAACATAACTGGTAGTATTTACCATCTATTTATCACTCTCATTATCAAGATAAGATAAAAATCAACCCAAACACAGAGGAAGTAGTTCAGTTTCCTTGCCACTTAATGCACTGAGAATGTGGGGTCAAGAGTTTAAGTGGTAATGCCAGAGGCAGAGTGGAGACAGAATATACACTATATTCTACGCGTAAGCATTTTATGTTTCTCCTCTTCATTTTATAATCCTTTTGTTTCTTCATCACTGTTTATCCTTGCTAGGTCAAGCAGATTTCCTTTCCTGTTCCTTGAATTCCAACTTTCTTACCTGCAGCTGTCCAGATGAAAAATTCTGGACAGACAAGAGGGAGGAAAGAGTGACTAAAAGAGAAAACAAAAATTAAATTCTAAAGCATGAAGTTCTTTAAAAGGAAAATTGTAGATAAAGTTGGAAACTAAAAAACATTTACCAACATGAAAACTTGCAGTGTATTTGGTAATCACACACACACACACACACACACACACACACACACACACACAAAGACTTGAATGTTGCCTATTAAAATATACCCAGAACTTTTTAGTTATCTAGACTTCAAAAGTTTATTGGTTTTGTGTGCGTGTGTGTGTAATACTATATTCAATCTCTAAAAGCCTTTTATGCCAACTAGTCATCATGGAAAATAATATTCAAATTAATGCTTATAATTTTAGAAGATGTACCTTGTGTCAAATGCATCTTGAAAAGTTATTGCTTCTTTTCATTCTTTTCATTCATAAAGGTAAAATAAAATCAGTGACTTGGGAAGACTGTGTACCTTAACACAATGTATATGAACGATTTTTGACTCATTACCATAAAATTAGCTTGTGAAAACACTCCAGTTAATGTGGAAGAGAGGCATTCAGAGAACTTAACATTATCTTAATTTGGAGATATATATATATTATATATATTTTGTCTGATTTACTTTTTGAATTCATAAAGTGTACTTTCAGTTAAGAGATGCAGTTTACATATATATAGAGTAAGTGCAGAAAAGCAAGTCTTGAGATGAAATACTAATTTGCCACAAGAAATCCACCAAGTTGATACCCACATGGAAGCATTTGAGAATTGAAATGTTACTGCATTTCCTTATCAAGATCACTGGTAAAAATCTAACAGAAATAAGGCAAACCTTTATCAGAAATCAGGCAAAAACAAACTCTCGCATGTGATTCAGTCTAACAAATATGACAAATATTTCTCACAAGCATAGAAAGATGCAAATGGAAAATCTACATTCTTGTTTGTTATAACTCTAGGACTTCTTAATACACATTATTTCTCAGTTTAGAGAAGTATGTGGGATTCATCATAGGGCAAACACACATTTAAATTTATTTAAATTTGTTATTTAAATATTTTCAGACCCTTTGCAGGCTTCTCCAGTTCTCCTTTTCTAATCATTCTCTTTCCCTAAGTAATCGCATTAAGTTTCAGGGTTTTAAATATCATCATATCATTTTGATCACTCTCAAGTTAATACCCTCCACTCTGACCTTTTTCCTGAACCCCAGACTCATATATTTACCTCAACACTTGATCACACCTAATAAATAACAGGCTTCTCAAATCCAACATGTCCAAAGCAGAATTCTTGATTTTTCCCCCTAAACCCGTTTGGTCTTCCCCCATCTTTGTAAATGGTGCCATCCTTCGCCTGATATAATAATGTACACCAAAACCTCAGCATCATCTTTGTTCCTCTGGTTTCTTCCGACTACCTGCCACATTCAATTTATCAGCAAGTCTTGATGACTTTATCTCAAAAATGTATCCTGAAACAATTCTCCTCTTTCCATCTCTTGCCCTCTGACATATATTAGTTTTCCAAGAGTGTATTGATAATTATGTTCATTAAGATCAGGGTTTTTGTGCCCAGATAGTTCACAGTTTTGATTTCAATTAGAAGCTCTAACAATGTTTTGTTGTGGGACTACAGGCAAATTACATAATGTAAACCAAAAATAAAATTCTAAGCCCCTAACCATCTGAATGGACTCTTCCTCTTAGCCAAGGGCATTCTAAAATTAACCTGTAAAACTAGTTCAGGCCACGATGGGAAGAGGGAGTTGGACATGCCTCATAACCATTAACATCAACACAGACACTGAGACTGATAGAACAGACTCTTTAAGTCTACTAAGAAACATTTACAATCTATTTTCCCTGAAACCTTCTACCTGGAAGTTTCATCTGCATAATAAACACAGACCATCTGTATTGGTCTCCACAACTCTTTAGAGTAACCAAGACATTCCTTTCCATTGATTCAAGTTCTTTGGATAATAACTCAACCAATTGTCAATCAGAAAATCTTTGAATCTGCCTATGACTTGGAAGCCCCCACTGATATGGACAGGAGACAGGGAAATACTGGGTAGAAGATGACAGTTTCCCCAGGAAAGTCCTCACCCTCAAGCCTAGATACCTATGGCCTTAAGTGAGAACAGCCATTCCTGTTTTTGTGCCCCAAAAGTTGCTTTTTGGCCCACCACGCCCCCTATCCTGTACCCATACAAATCGCAAACTCCAGGTCCAGAAGCAGATGAGGAGATGAATAGACAAACAGCAGAATGGTACAGCAGAGAAGGGGAGGAAAGAAGGAACGTCAGGAGGAGTTCAGCTGGACCAGTCAGAGAATCGGCTGTTGGATGGCCAAACTCCAGGGGAAGATCATCTTCCTACCCCATCATCCCCTGTCCAGCTTCCCATCCATCCTGCTGAGAGCCACCTCCAACAGTCAATAAAATCCCACATGCATCCTTCAAGTTTGTGTGTGACCTGATCTTCCAGGACACTGGACAAGAGCTTGAGATACAGAAAGCTGTCATACTGGCCCCCTGCCCTTGCAAAAAGGCAGAGGGTTCACTGAGCTGGTTAACCCTTAAGCCATCTGCGGATCACAAGGCTAAAAGAGCACACTACAACGCAGACCCACTTGGGCTTTGGGAGTTGCAGACACCCACCCCTAGATGCTGCTGTTGGGCTAGAGCCCAAAAGCACTCACCCTGATTCCTGCACCTGCCCATCTGCATGCTCCCCATCCTGTAAAAGGTCATAGTGGCTGACCAGAGAGCCACACCTCTGTTGCATGTCCTGCAAGTGGGGGCCAGAAAACTTTCCTGTTTCACCACTCATGTTGTCCTGCCTTTCCAGACCAAACCAATGTACACCTTACATGGATGGATTGATGTCTTATGTCTTCCTAAAATGTGTAAAACCATTTTTACATTTTGTAGGCCGATCACCTTGGGCACATATCATCAGGACCTCCTGAGGCTGTCATGGGCATGTCCTTAACCTTGGCCAAGTAAACTCTTAAATTAATTGAGACTTGTCTCAGAAACATTTTGGTTTATAATAAGCCTTCTAAATGTTCTCTTTCTTACCTATAAAGTTGGGATCTTAATAGAAGCTACCACTTGGAGTTGTGGTGAGGATTCATTAATTCATTCAATAGTCCATAAATGTTTTTAAGCACCAACTACATGCTAGTCATCCTTTTAACACTCACCAGGTTAAACAGGAGAAATAAATAAAGGTTATATTATTAGAGAGCTTGCATGCTAGTGGGAGAGAAATAAAACAACTACACATGAAGCTTCAGAGTATGACAAGTACTTTGATGGAACTAACACAAGGCGATACAACAGAAAGCATTTGGCAGTGGGTATGCCAACTTAAACAGAGTAGTCAGAGGAGACCTCCTGAAAGAGGTAATATTTAAACCACACACAGAAAGGAGCTAATATGTGCAAAGCTATATATACTCGGTAGATAGTATGTCAATGCATGTCAACTATTTTAAAAATAAATATATTTGCAATAGAATGTTAGAATGGAAGATTTTCTGCCTCACTTTTTTAGAAATCAGGGATTTGTGTGTGTGTGTGTATGACAGGGTCTCACTCTGTCACTCAGGCTGGAGTGCAGTGGTGCCATCATGGCTCACTCTAGCCTCAACTTGCTGAGCTCAATTGATCCTCCCACCTCAGCCTCTTGAGTAGCTGGGACTACAGGTGCTCCCTACCATGCCTGGCTAGTTTTTTTGTTTTTTTTTTGTAGAGACAGGGTTTCGCCATGTTACCTAGGTTGGTTTCAAACTCCTAGGCTCAAGTGATCCTCCCATGTTAGCCTCCCAGAATGAATCAGGGGAAATATTGTCCTCAAAGATCCTGACCTCAAATGCCCCATCAGGCTTGTACCTTTCAAGAATTCTCTCATTATGACATTAAACATCTTCAATTCTTTCTTGTTTGATAGACAGTCAAACATGTTTTTAACTCTCCCTGAATAACTTGTCTCCCATTCATTCTTTTTTTATTATGCCTATTTAATCCAACACAGGAATACAATTTTTGTCCTTTAGGTATAGAAAAACCACGGTAGGATGCAGATATCTACAGGAAGCAAAGGCAGATAGAGATAGGTGCCTGGGGCACCTAGGGACCCAAAAACATCATTGGGAAGCTGGTGTCACTGGGAAATTGTGTTTGTAACAACTTCCCTTGGAATTCGTTCTATTGTAAGTGAATGGAAAGGATATTTTGATAGGACCCTCAGGGTATGGGTTGAGAGCCCCAAGGGATATACTTGCTCTGCCTTCGAAAGAGAATGGGTCCAGTTAATCGAGAATGGGTCCAGTTAATCGAGAATGGGTCCAGTTAATCGAGAATGGGTCCAGTTAATCGAGAATGGGTCCAGTTAATCACCTCTGATTGTTGTTTGCTTGTTTGTTTGTTTTTCTAGTTGGAGTCTGCAAGTGCGGGTCAGAACTAAATTTCTCTGGAAAACAGAGCAGAATCTAAATAATGTCATCTGGAGTTTTTCTTCTTCACAGCATTGCTGTTCCTCTAAATAAATGTTGAACAAATATTTAAAGAATGTTAATTTGAACTATGGTCAAATTATTGGCCTGTCCTGGTCCTGCTCAGGTTGTTAAAGTTAATGAGCCACAGAAATGGGTTCAACTGAGTCAAAATGCTGTCCCGGGAAATCACAGAAGAGTTGTGTCCAATGGTCTACAAAGAGCCACTTCTTTTAAAGCTCTGGACCCTTATGTCCTCTGAAAGCAAATACTTTTTTATCCTTAAAAAACCATTAACTCTTTTTGGCCACCGGAGGATGCCCTTTCAAGAGATGAGTAGTGTATCACTACTAAGACATAACCATCATTTCTGCTTCTGGGAAAAGGAAAAAAAAAAGAGTACTTGTAAAGCACCTATTATTGAGCTGAAAAGAACACACTTGCTTGTCACTGATACCAACAGGAGGCAGGGAAATACTAGGTAGAAGCGGGCAGTTCCCCAGCAAAATCCCCACCTTCAAGCCTGGAAACCTGCTGCCCTAAATGGGAACAGGCATTTTTATTTTTGTGCCCAGATGCTGCCCTTTCCAAGACTGCTCTAGCCTGCCACACCCCTGTACTGTGCCCATATAAACCCCAAGCTCCATTGGCAGGTGACAGAGCAGTGCAGCAGAGAAGAAGAGAAGAGGAGGAGTGTCTAAACATTGAGAGGAGTTCTGCTGGGGGCAGTCAGAGACGAGATCGGCTGCAGGATGGTCAAACTCCCAGGGAAGATCATCTTCCCACTCCATCCCATTTCCAGCTCCCCATGCATCCCGCTGAGAGCCATCTCCATCACTCAATAAAATCTCTGCATTCACCATCCTTCAAGTCCGTGTGACCTGATTCTTCCTGGATGCCATACAAGGACCCAGGTATCAAGAGGGCAGGATGCAAAAGGCTGTCACCCTGACTTTCCACTGAGGTGGTTAACACTTAGCCATCTGCAGACAGAAAAGCTAAAAGAGCATTGTAACACCTCTAGACACTGTCGTGGGGCCAGAGCCCAAAAGCACTCACCCTGGCTCACCTGCATGCTCCTCCTCCCGTAAGGGATTTGAGCACACAGCGGCTGAGTAAATGAGCCACCCTCTTCACAAGGCATTCTGCAAAGGTGTCAAGGGAATTCTCCTGTCTCATCACTTACATAAATTCTCTTATTTAATTCACACATTGATCCAGTGAGGTAGGTACTTTCATCCCATTTTATAGATGAAGACATTGAGGCTTGGAAAGGTGAAATAATTCACCCAGGTCACACAGTGGTCAAATAATGTGCCTGGGTTACACAATGAGCTTGAGCAAAGTTGTGACACAAATCCAGGTGTGGCTGCCTCCAAAGCTCATGTTGTTTCCATGACACCAGGGCATGGTATGATATTTATCAGGGTGTTGTTTATACGTACATCATCACTTTGGCCTCTTCAATGAAATCCTCTTCAGACATGGAGCCTTCATTGATGGCCTTGATAGCTACCTGGATATGTGACCGCCATTCACCTAAATGGACCACTCCAAACTGACCGCTTCCAATCTCCTTTATAAAAGCCAACTCAGATGGATCTATCTCCCACTTTTCTGAAAAAGTAAAACATCCATGTTACAAGTAGAAAGAAAGACTGTTAAAATATTAGGGCTGGAAAATGTTTAGGAAGTATCTATTATTTGACAGAGAGGTTAAAAAATGTATAAAGTGGAGAGGATATGAAGCCATTTTAATACTCTCACTGTGGCTTAAACGTAATTCAAGGACTCAAGTTTCAAAACACAAACTTTATTTATTTGGTGATGTTTGTATAACAAATTAAGGATAACAAAATGCACTCTCTGCTCCCAAAGACAACAGCGAACACACTTCTGTGCCTTTCTAAACTAAACCTACCAAAACTAGACCTGGGACCCAAAATATTTATGTTCCCAGTCTGGTTTTTTTTTCCTGGTGAGTAAACTTGTAAGGCAAATAAAACTGTGATTTCAGTTCTTCCTGTTGGTCTTCTCACTCCATTCCTAAAGGGCTTTTCTCCCTTGATACTTTTTCTTCTTAGGGAAAAGTCCAATGAAATCATCTAATAAACAAATTCAGTGTTAGAAATCTAACCCACATATATCTAAGAGTATAGCTGAAGTGAAATTTTTACTGTATATTTCTCATTTTATAGAAGCAAATCAGGAAAAAATAAACTGTTTTTAAAATAACCCTCTTGAAAACTGTACCAAACTTAATGGTTTAGTGTCTCCTTTTAATACAGCAATACCACCATCTGCTGGAACTTTTGAATAATGCATTTAAAAGAATTGTAAAATCTGATAGTCCCTTCTACCAGCTATGCAAAGTATTCCCCCTCCCTATAGAAGGTATGTTTTATTTTATTATTATTATTATTTTTTTTTTTGGAGGAAGGGTCTCACTCTCTCACCCAGGCTGGAGTGCAGTGGCACGATCTCAGCTGACTACAAGCTCCACCTCTTAGGTTCAAGTGATTTTCCTGCCTCAGCCTCCCAAGTAGCTGGGATTACAGGCACGCCATCACGCCTTGATAATTTTTTGTATTTTCAGTAGAGACAAGGTTTCACCATGTTGCCTAGCCTGGTCTCAAACTCCTGAGCTCAGGCGATCTGCCCACCTCAGTCTCCCAAAGTGCTGGGATTATAGGCATGAGCCACCACACCCGGCCTCATAGGTATGTTTTAAAAGTAACATGGGAGGATATATTCATGGCCTTGGAATTGGCATAAATTTATTCAACAGAATATAACCACAAAGAAAAATATTGATAAATTATACTTCATAAAACTTCTGTTCATCAAAAATACCCCCATTAAGAAAGTAAAAAGTTAAGCCACAGAAGATATTTCTAAAATATACAACCAACATAGAATTCTTATTCTGAATATAAATAAATCAACTAGAGAAGACATATACCCTAACTTTTTTAAGGGTAAAAAATGTGAATGGAGTATTCTCTTATGAAGAGAATATCCAAATGGCCACTAAGCCAAATTGATAAAAATAATTAGTCATCAGGGAAATGTAAATTTAGACCATAATGAGATACTACGACACACCAGATTGGCTAACATGTAAAAAAAAACCTAGAATAAAATATTGGCAAGGGCAAAGGTATGGAGCCGCTAGAACTTACATATTGTTGATGGGAGTGTAATTTGGTATAAGCTCTTTAGAAAACTGACTGTATCTACTACATCTAAACATATGCATAGCCTATGACCCAGCAGGTGTACACTTAAGCACATATCCAACATATGCTGGAATGTAAATGTGCACTTAACTTCATCAAAACACACACAAAAATGTTCTTAACAATATTATTTGTAAGAGCCAAAAATTGGTAACAACCCGAATGGCCATCTACAAGAAGCATGGCTAAATCAGTTGTGGTATGTCATGCAGTGTAGCACTGCACCACAGTGAAAATAAACCAACCCCACCCAGGACCATGGATGAAACTCACAGATGTAATGAGGTGAGGAGGAAGCCAGACACAAAAAACTGCAGCGTCCGATTCTGTTTATATAACGTAATCAAACCAGGCAAAACAAATCAATCTATAGACTTATGAGTTGTACACTATTCTATTTGTTTTTAAATTTTTTAAGTTTATTTTTAAGAAATTAAAAAGAATCATGTTTAACTTAAGTAAATTGTTAATGGTAGAACTTTGTATTATATATACTATCTGTGGGCCAGAGGAATAATACAGGCACCAATAATAGCCAGAAATCTTGCTTCCATCCCACTTAACTTAATGAGATCCTGAGTCCCAGTTACTTTTTTCCCAATATATTGTGTTATTAATTTTTTCAGTACATTCTGAATCCCACTATTGAGAGAAGTTTAAAGGAATAAAATGTCACCAAATTAGAAAATAGGATTCCCTGGCACTTACGTATTCTCACAGATTTACAAATACCACATTTGCTAGAAAGTGGTTCAAATTGAACTTTGTGCATGTTCTATTAGAAACAAAAAAAAAGATGAAGACGATACTTTCAGCAGCTCTTTTTAGTAGCTTCTCTTGGAGAGGAATCATTTCCCAGGCACCCTTGAAACCAAAGAACAACAACCCAAACATCCAAATAAAAAGAATTGTAATTTATCAAAAGGGTGAAGATTAAGGCTCCTGGTAATGTAACAGTGAAATCTGAAGTCAAACGGAAGCATTTCTCCCCAAAGTTTAAATTGTCCTTATGAGATGCACATATTTAAACATCTCAGAAGGGTGATGTAAACTTTGAGAAGAAATGTTTCTAGATAGACATTTCGGAAGTGCTGAGAGTTCAAAGAATCAATAGGGAACTAGATTCTTTTTTTTTTTTCCTTTTTTTTTGAGACAGAGTCTCACTCTGCTGCCCAGGCTGGAGTGCAGTGGCATGACCTCAGCTCACTGTAACCTCTGCCTCCTGGGTTCAAGCGATTCTCCTGCCTCAGCCTCCCAAGTAGCTGGGATTACAGGCATCCACCACCAAACCCGGCTAATTTTTTGTATTTTTAGTAGAGACGGGGTATCACCATTTTGGCCAGGGTGGTCTTGAACGCCTGACCTAAGGTGATCCACCCACCTTTGCCTCCCAAAGTGCTAGGATTACAGCTGTGAGCCACCGCACCCAGCCAGGTAGATTCTTTACTACTGGATTTGCTATTTTACTTCAGCATGTGTGCACACTTTACCGTAGCTAAACCCAGCTGTGGCTGGTAAACAACTGCCCATCAGCCCAACTGGATATCGGAGACGAGTCATGAGACCTAAGGAGAAAGAGAAATCAATATTTCAAGCCTAGTTGCTAATATAGAAGAAAGAATGAAATATTCTAGAAGACAGTACCATTCTTTAAATAATTAGACAAACAAAATTCATTCTACCAGTTAGTCAGCAGTTTGCTTATTTTCCCACATTTTCCAAAAAAAAATATATACTCATTGTATACAATTTAAAGAATCTAAGGAAGTATAAAGATGACCCTAAAAAATCCCTCACAAAATCTTAGTATTCACAGATAGATTGTTATCATCTTGGTGAATATTTTTGCAAAAATCACTATGTGCATAATTGAAAACATGAACACATCCAATATATTTTGCAGAAATATAAATATTTTGTTAAAAGCTTTTTGCACTATGCACGTAATTGATATATGTCATTGACTATAAACAGAGCTTAAATTTATTTCCAAGATTTCGCTATTATAAAATATGCCATATGTCCTTGAACATACATTTGTCTGTACTTCTCAAATTATCACCTTATAAAATGTGATTTCCAGGTCAAAGCGTGTCCAGAAAGGATGTACTAATTTATTCAACCACCAACGGTGTTGAAGTGTGCCCATTTTGTATAATCTTTGTTTATTTGATTTTTAATAGCATGGTAGAGTAAATGAGACTTCATTTAATTGGGTTAACATATAGATTTCTATACATCAAATGTCTCTTTTTTTCCTTTCAGTGACCCACTTAGGCATATACCTTACGTTTCAACTTAGTTTAATAATCATTTATTATTTATTTGTTCAGCTAATATTTATTAAAAGCCTGGTATGCGCTTTCAATAAAAGCTTTCAATAAAACACTATCTAGATGTTGGGAGACAGTAGGGAACAAGACTGATGATTCGGTCTTGCTCTCATGATTACATTCTAGTGAGAGGAAGAGAAAATAACAAGGGCATGCACACACAAGAAAAAGTAGATAATGATGATTAAGTGCAAGGCAGACCGGATAACATATAATTACTTTAGAGTGGGTGCTCAGGGAAGGCCTTTCAGACAAGATGACAGCTACGCTGACGTTGATTGATGAAGAGCCTTCCAGGTAGATGGAACAGCATGTGTAAATGCTGGAAGACAGAAACGAGCTTGACCAGTGTAAGAACAAAAAGAAGCACATATTAAGTGCCTATTGTGTGCAAGGCACTCTTCTAGGTAGATTCCCAAAGATTCCAGCAGATTCCAAGATGAGTAAGATGAGGACTCTGCCCACAGGGAGCTCTATCTCAGTGAGAGAAGACAGGCAGAGAGAGGCCATTCTAATGTGAAAGGAATAAGTATTCTGCTGGAGATGCATATAGGGTGCCTTGGGATGTAGAAAAAGAGCACTTGACACATTGTTGGACTCGAAGAATTCTTTGGGAGGAAATGACTGAGATGAAACTAACACATGGAGTTAACCCATGGGGAGAAACTATGAAGGACTTTCTAAGCAGAGGTAACGCATGAGATGAAACTTAGAAATGTGAAGCATGATGGTGGGTACTTGAGCAAAACTCAGGAGGTAGAGCCAGACAAATTGCACTGCAGAGGTAAGCAGTATTCTGGGTATGATGGGACTCATAAGCCACGCTAGGAAGCATTACATTTTCCTGCAGGTGAGAGGAAGCTATTGAAAAGTCCCAAGTAGGAGGGCACAGTCAGATTTACATTTCTTTTTCTTTTCTTTTTTTTTTTTGAGATGGAGTTTCACTCTTGTTGCCCAGGCTGGAGTGCAATGGTGTGATCTTGGATCACTGCAACCTCCGCCTCTCAGGTTCAAGCGATTCTCCTGCCTCAGCCTCTCGAGTAGGTGAGATTACAGGCATGCGCCACCATGACTGGATAATTTTGTATTTTTAGTAGAGATGGGGTTTCACCATGTTGGCCAGGCTGGTCTTAAACTCCTGACCTCAGGTGATCCACCCACCTTGGCCTCCCAAAGTGTTGTAATTACAGGCATGAGCCACTGCACCCAGCCAGATTTACATTTCTGATAGATCACTCTGGTACTAGCAGAATGGATTAAGGGGAAATCAACATTGGAGGCAATAAGACCAGTTAAGAGGCTACTGCAGTTGTCCAAGTGAGCAATGATCAGGGCAGCACTAGAAGGTAGGGAGAGGCAGGGATCTATAGGAGACACATTTAGGATATGAAATCAATTGCATTTGATAATTAATCAGAAGTGAGCTATTAAGAAGCATCTATTTAATTCCTATGCTTCCAACCCCTACAAGGGGCTGGATGATGCTAGTATTATCTGAGAGAGAGAAAAGAAAGAGGACATTTGGAGGGAGAGTAATGGTGTAAGATGAAGCATCCTACTTCATCAGTGAAGTTCAGGGCCTGCGGGATTGCAAGTGCCTTTGTCTACCAGACAGAAGATTATGCAAAGGGAGATGCCTAAGGTGAGAAGAGTAGTGATCAGGGACGGATTCTGGAGGAAAACCAATATTTAAGGGAAGAATAGAAGTAGGGCACATTGGGAAGATCCATTAGGAACTATTGAGTTAGAGAAGGCCAAAAAGGGGTGGTGTCAAACATCGAAGGAGCAACAAGTGACACTGCCAAATGTAGCAGAGAGGACCTGAACACATGAGAACTAGAAAGCACCACTGTACTGTCAATATAGGGGCCACTGGTCAAATATGGAGTGTTGAAAGCAGAAGACAGATCATAGATGTTTAAAAAGTAAATGGAAAGTGAGAGAGTGGAGACAATGGATGTGGACACATTTTTCCAAAAGTGTGACTTACAAGAGCAATGTGTAAAGGGAGAAAGAGTTAGGGCAGCAGGAGGAGAGTTGTTTTTGTTTTTAGGATAAGAAAGTCTTAAGCATGTTTATAGGGTTAAAAGCTAAAGGGAGACAGTCAGAAGAATGGAAGAGATACAGGAGAGAAAGGAACAGTGGATGGCAGGTAAGGGCAAGAGCACAGGCATGCCCTCACTACTACTGGAGGGAATGAGGATGAGAGGGCATGGGGACAGAAGAGGAGACGGAGGTCGCTCATGCCTGGTGACTTCACTTTTCCTAGTGAGGTACACAGACAGGGGATTTGCTAATAAGGCAGTGGTTAATTTTGGTAAAGGAGTCTTGAGAATGGTAAAAGTTTGAACAGGGAACAGGAATGGATGCTCACCGTGACTCTAACACCTAGTTCAGGTTAAAGCCCTCATCTAACCTCATTTAACCTTATCACCAAAACCACTCTTTCTTTTTTCTTTGGAGGAAGGAGAAAGAGGAATATAAAGGAGAAAACTCAGAACTGACATCTTGACTCTATCTCTAGCTACAACTAAGACCTTTATTGCCCCACCCAGATATTTTACCCTCACTCCTTAACCAAAATTCCAGTGAATAGCCATGTGGATGCATCCCACAAGTGGATAAAAATGTCCTTTGATATATTCCTGATACTTAGAACCAGTGTAATGGAAAAGTGAGCTCTTTCCAAAAGGAATATTTGTCAACACTTTTCATGAGAGAAATCTAAAAAAGAAGTGCATGCATGACAAGCAGTCAAAATGACATGAAAAGTTACCGTGGATTCTGAATTCTGCAATGCTGAGATAAGAAGATTCCCCATGGGCTCAGAGTGGTTCAGCACAGGTTGGGCAAGGGCTGAAGGCCAGAGAGGTGATTTTAATTGTGGTGGAACTTTCTGGGATCCTACATCTTTCCACAGATGATAGGTTTGCACAAAGAGCAATTATTGCAAACAATGTCTGGGGAGATGGGTTAAATATGCCTCTGGTATAGTTAGGCTAAATTGTAACTGTGAAAGGCTGTGTTCTCTGTGACTTTTTATATTCTCCAAACAAGAAAGAACAGAGAGTGAGAGATATAAGGGTGATTTTCTATTACAATCGTCAAAAGTAGAGAGCAGATTTATGGGGGCAAAGGGAAAGAAGCATCATTATTTAGGGTATTTGAAATCTTATTACATTTAGCCCTATGTAAATTTCCAGAACAAATGCATAATGATTGATGACTATTTGCTTCTCTGTCATCTATCATTTTTCTAACCTGGTAGAAATATAAGAAATTGACCTACCTCTTGCCCCCAACCAACCAGAAAAATGAAGAGGCATCAATAAGAAAGATAATTGCTCAAAAGATAAGTTGTACTTCAAGCTTTTAAACTATTTCTATAGGGAGATTTGCTCCTGTTGAGTGCCTGATACCAAAGATGCATTGCCCATCAAGGGCATGGCTCCCTGACTCACCCAGCTGGAAGTTCCCCTCTTACCGGCTGCATTGTGCTGGTGATACCAGATTAACTCAGGGATTGATTGAAAGGCGTGTCTTTCAGCCACATACCACTGTCCTGAGTCATTCTTTTTTATCTGATAATGTTTTATGGCAGCCTCCGTACTTCTACAATCAAGAAAATGTGAATTACTAGAAATGTGAAAGATCAATTTGGATCTAAGCCAACTCATTAAACAACAGGACTCCAGTTCTAAAACTCATCCTAGCAACACTACACTGAGAAGTAGATTGGCTAAATTCAACAAGTGCCCCCCCATGCCAAGAAAATTCCTCAACTACATTATTGGGGCCTTAGATTCAAACATAACTTCAGCCAAAGTTGTCTGAGTGACAAGACCAGTGTTCAGAAAAGTAGATCTCATAATGAATACATGTAAGTACATATTGAATATCAAGTATTGGTTAAATGAATGAACACATGCACTGTAAGCAATTGGAGATGGGAGACAAGAAGGGAGGAAAAACCAATGCCAGGTGCATTAGTTAGTAGGTTACTACTATGGGCAATTGGGGCTCAATACTTGTAGGAACCTAGGAGAGACTGGGGAACACACCTCACAATTGTCCCACTGAAGTGCAAAGAAGCTGAGATATTTATCCACCAACTCCCATTCTCTTTAACCTAGCATTGCTCCTGGGATGTTACCTCTCAGGCACTTTCAGCTTAGCCACGGGGCGCACAAGTTCCCACAGCCAGAGAACATCCTCAGGCAGACAGACACAGGAAGCTTTCTGAGTGCAAGAGACTTTTCTGCAAGTGAATCCCAGAACAGACCAAGGGATATGAGGAAAGCGCCCAACAGCGTCTACTACAACTAATCTCCCCCTCTTTACTTTATGGTTGAGAAAAGGAAGACGGGAGAGGTTAAGAAACTTATGCAATGTCACACAGAGCATGCTAGGGATATATCACGGACTGGTTGGTTTTTCTAACTTCCAGGTCAACAATCTTTTCCCTAAGCTAAGCTCTCACTAACATTCTCTATGTGATGGAGACTGTGCCAGGGATTATTTCTATAGTAACCAAAATCACAAGTGCTTACCTTCTAGCTCCCATAAATACGGAAATTGTGTAGGATCCTAAATGTCTTGAATCTCTGACAATAAATGCACCTTCTTTAGACTGCAAAAAAAATCATTTATTGAATAAGTCTATTCCTTCTTAGAAAGACAAACCTACAACTCAGGGATGAAAATCAAAGCTATATTGACTTACCATAAATAAGTGACCTGCTATATTATTAATATGAAGAATTAGATTGTCTTTACAAGTACACAAAATCTTATCTCCCTTATAGATTTAGAAGTCACACCTATAAAATAAATTGTAATTGGGACATGCATTTATAATGTACTTTAGAATACTGTTACTGATTTTTCTAAGAAAAATTCTCTATTTGAAAACCTTGTACCCTACTGCTTATTTTTGTTATATTGACCAGAATAATAGATTAAAAATCACTGTAGAATAGGAAGAACACTAAGACAGACTGACCGGATTGTACTTTGGAAGAAGAGCAACAAGGTGACAGGGAGGAACACAGCTGGGCAAGCAGGGCGTGGGGAAGGACACCAGAGTTCATGGGAAGTAGAAAGAAAGAACAGATATGGGGGAGTCTGAAAAGAAAAGCAAAAGGAACCATATTAGTTGCAGTAGGGGTATGGGAAGATAAAAAGAAGTGGTAAAAGGGAGAACATGATAGTAAATCTGAAGTTATGTTATAAATTAGATTCCTATTAACATTCTTTGGGAGATGCCAATAAAGCTGTAAATTGCTTTCAAAGAATCTTGAATGTTGCATTGTTTAGATTCGTTTGTTTGATATTGTAAAATGATTTAGCTTTACTGAGTGTGCTTATGCTCATGAAGAGGGAAAATACATCTCAGAATCTTGTCAAACCCATAGAAGCTTACACTTATAAAGTGCTGGTATTATTTACATTGTGCTTGAGAATTGCAGAACCCAAATAGCATGGTCTGACCCTCAAGGTAAACGTACTACATTAAGTAGAGTCTTCTCCTTCTCATTCCAGATATTCACCCAGATATAAGCCTTATTCCCTGGTCAAATTGTTTTAACCAAAGAATCTCTTGCAGCCATTCGAAATAATAAAATCTAGCTTTTACTATATTCCTACAATGTACAAGGGTACTGTTACATACCACAGAGGACACAAGATGTAAAAGACAAAGATGAAAAAGTAAAGTTGAATGTATTGTGTATATGTATATAATACACACAAACAAGTATATATAATATGCATATAAAGTTGCATATGTAGTGATAGCTTTATAGAAACAAAGTAGAAAGGGTACAAGCAAGATTTCCTGACTACAAAGCAATAAAACCAGAAATTAATAGCAAACTGAAAACTAAAAAAGCTCCTATCACCTAAAGATTTTTAAATTTTCTTTCTCTTTCTTTCTTTTATTTTTTTGAGATGGAGTCTCGCTTCGTCACCCAGGCTAGAGTGCAATGGCATGATCTCGGCTCACTGCAACCTCCACCTCCCAGGTTCAAGCCGTTCTCCTTTTCTCCTGCCTCAGCCTCCCCAGTAGCTGGAATTACAGGCACATGCCACCATGCCTGGCTAATTTTTGTATTTTTTGTGGAGACAAGGTTTCACCGTGTTGGCCATGCTGGTCTCGAAATCCTGACCTCAAGTGATATGCCCACCTCAGCCTCCCAAAATGCTGGGATTACAGGCGTGAGCCACCATGCCCGGCCTTTTAAATTCTCTTTCATATAGCTCAAAGAAATTCAAATAAAAGCGAAGAATATCTAGAAAGTAATAAGGAAACATCACATATTAGCACCTCTGCTATGCAGTTCAAGCAGTACTCAGAAAAATAAATTTATAGTCTTATTACTTATATCAACAAGCAATAGCAATAAAAATAAGCATATTCAACTCAAGAAATTAGGATTAAAAACTATAAAATAAGCCCAAATCAAGTAGAAGAAATAAATTAATAAAGACAAAACATAAAATAATAAATTATTAAAGTAAGAATATAATATGACTAGTAAATTCAAAATCTGGTTGCTTAGGGAAAAATAATAGATAAACTGCTAATTAACCTAATCACTAAATAATGGTGAAAATCAATCAAAAATAATAAGTCACAAGGAGAAAATTATCAAGGATCCAGTAAAAATTAAGGAATTTACTTGATTCTATACAATAAATTTGGAAACTCGAATGAAATGGATAATAAACTAGTAAGACATAAAATTTATCAAAATTGAATGCAGAAGAGTTAGGAATCTTAATGGACCTGTTGAGTAGAAAAATTGATTGGGTTTTTAAAAAGCTACCACTTTTTTTTTTTTTTTGAGACGGAGTCCCACTCTGTCGCCAGGCTGGAGTGCGGTGGCGCCATCTCGGCTCACTGCAAGCTCCACCTCCAGGATTCAAGCGATTCTCTTGCCTCAGCCTCCTGAGTAAATTCAAACTCCTGAGTAACTCCTGACTACAGGCGCCTGCCACCATGCCCAGCTAATTTTTGTATTTTTAGTAGAGGCAGGGTTTCATCATGTTGGCCAGGATGGTCTCGATCTCTTGACCTTGAGATCTGCCCGCCTCAGCCTACCAAAGTGCTGGGATTACAGGCGTGAGCCACTGCACCCAGCCAAAAGCTACCACATTTTTTTTTTTTTTTTTGAGACGGGGTCTCGCGCTGTTGCCCGGGCTGGAGTGCAGTGGCGCCATCTCGGCTCACTGCAAGCTCTGCCTCCTGGGTTCACGCCATTCTCCTGCCTCAGCCTCCCGAGTAGCTGGGACTACAGGCGCCCGTCACCACGCCCAGCTAATTTTTTGTATTTTTAGTAGAGACGGGGTTTCACCGTGTTAGCCAGGATGGTCTCGATCTCCTCACCTTGCGATCCGCCCGCCTCGGCCTCCCAAAGTGCTGGGATTACAGGCATGAGCCACCACGCCCGGCCAAAAGCTCCCACATTTAAACAGTACTATAGTCACACATTACAATGTACCGAACCTTAAAGAAAAAAATGGTATAGAGATGAAACTATGCCACAGCACATGACATGAAAAGAAGAAAAACTTTTCAGTTTGTATGTAAAAAATGAGCTTAATATCAATAATCAACAGCACCGCCAGAACTGTGCACAAAAGAGAAAACTACTGACCAGTCTTATCAATGTAAAAATTCTAAATAAAATGTTAAGAAATAAATCCCATGGCACAAACGAATGATATACCATGACCAAGAAGAATTGCATGATGAATGTAAGAATAATTCAGTATTTGGGATTTTATTAACATAATTTATCATATTATTAGGTTTGTGCAAAAGTAATTGTGTTTTTTTCTATTAAAACCACAGTTACTTTTGCACCAACATATATAGCAGCGCTAAGGAGAAAAACCACACGAACATCCCTAGAGATGTTGAAAAGCCATTTGACAAATTTCAACTTCTAGTATCAATTTTTAAAAATTCTCAATAAAATAGGAATGCGTGTGTACTTCCTTAACACAATAGCACTTACTCACTTTAGTCTCAAATCCAGCATCGTGCTATATGTGGAAATCATTCCAAATAAAATCTGAAAAAGGGCCGGACGCAGTGGCTCATGCCTGTAATCCCAGCACTTTGGGAGACCGAGGCAGGCAGATCACTTGAGGCCAGGAGTTCGAGACCAACCTGGCCAACATAGCAAAACTCTGCCTCTACTGAAAATGCCTGTAATCCCAGCTTCTTGGGTGACTGAGGCACGAGAATTGCTTGAACCCGGGAGGCAGAGGCTGCAGTGAGCTGAGATTGCGCCACTGCCCTCCAGTTTGGGCAACAGAGCAAGACTGTCAAAAAACAAACATACAAACAAAAAAAAAATGGGAAAAAAGAAATAATGCCCACTAACTATCATCACTGGCATTTCATACTGTTCTGGAGACACTAGCCAATTCAACTAAGTGAGAGGCAAAAATTAAAAGTACTATATTAAAATTATAAAAGAGGAGCTGAAATCATCACTGTTGGCTGCTGATTGTATACTGGAAGCCCAAGAGAATCAACTGAAAACCTACTACATAAAACATGAGAATTCACCAAAATTATCAGTTACAAAATTAATTCACAGAAATAAAAAGCTTCATAAGTAAA